>NC_000023.11:73371632-73674663 GCF_000001405.40 Homo sapiens
GACTTCTTTTCTAAATGTTTTCAGAGGGCAGAGGCTTTGTTCAGAGTGTTTACTTGTAGCTGAATACTTGTCCTTGTTTTTACATGATGGTATATTAGCAAAGTATTTTTTGTGTTGATGTTCTGGGCTGTGCTCAAGTAGGTGGTGCTTAGACTTAGTAGTTAGGCTTTTTCTCAGTCTTTTGGGTCCTAGGTATTTTTTTCACAATTGTAGCCACGCTTTCTGTCAGTGATCTGAAAGTGTGGGCTCCTCTTCCACACTGCAGGTCTTGTCTTGGCATGCCTGGGCTACACACCACAGCTCTGGGGCAAAATCAGTTTCTATATTCCCTTCCCTGCTTGGGAGTAACAGGAGAAGGAAATTTGGCAGTGGTTTGGGCAGAGGATCTTTCACTTGTTTCTTGTGACTCTGCCCCAGAAAGATGTAGAGCTGCTATTAATCAGTGTGATTAGCTCTGAATGGGACAGCTGTGCAATGTACCCAAGCAGGGTTGGGGGGCTGCCTGGCAGCAATAGCGGGGAGGTGGATGGGTCCTGGATAAAATAGACTTGTTGTTTCTTCTTAGGGCAACTGCAGTTTGCTGGAATTGTGGATAACGCACTCAACGTCTTTGTTCCTTCTTCAGTCCGAGAGTGGCAAGGACAGTACCACTGCAGTGGCAGTGGCAGAGGGCTTTCAGTTATCTCTGGTAGCTCCATCTTAGAGAAAAACAGAGACACTGCTACTGGAAATGTGCAGCCACCGAGTGGAGCAGATTCTCTGGTGGCCCAAGCTGGGGGTTCCACTTGTTGAAGAGCAGAGAGCTGAAGGCTCACAAGGATAAGAGATTGGGTTCTTTTCCATATGATAACTATGGTGTGCTATAAACTTGGGTGAAAGCCTCAGGCTGCTTGTTTCTTTCCCAGACCAAAGTCGGCAGGAGCAGAACTTTGGTTATGGCAGTGGTTGGTGGGAGTGGGGGGCGTTGTCAGTTGCCTCTGGGATCCCCACATCAGGGAAACATAGAGCCACTACCAGTGGGTATGCTCAGTAAGAAGTGAGGTGACTGTTCTGTGGTCCCAAGCTGGGGACCCTGTCTGGTGAAGGGTGGGGTGTAGAGGCTCACAGGGAGGAGAGACTGGACCCCTCTCTATGTATTGTCTGTGTTATGCTGGAGGTGCCAGCATAGAAGCCAGCCCCTTTGTTCCTTTCCCTACCCAAAGGTGGTTAGGGTGGTACTACTGTAGCTGCAATGGCAGATGGGTTGTGGGTTTTCCCTGGAATTTCTTCCTCATAGAAATGCAGAGCTGCCTTCTGACTGAAGTGTTCAGGTGGAGGCAGGGTAGTTGTCTGGAATCCTAGGTTGGGAGGGCCCACCCAATGGAGAGAAGCAGGGACAGGGACCAATGTGGAGAGCAGTCTGGTCACTTTTCTGTGGGATGGCTGCCCTGTGCAGGGGACCATACTATTCCTTAATCACAGTGTACTCTTCAGAGCCTGAAGGCTATAGCAACAGGGGCTGTGAGACAGCAAAATGGTGGCCAGCCTCTCCCTCTGGGAGCTCTGTCCCAGTGAAGTGCAAAGTGGCTACTGGTCCAAGAGCCCCAGTGGGGTGTGGCTGGAGTTTTCTGTCAGGCAGTCCCACCCTGTGAGGAGAATTGGAACCAGGGACCCATATAAGATACAGTCTGGACACTTTTCCATAGATTAGCTGCACTATACAGGAGATCTGCACCACTCTTTACCGCTAGAGCCGGAAGGCCATAGCGCCAGGGGCAGTAAGACAGTAAAAAATGGTAGCTGGCCTCTCTTTCTGGGAGCTCCAATCCAGGGAAGTACGATGTTACTACCAGCCTGAGAGCCCCAGCGGGAAGCAGCTGGGGTCTCAGTTTGGAGGGTCCCACCCAGTGAGGAGGAGTGGGATCAAGGACCCAATAGAAAACAGTCTGGCCACTTTTCCGTGGGATGGCTATGCTGTGCAAGGGCTCCACACCACTCCCTAAACACTGCTTGCTTTCCAGAGCATGAAGGCTATAGCAGTAAAAGCTGTAATACAGCAAAAATGGCAGCCATTCTCTCTCTCTCTCTGGGATCTCCATCCCAAGGAAGTGCAGAGCTGCTACTGGCCCAAAAGCCCCAGTGGGTGGTAGCTGGAGTACCAGGTCATGGAGTCTCACCCCATGTGGAGAAGTGGGACCAGGGAGCTGCATAAAAAATAGTCCAGCTACTTTTCCATAAGACGGTTTTGCTGTGCTGGAGATTTGAGTCACTCTGTAATTACCACTAGAGCCTGAAGGCTACAGCAGAAGGGAGTGCTAGACATCTTCTCATTCTGGGAACTCCATTCTAGGGAAGGGTAGAGTTCCTACTGGCCTGAGAGACTAGATGGTGAGTGGTTAGAGACCCAGAGGCCAGTAAGTCTTATTATATAAGATGCAGAGGAAGCAAAGCCTGCAGTCTGTTGCTTCTCAGCCCCCTGGATTTGGCCCTTTTTGGGGGGACATGCGAGAGATCCTGACTTTCCCTGCTGCAAGAGCTGCAGCTGCTAATGCCAGGCTACCCAGGGATTCAAGGCTCCTGGGAATCTGTGTGCCTGAGTGGCAACTCTGCCCAGACACCATGTAGCTCTCTGTGTCAGTCTGAATGCCCTGGTGTCATGGACTCACAGGGGGATTACTTGACACCAGGGTTGGAAAAGTTCATGGCAGAAGTGTGGGTTCCCAGGGACTCTTACTCACTCACTATTTCTCCATAGTGAAGAAGCCTCTCCTGGCTCTATGTTATTCTCTGGCGGGCAGTCATTCTGTCTCTCACTCCTTTTCATTCTCCATGGGTCAAGTTGTTTCCTAGATGAATCCCAATGTGTTCACCTGGATGTTCCAGTTGAAGATCTAGTAATTACTCACCACTCTTTCTTCTCTCCATGAGAGTGGTTCACACTAGCTTTTAGTCAGCTATCCTGCTCCCTTCCCCTGCACATTTATTAACAACTCAACTGAAACACCTACAAGACCTCTGGAATGGCAATAGGAGATCACCAGACACTCTCCTTTGTGAAAAATCTATTGAACTGGTGAAAATTTAAAAATAAACAATCAAGGGAGCTGCTGGCAAGATGACCAAATAGGAACAGCTTTGGTCTGCAGCTCCCATTGAGACCAACGCAGAATGCAGGTGATTTCTGCATTTCCAACTGAGTGGTACCTGGAACCCCAGCGAGACAGAACCATTCACTGCCCTCAAAAGGGGCTAAAGCCAGGGAGCCAAGTGGTCTTGCTCAGTGGATCCCACTCCCACAGAGCCCAGCAAACTAAGAAACACTGACTTGAAATTCTGGCTGCCAACACAGCAGTCTGAAGTCGACCTGGGACAATTGAGCTTGGTGGGTGGAGGGGCATCTGCCATTACTGAGGCTTGAGTAGGGGGTTTTCTCCTCACAGTGCTAAGGACTAAGTGGAACCCAACACAGTGTAGCAAAGCAGCTGTGGCCAGACTGCCTCTCTAGATTCCTCTTTAATGGGCAGGGCATCTCTGAAAGAAAGGCAGCAGCCCAAGTCAGGAGCTTATAGATAAAACTCCCATCTAATTGGGACAGAGCACCTGGGGGAAGGGGCAGCTGTGTGTGCAGCTTCAGTGGACTTAAACTTTTCTGCCTGCCAGATCTGAAGAGAGCAGCTGATCCTGACAGGAAGGGTTCTCCAAGCACAGTGCTCAATCTCTGCTAAGTGACAGACTTCCTCCTCAAGCGGGTCCCTGACCCTAGTGCCTCCTGACTGGGAGAGGCCTCCCAACAGGGTTTGAAGACACCTCAAACTGTAAAGCTCCAACTGGCATCAGGCTGGTGCCCCTGTGGGACAAAGCTTCCAGAGGAAGGAGCATGCAGCAATCTTTGCTGTTCTGCAGCCTCCACTGGTGATACCAAGACAAAGAGGGTCTGGAGTGGACCTCCAGCGAACTGCAGCAGACCTGTAGAAGAGGAGCCTGACTGTTAGAAGAAAAACAAACAGAAATCAACATCAACATCAACAAAAAGAACCCCCACTCAGAAACCCAATCCAAAAGTCATAAACTTCAATGATCAAAGGTAGATAAATCCACAAAGATGAGGAAAAAACAGAGCAATAACACTGAGAATTCTAAAAACCAAAATGCCCCTTCTCCTCCAAATGATTGAAACTCCTCTCCAGCAAGGGAACAAAACTAGACAGAAAATGAGTTTGATGAATTGACAGAAGTAGGCTTCAGTAGGTGGGTAATAACAAACTCCTCTGAGCTAAAGGAGCATGTTCTAACCCAATGCAAGGAAGCTAAGAACCTTCAGAAAAGGTTACAGGAACTGCTAACTAGAATAACCAGTTTAGAGAAGAACATAAATGATGTGGTGGAGCTGAAAAACACAGCAAGAGAACTTCGTGAAGCATACACAAAAATCAATAGCCAAATTGATCAAGAAGAAGAAAGGATATCAGAGACTGAAGATCAACTTACTGAAATTAGGCATGAAGACGAGATTAGAGAACAAAGATTGAAAAGGAACAAAAAATGCCTCCAGGAAATATGGGACTATCTGAAAAGACCAGATCTCCTATTGGGGTCTCTGAAAGAGACAAGAATGGAACGAAGTTGGAAAACACACTTCAAGATATTATCCAGGAGAACTTCCCCAACCTAGCAAGACAAGCCAACATTCCAATTCAGAAAATGCAGAGAAGACAACTAAGATACTCCTCGAGAAGAGCAATGCAAAGACACATAATCATCCGATTCTCCAAGGTTGAAATGAAGGAAAAACTATTAAGGGAAACTAGAGAGAAAGGTCAGGTTACCTACAAAGGGAAGCCCATCAGATTAACAGTGGATCTCTCTGCAGAAACTTTACAAGCCAGAAGAGAGTGGGGACCAATATTCAACATTCTTAAAGAAAAAAATTTTCAACCCAAAATTTCATATCCAGACAAATTAAGCTTCAAAAGTGAAGGAGAAATAAACTCCTTTCCAGTGAAGCAAATGCTAAGGGATTTTATCACCACCAGGCCTGCCTTGCAAGAGCTCCTGAAGGAAGCACTAAATATGAAAAGGAAAAACCAGGACCAGCCCCTGCAAAAACACAACAAAATATAAAGACAGTTGACACTAAGAAGAAACTGCATCAACTAGTGATACCAGCTAGGATCATGATAATGGGATCAAATTCACACATAACAATATTAACATTAAATGTAAATGGGCTAAATGCCCAAATTAAAAGACACAGACTGGCAAATTGGATAAAGACTCAAGACCCATTGGTGTGCTGAATTCAGGAGACCCATTTTACATGTAAAGACAAACAGGCTCAAAATAAAGGGATGGAGGAATATTTATCAAGCACATGGAAAGGGAAAAAAAAGCAGAGGCTGCATCCTAGTATCTGATATAACAGACTTTAAACCAACAAAGATCAAAAAAGACAAAGAAGGGTATTACATAATGTTAAAGGGCTCAATGCAACAAGAAGAACGAACTATCCTAAATACATATGCATCCAATAAAGAAGTACCCAGATTCATAAAACAAGTTATTAAAGACCCACAAAGAGACTTAGACTCCCACACAATAATAGTGGGAGACTTTAACACACCACTGACAATATTAGACAGATCAATGAGACAGAAAATTAACAAGGATATTCAAAACTTGAACTCAGCTCAGGACCAAGCATACCTAACAGATATCTACAGAACTCTCCACCCCAAATCCACAGAATATACATTCTTCTCAGCACCACATAGCACTTATTATAAAATTGACCACATAATTGGAAGTAAAACACTTCTCAGCCAATGCAAAAAAAGGGAAATCATAACAAACAGTCTCTCAGAACACTGTGCAATCAAATTAGAACTCAGGATTTAGAAACTCACTCAAAACCACACAACTACATGGAAACTGAACAACTTGCTCCTAAATGACTAGTGGGTGAATAACAAAATTAAGGCAGAAACAGTGAAGTTCTTTGAAATCAATGAGAACAAAGAGACAATGTACCAGAATCTCTGGGACACAGTGAAAGCAGTGTTTAGAGGGAAATTTATAGCACGAAATGCCCACATCAGAAAGCAGGAAAGATCTAAAATCAATACCCTAGCATTACAATTAAAAGAACTAGAGAAGCAAGAGCAAACATATTCAAAAGCTAGCAGAAGACAAGAAATAACTAAGATTAGAGCAGAAATGAAGGAGAAAGAGACACGAAAAAACCTTCAAAAGATCAATGAATCCAGGAGCTGGCTTTTAGAAAAGATCAACAAAATAGATAGACCACTAGCAAGACTAATAAAGAAGAAAAGAGAGAAGAATGAAACAAACACAATAAAATAAGATAAAGAAGAGATCACCACGGATACCACAGAAATAAAAACGAACATCACAGAGTACTATAAACACCTCTGGGAAAATAAACTAGAAAATCTAGAAGAAATGGATAAATTCCTGGACACATGCACCCTTCCAAGACTAAACTGGGAAGAAGTTGAATCCCTGAATAGACCAATAACAAGTTCTGAAATTGAGGCAGTAATTAATAACCTACCAACAAAAAAAGTCTGCAACCAGATGGATTCACAGCCGAATTCTAACAGAGGTACAAAGAGGAGCTGGTACCATTCCTTCTGAAACTATTCCAAACAATAGAAAAAGAGGGAATCCTCCCTAACTCATTTTATGAGGCCACCATCATCCTGATTGCAAAACCTGGCAGAGACACAACAAAAAAAGAAAATTTCAGGCCGATATCAATGGTGCACATCTATGCAAAGATCCTCAATAAAATACTGGCAAACCAAATCCAGAAGCACATCAAAAAGCTTACCCACAATGATCAAGTTGGCTTCATCCCTGGGATGCAAGGCTGATTCAACATATGCAAATTAATAAACATAATCCATCACATAAGCAGAACCAATAACAAAAGCTACATGATTCTCTCAATAAATGTGGAAAAGGCCTTCGATAAAATTCAACACTCCTTCATGCTAAAAACTCTCAATAAACTAGGTATTGATGGAATATATCTCAAAATAATAAGAGCTATTTATGACAAACTCATAGCCAATATCATACTGAATGGCCAAAATTTGGAAGCATTCCTGTTGAAAACCAGCACAAGGCGAGGGTGCCCTCTCTCACCACTCCTATTCAACATAGTATTGGAAGTTCTGGCCAGAGTGATTAGGCAAGGGAAAGAAATAAAGTGTATTCAAATAGAAAGAGAGGAAGTCAAATTGTCTCTATTTGCAGACAACATGCTTGTATATTGAGAAAAGCCCATAGTATCAGCCCAAAAACTCCTTAAGCTGATAAGCAACTTCAGCAAAGTCTCAGGATGCAAAATCAACATGCAAAAATCACAAGCATTCCTATACACCAATAATAGATAAACAGAGAGCCAAATCATGAGTGAACTCCCATTCACAATTGCTACAAAAATAATAAAGTATGTAGGAATACAACTTACAAGGGAAATGGAGGACCTCTTCAAGGAGAACTACAGACCACTGCTCAAGTAAATAAGAGAGGAAACAACAAATGGAAAAATATTCCATGCTCACGGATAGGAAGAATCAATATTGTGAAAATGGCCGTACTGCCCAAAGTAATTTATAGATTCAGTGCTATTCCCATCAAGCTACCACTGACTTTCTTCACAGAAGTAGAATAAAACTACTTTAAATTTCATATGAAAACAAAAAAGAGCCTGTACAGCCAAACAATCCTAAGCAAAAAACAAACAAACAAAAAACAAAAACAAAAGCACAACAAAACAAAACAAAGCTGGAGGCATCACGCTACCTGACTTCAAACTATGCTACAAGGCTACAGTAACCAAAACAGCATGATACTGGTACCAAAACAGATATATCAACCAATGGAACAGGACAGAGGCCTCACAAATAACACCACACATCTACAACCATCTGACCTTTGACAAACCCAACAAAAACAAGCAATGGGGAAAGGACTACCTATTTAAAAAATGGTGCTGGAAGAACTGGCTAGCTGTATGCAGAAAATTAAAACTGTAACTCTTCCTTACATTTTATACAAAAAGTAACTCAAGATGGATTAAAGACTTAAATGTAAAACCCCATTTATAAAAACCCTAGAAGAAAATCTAGGCAATACCGTTCAGGACATAGACATGGTCAAAGATTTTATGATGAAATCGCTGAAAGAAATTTCAACAAAAGCAAAAATTGACAAATGATATCCAGTTAAACTAAAGAGCTTCTACACCACAAAAGAAACTATCATCAGAGTGAACAGACAACCTACAGAGTGGGAGAAAATCTTTGCAATCTATCCATCTGACAAAGGGCTAATATCCAGAATCTACAAGGAACTTAAGCAAATTTACAAGAAAAAAAAACATTAAAAAGTGGGCATAGGACATGAACAGACACTTCTCAAAGGGACACATACATGTGACCAAAAATCATATGAAAAAAAGCTCAACATCACTGATCATTAGATAAATGCAAATCAAAACCACAATGAGATACCATCTCATGCCAGTCAGAATGGTGATTATTAAAAAGTCAAGAAACAACAAATGCTGACAAGGTTGTGGTGAAATAGGAATGCTTTTACACTGTTGATGGGAATGTAAATTAGTTCAACCATTGTAGAAGACACTGTGGCGATTCCTGAAAGACTCAAAACCAGAAATACCATTTGACCCAGCAATCCCATTACTGGGCATATACCCAAAGGAATATAAATCATTCTATTATAAAGATACATGCACGTGTATGTTCACAATAGCAAAGACATGGAATCAGTCCACATGCCTATCAATGATAGACTGGATAAGGAAAATGTGGTACATATACATTATGGAATACTATGCAGCCTTGAAAAGAAACAAGATCATGTCTTTTGCAGGAAAATGGATGAAGCTGGAAGACATTATCCTCAGAAAACTAACATAGGAACAGAAAACCAAACACCACATGTTCTCACTCTTAAGTGGGAGCTGAACAATTAGAACACATGGACACAAAGAGGGGAACAACACACACTGGAGCCTGGCAGGGGAGGGCAGGAGACAGACAGCATCAGAAAAAATAGTTAATGCATGCCAGGCTTAATACCTAGGTGATGGGTTGATAGGTTCAGCAAGCCACCATGACACACATTTACCTATGTAACAAGCCTGCACATCCTGCACATGTACTGCAGAACTTAAAAATAAGAATTCTGGAGTTAAAAAATATAGTAACCAAAATGAAATTTACTAGAGTTGCCCAAGAGAGCTTTGAAGTGGCAGAAAAAAAAATCATCAAACTTTGAGAGAGATCAATAGAGAGAATGTACTCTTAAGAACAGAGAGAGGGGATATACCCAAGATGGCCGAATAGGAACAGCTCCGGTCTACAGCTCCCAGCGTGAGCGACGCAGAAGATGGGTGATTTCTGCATTTCCATCTGAGGTACCGGGTTCATCTCACTAGGGAGTGCCAGACAGTGGGCGCAGGCCAGTGTGTGTGCGCACCGTGCGCGAGCCGAAGCAGGGCAAGGCATTGCCTCATCTGGGAAGCGCAAGGGGTCAGGGAGTTCCCTTTCCGAGTCAAAGAAAGGGGTGACGGACGCACCTGGAAAATCGGGTCACTCCCACCCGAATATTGCGCTTTTCAGACCGGCTTAAGAAACGGCGCACCACGAGACTATATCCCACACCTGGCTCAGAGGGTCCTACGCCCACGGAATCTCGCTGATTGCTAGCACAGCAGTCTGAGATCAAACTGCAAGGCGGCAACGAGGCTGGGGGAGGGGCGCCCGCCATTGCCCAGGCTTGCTTAGGTAAACAAAGCAGCCGGGAAGCTCGAACTGGGTGGAGCCCACCACAGCTCAAGGAGGCCTGCCTGCCTCTGTAGGCTCCACCTCTGGGGGCAGGGCACAGACAAACAAAAAGACAGCAGTAACCTCTGCAGACTTAAGTGTCCCTGTCTGACACCTTTGAAGAGAGCAGTGGTTCTCCCAGCACGCAGCTGGAGATCTGAGAGCGGGCAGACTGCCTCCTCAAGTGGGTCCCTGACCCCTGACCCCCAAGCAGCCTAACTGGGAGGCACCCCCCAGCAGGGGCACACTGACACCTCACACGGCAGGGTATTCCAACAGACCTGCAGCTGAGGGTCCTGTCCGTTAGAAGGAAAACTAACAACCAGAAAGGACATCTACACCAAAAACCCATCTGTACATCACCATCATCAAAGACCAAAAGTAGATAAAACCACAAAGATGGGGAAAAAACAGAACAGAAAAACTGGAAACTCTAAAATGCAGAGCGCCTCTCCTCCTCCAAAGGAACGCAGTTCCTCACCAGCAACAGAACAAAGCTGGATGGAGAATGATTTTGACGAGCTGAGAGAAGAAGGCTTCAGACGATCAAATTACTCTGAGCTACGGGAGGACATTCAAACCAAAGGCAAAGAAGTTGAAAACTTTGAAAAAAATTTAGAAGAATGTATAACTAGAATAACCAATACAGAGAAGTGCTTAAAGGAGCTGATGGAGCTGAAAACCAAGGCTCGAGAACTACGTGAAGAATGCAGAAGCCTCAGGAGCCGATGCGATCAACTGGAAGAAAGGGTATCAGCAATGGAAGATGAAATGAATGAAATGAAGCGAGAAGGGAAGTTTAGAGAAAAAAGAATAAAAAGAAATGAGCAAAGCCTCCAAGAAATATGGGACTATGTGAAAAGACCAAATCTACGTCTGATTGGTGTACCTGAAAGTGATGTGGAGAATGGAACCAAGTTGGAAAACACTCTGCAGGATATTATCCAGGAGAACTTCCCCAATCTAGCAAGGCAGGCCAAAGTTCAGATTCAGGAAATACAGAGAACGCCACAAAGATACTCCTCGAGAAGAGCAACTCCAAGACACATAATTGTCAGATTCACCAAAGTTGAAATGAAGGAAAAAATGTTAAGGGCAGCCAGAGAGAAAGGTCGGGTTACCCTCAAAGGAAAGCCCATCAGACTAACAGCGGATCTCTCGGCAGAAACCCTACAAGCCAGAAGGGAGTGGGGGCCAATATTCAACATTCTTAAAGAAAAGAATTTTCAACCCAGAATTTCATATCCAGCCAAACTAAGCTTCATAAGTGAAGGAGAAATAAAATACTTCATAGACAAGCAAATGCTGAGAGATTTTGTCACCACCAGGCCTGCCCTAAAAGAGCTCCTGAAGGAAGCGCTAAACATGGAAAGGAACAACCGGTACCAGCCGCTGCAAAATCATGCCAAAATGTAAAGACCATCGAGACTAGGAAGAAACTGCATCAACTAATGAGCAAAATCACCAGCTAACATCATAATGACAGGATCAAATTCACACATAACAATATTAACTTTAAATATAAATGGACTAAATTCTGCAATTAAAAGACACAGACTGGCAAGTTGGATAAAGAGTCAAGACCCATCAGTGTGCTGTATTCAGGAAACCCATCTCACGTGCAGAGACACACATAGGCTCAAAATAAAAGGATGGAGGAAGATCTACCAAGCCAATGGAAAACAAAAAAAGGCAGGGGTTGCAATCCTAGTCTCTGATAAAACAGACTTTAAACCAACAAAGATCAAAAGAGACAAAGAAGGCCATTACATAATGGTAAAGGGATCAATTCAACAAGAGGAGCTAACTATCCTAAATATTTATGCACCCAATACAGGAGCACCCAGATTCATAAAGCAAGTCCTGAGTGACCTACAAAGAGACTTAGACTCCCACACATTAATAATGGGAGACTTTAACACCCCACTGTCAACATTAGACAGATCAACGAGACAGAAAGTCAACAAGGATACCCAGGAATTGAACTCAGCTCTGCACCAAGCAGACCTAATAGACATCTACAGAACTCTCCACCCCAAATCAACAGAATATACATTTTTTTCAGCACCACACCACACCTATTCCAAAATTGACCACATAGTTGGAAGTAAAGCTCTCCTCAGCAAATGTAAAAGAACAGAAATTATAACAAACTATCTCTCAGACCACAGTGCAATCAAACTAGAACTCAGGATTAAGAATCTCACTCAAAGCCGCTCAACTACATGGAAACTGAACAACCTGCTCCTGAATGACTACTGGGTACATAACGAAATGAAGGCAGAAATAAAGATGTTCTTTGAAACCAACGAGAACAAAGACACCACATACCAGAATCTCTGGGACGCATTCAAAGCAGTGTGTAGAGGGAAATTTATAGCACTAAATGCCTACAAGAGAAAGCAGGAAAGATCCAAAATTGACACCCTAACATCACAATTAAAAGAACTAGAAAAGCAAGAGCAAACACATTCAAAAGCTAGCAGAAGGCAAGAAATAACTAAAATCAGAGCAGAACTGAAGGAAATAGAGACACAAAAAACCCTTCAAAAAATCAATGAATCCAGGAGCTGGTTTTTTGAAAGGATCAACAAAATTGATAGACCGCTAGCAAGACTAATAAAGAAAAAAAGAGAGAAGAATCAAATAGACACAATAAAAAATGATAAAGGGGATATCACCACCGATCCCACAGAAATACAAACTACCATCAGAGAATACTACAAACACCTCTACGCAAATAAACTAGAAAATCTAGAAGAAATGGATACATTCCTCGACACATACACTCTCCCAAGACTAAACAAGGAAGAAGTTGAATCTCTGAATAGACCAATAACAGGCTCTGAAATTGTGGCAATAATCAATAGTTCACCAACCAAAAAGAGTCCAGGACCAGATGGATTCACAGCCGAATTCTACCAGAGGTACAAGGAGGAACTGGTACCATTCCTTCTGAAACTATTCCAATCAATAGAAAAAGAGGGAATCCTCCCTAACTCATTTTATGAGGCCAGCATCATTCTGATACCAAAGCCGGGCAGAGACACAACCAAAAAAGAGAATTTTAGACCAATATCCTTGATGAACATTGATGCAAAAATCCTCAATAAAATACTGGCAAACCGAATCCAGCAGCACATCAAAAAGCTTATCCACCATGATCAAGTGGGCTTCATCCCTGGGATGCAAGGCTGGTTCAATATACGCAAATCAATAAATGTAATCCAGCATATAAACAGAGCCAAAGACAAAAACCACATGATTATCTCAATAGATGCAGAAAAAGCCTTTGACAAAATTCAACAACCCTTCATGCTAAAAACTCTCAATAAATTAGGTATTGATGGGACGTATTTCAAAATAATAAGAGCTATCTATGAGAAACCCACAGCCAATATCATACTGAATGGGCAAAAACTGGAAGCATTCCCTTTGAAAACTGGCACAAGACAGGGATGCCCTCTCTCACCACTCCTATTCAACATAGTGTTGGAAGTTCTGGCCAGGGCAATCAGGCAGGAGAAGGAAATAAAGGGTATTCAATTAGGAAAAGAGGAAGTCAAATTGTCCCTGTTTGCAGATGACATGATTGTTTATCTAGAAAACCCCATTGTCTCAGCCCAAAATCTCCTTAAGCTGATAAGCAACTTCAGCAAAGTCTCAGGATACAAAATCAATGTACAAAAATCACAAGCATTCTTATACACCAACAACAGACAAACAGAGAGCCAAATCATGGGTGAACTCCCATTCACAATTGCTTCAAAGAGAATAAAATACCTAGGAATCCAACTTACAAGGGATGTGAAGGACCTCTTCAAGGAGAACTACAAACCACTGCTCAAGGAAATAAAAGAGGACACAAACAAATGGAAGAACATTCCATGCTCTTGGGTAGGAAGAATCAATATCGTGAAAATGGCCATACTGCCCAAGGTAATTTACAGATTCAATGCCATCCCCATCAAGCTACCAATGACTTTCTTCACAGAATTGGAAAAAACTACTTTAAAGTTCATATGGAACCAAAAAAGAGCCCGCATCGCCAAGTCAATCCTACGCCAAAAGAACAAAGCTGGAGGCATCACACTACCTGACTTCAAACTATACTACAAGGCTACAGTAACCAAAACAGCATGGTACTGGTACCAAAACAGAGATATAGATCAATGGAACAGAACAGAGCCCTCAGAAATAATGCCGCATATCTACAACTATCTGATCTTTGACAAACCTGAGAAAACCAAGCAATGGGGAAAGGATTCCCTATTTAATAAATGGTGCTGGGAAAACTGGCTAGCCATATGTAGAAAGCTGAAACTGGATCCCTTCCTTACACCTTATACAAAAATCAATTCAAGATGGATTAAAGACTTAAACGTTAGACCTAAAACCATAAAAACCCTAGAAGAAAACCTAGGCATTACCATTCAGGACATAGGCGTGGGCAAGGACTTCATGTCCAAAACACCAAAAGCAATGGCAACAAAAGCCAAAATTGACAAATGGGATCTAATTAAACTAAAGAGCTTCTGCACAGCAAAAGAAACTACCATCAGAGTGAACAGGTAACCTACAACATGGGAGAAAATTTTCGCAACCTACTCATCTGACAAAGGGCTAATATCCAGAATCTACAATGAACTCAAACAAATTTACAAGAAAAAAACAAACAACCCCATCAAAAAGTGGGCGAAGGACATGATCAGACACTTCTCAAAAAAAGACATTTATGCAGCCAAAAAACACATGAAGAAATGCTCATCATCACTGGCCATCAGAGAAATGCAAATCAAAACCACTATGAGATACCATCTCACACCAGTTAGAATGGCAATCATTAAAAAGTCAGGAAACAACAGGTGCTGGAGAGGATGTGGAGAAATAGGAACACTTTTACACTGTTGGTGGGACTGTAAACTAGTTCAACCATTGTGGAAGTCAGTGTGGCGATTCCTCAGGGATCTAGAACTAGAAATACCATTTGACCCAGCCATCCCATTACTGGGTATATACCCAAAGGACTATAAATCATGCTGCTATAAAGACACATGCACACGTATGTTTATTGCGGCACTATTCACAATAGCAAAGACTTGGAACCAATCCAAATGTCCAACAATGATAGACTGGATTAAGAAAATGTGGCACATATACACCATGGAATACTATGCAGCCATAAAAAATGATGAGTTCATATCCTTTGTAGGGACATGGATGAAATTGGAAACCATCATTCTCAGTAAACTATCGCAAGAACAAAAAACCAAACACCGCATATTCTCACTCATAGGTGGGAATTGAACAATGAGATCACATGGACACAGGAAGGGGAATATCACACTCTGGGGACTGTGGTGGGGTCGGGGAAGGGGGGAGGGATAGCATTGGGAGATATACCTAATGCTAGATGACACATTAGTGGGTGCAGCGCACCAGCATGGCACATGTATACATATGTAACTAACCTGCACAATGTGCACATGTACCCTAAAACTTAGAGTATAATAAAAAAAAAAAAAAGAAAAAAGAAAATACTCCTAAAAAAAAAAAAAAAAAAAAAACAGAGAGAGGAAAAAAAGAAAAATGAATAGAGTCTCAGAGAAATTTCAGACGCCATTAAGTACAACAAATGCATGTAATGAGAGTACCAGAAAGAGATGAAAAAGAAAACAAAAATAGTATCTGAAAAATTAATGACTCCAACTTCTTGAATTTGATAAAAGCATTAATCAAGACACCCAAGAAGCTCAACAAACTCCAATTATAATAAATAGAGGCCTACACCGAAATACAACCCAGTCAAAATGTTGAAACTAAAGATAAAGTGAAAATCTTTACAGCATTGAGATAAAAATGACCCATCAGGAAGAAGAGAACCTCAGTAAGATTAAAAGCTGCCTTCTCACAATAAATAATTGAGACCAAAAAATAATGGATGATGACATATTCAAACTGTTAAAAAAATTAATTGAAAATCTTGTATCCAGCAAAACTATTATTCAGAAATAAAGAAAAAGTTAACATCACCAAAAATGACAGAATAGGGTATTTCAAAACTCCATTCCTGCATAAAAGCAATAACTAGACCAACAAAACTTGTCAAAATAAACATTTTTGGCCTTTTGAAACTTAACTTAGAAACTTCAGATAATGAAGAAAGAGTTAACAAAAAAAGAAGCTGCTAAATTTTAGTAAGAGAACATTGTAGTATATTAAATTCACCTAGCACCACCATTTATCAGATTGATTGTAGCCTTGGAAATGGTGGCTCATGTTCGTTTTGTGGCTTGCTGCCAAAGGATGCAGTATCGATATTGTTAAAGAATTTTGGTTGTATATTTTGACTTGTCTAGCGATTTTCTAAAGAATTGGCTCAGGAGTTTGCCTTGTTTTGCCCACCTCAAAACATTCTTAAGGCTGTAGTAGGCTCTTAGATGATATTTCCAAATCTGTTTTTAAAAGCTATACTAACTGCAGTTACTGGGAGCAAGGCACAACAAGTATGACAATCACCAGGCAGGTGGAAATGTCTTTTATTAAAAAAAGAGAGAGGTTGGGAAAGAAGACACATGCGAGTATAAGGGATTAGAAAGTTTCTGCATATTCTGAGGAATCTAGAAGGTTAGACAATGCCAGGGCTAAATAAATTCTCAGAAAATATTTTAAATGACCCCAAGCTTTCACATTTAACTGACCTTTAGGCTTCAAACAAACAGGAACTGAAGGCTAAGAAATATTCATACAAAGTCTGCTAAATATAGGAGTTTCTCAACACAGTCAAAATGAAAAGACCATGACAAGATATTTTTGTTGGCCTCAGTCATTTCAGAAAATCTATGTCAAATTACCAGCTGACCACTAAGATATCAGAATAAGAACATCAGTGACCACACATAACAAAATGTACAGTCTTATAAAAATAGTTACAATAGTCACTAACAAATCAATAAACAACAACCTACAACAAGTAGCAACAACAAACCCTGGTGAGGGGAAGGTGGTCTCATTTCCAGAGTTAAAATATTAAAATCTTCAAAATATTCAGTTTTCAACAAAAAGCTATGAGGTGTGCAAAAAAACAAGAAAGCATAGCCAATTCACAGGAAAAATAATAAGCAGAAATTATCACAGACTAAGCCAAGGTATTGGATACACTAGAAATAACTTTAAATCAATTATCTTTAATATTATCAGAGAACTAAAAGAAATCATGTGCAAAGAACTAAAGGAGTCAGAAGAATGATGTCCCCCCAAATGGAGAATATTAATACAAACATAGAAATAATAATAATAATAAAATTTAAAATTCTGGAGCTGAAAAGCAAAATAACCGAAAAGAAAAAAATTCACTTGAAAGATTCAACAGAAGATTTGAATAAGCAGGAGAAAGAATTAGCAATGTTCAAGATAGATAAATGGAAATTATCCAATCTGAGGAGGAAACCTGACTAGAACCTAAGAAATTTATGGGCCACCATCAAGCATAACAACATGACTATAATTGAAATCTCAGGAGAAGAAAGAAAAAGAGGCACAAACAATAGTTGTTGAAATAATGGCTGAAAATTTGCCAAATTTTATAAAACACATAAATCTAAACATTCAAGAAGCTCCACAAATCTGAAACAGAATAAAATCAGAGTTTGACACAGAGACATATTGAATCCAACTGTTGGAAGGCAAAGGCAAGGAGAGAATCCTGAAAGCAGCAAGAGAGAAGAGATTTTTCACACAGAATGTATGCTCAATAAGATTAAAATCCAATTTCTCTTTAGAAGCCACAAAGGGCAGAAAGCAGTGGAATGTCATACAAGTGCTGAAAGAAAACTAAAACCCTATCAATCAAGAATTATTCATTAAGCAAAAATATACTTCAAAAATGTAGAGGTAATCAAGATATTTCCAGGTAAATAAGAACTGAGGGAGTTCATTTCTAGTAGAACTACTCAAAAGAAAGTGGTAAGGTAAGTATTTTTGGCTGAAATGAAAGGACACTAGACAGTAACTCAGTCATAGAAATAAAGAATATTGGTCAAAGTAACTATGTAGAAAAATAGAAAAGAGAATATTATTGTACTTAGGTTTGTAATTGTATCCTTACAAAAGATATAATTATAAACATATACACACCTAACAAAAGTGCCCCCAAAATACACAAAGCAAAGATAAACAGAGTTGAAGAAGAAATAGATGGTTCTTCAATAATAGTTAGAAACTTTAATTATATAATTTCAGTAATGGCTAGAACAACTAGATAATAATCAATAATAAAACAGATGGCTTGAAAACAATTACAAACCAATGATACTTAACAGGCAGTAAACACCACAATACACATGGAACAGTCTTCAGCGTAGACTATATATTAGGCCACAAGCAAATTTTAACCGACTTCAAATATTGAATTTAAAGTATCTTTTTTCCAAGACAATATAATAAAACTAGAAATTAATAATAGAGGGAAAATTAGAAAATTTACAAATATATAAAATTAAACAATGCTTTCTTAAAAACACATTAGTCCAAAAAAATCACAAAAGTAATTAGCAATTATTTGGAGAAAAATAAAAACAAGAACATAATATGCCAAAACTTATGGGCTGCAGAAAAAGCAGTGCTCAAATGGACATTTATACCATTTAATGTCCACATTAAGAAAAAAAGAATATCTTAAATCAAAAACAGGTTTTCTTTAGAAGATTAAAAAAAGAAAATGCAAATAAACCCAAATAAATAAAAAACTATTATTTCTCAATAAGATCACATCAGAGATAAGTAAAAGGAAGAATAGTAAAATAATACAATGAACAAAACAAAAAGTCGATTCTTAGAAAGTATCAACACAATTTAAAAAGTTTAGCAATATTGACTAAAACAAAATATTTTAAAAACTCTAGAGAGTGAAGATGGCTGACTAGATGCAGGCAGAAGGCACATCTCATAAAAATAGACCGGGACATTGAGAAGACTGGCAAACTCCAAGCAGATCTTCAGAAGGAAGGCATTAAGAATGGATGGAAATAGGCTCCAGATGTTAGGATGAAAGAGGAGGAAACTGGGAGCACTGCACAGAGATGCCAAGCACTGGGATTCTTTCCTGGCCCCTAGGAACTCTTACAGAAGGGTTCAGTTGAACAGGTGATGTGTAGCTAGCACACCCCTCACCATGGACCTCCACAATTCTAGCTGCAGGAAACCCCACAACCCACACAGAAACTTGAGCTGGCAGGGAGAGCTGCTTAGAGAGGTGGCAGGGGCAGGACTCCAGCTTGTACAGAGCCCAGAGGATTTGGCATGAGAACACTTCAGTGGAGCACAGCCAGGGAAGCCCATACTCCAAGGTTCACCATGATCCACTGGGATACTTTAACCTTAGGGTGACTTTTGTACCTTGACAGAACAGGGCAGTCTTGCCTGTGGGATAGATCTAGTCAAGTCTGAGCACCTCAGTGTCTGCCAGTCCCTCCTGGGGTCCCAACCTCTTCAGACCTGATTGCAGTGGAGCCTCAGATGCCCAGTCAGGGTGCTTTCAGGGGCCCTCATCACAGCTCCTTTGCAACCATACAACACCTGACTATTGGAGAGCTCCAGCAGACTGGCCCCTGCCAACACACACCAGCCTACCTGCAGCCTTCCCCATAGCAGCCTCGCCGGACTATTTTTCTGGCCTGCACTCACTCATTTCCCCCCCTCAAACATATTTGTCAATTTTTGCACACAGGTAGACCATGTCTCCCCTCCCTTGCTGGTATACATGTGTGGGTACTACCCACCACACCACTGCTGCCAGCATGAATGCACCCTGCCAGCACCACCACACACCCCACCGATAAAACAAGCAACCAATAACACCACTGCTGCCAGTGCACACATAAGCACAGATGCCAGCAACTCCACCCCTGCCAGTTCCCCACCCATACCATCATTGCTAGTGTGAGTGTGACCATGAATGCCAGCAAGCCCGCTCCTCCCAGTGACCCACCCCGCCATGCTGCCAGCACCACTACTGTTATTTGGCACAGGAACACTGCCACCCTGCTCCAGCCCATGCCCCACCACAAATGACAGGCATGCATCTCAACCACATTGCTGCAGTTACTGGCATGTGTGAGCTAGCACAGATACCACTGCCACCACCTTAATGAAGTGCTTTTGCCAGCATTCCCCATCAGAGTGATATGGCCAGAAGATTGGGAACACCACAGCCCCTCTAGCACAGCAGGTTTCTAAACTTGAGAGGCCAGAGAACAAAGCTGCCCCAGTACAAGTGGCCCACAGTTAGAGCACACAGCCCAGGAGTTCTGAGCTGAGCCTTGGCTGCCTGAAATCTTCCAGGAACAATGCCAGTTGACTGAACTCATGTTATACCACACTTAAACTTACAAGAGCATCAAATAAGATAAAAACAAAAAACACTATGCAAAGGACAGAAACTTCAAAGAATGAAGGAACATCAGCATGTAAAAATGAGAAAGTACCAGTGCAAGAACTCTGGCATCTCAAAAAGTCAGAGTGTCTTCTTAGCTCCAAATGACTGCACTAGCTCTTAACCAGGATGAAATGGCTGAAATGATAGACATAGAATTCAGAATATGGATAGCAAGGAATATCATTGAGATTCAGGATAAAGGTCAAACCAAACCCAAGGAACTTAAAAAGAAATACAAGTAAATGATACAGAAGATGAAAGATGAGATGGTCATTTTCAGAAAAAAACAACAACAAACTAATCTGCTAAAACTGAAAAACTCATTTCAAGAATTTCTTAATAAAACTGCAAATATTAACAGCAGAATAGACCAAGCTGAAAAAAAATCTCAGAACTGAAAGATTTTTTTTTGCAATAAAACAGTCAGACAAAAAAGAGAAAAATAAAAAAGAATGAACAAAACCTCTGTAAAAAGACAAAATCTATCAGTCGTTGCCACTCCTGAAAGAGCGAGAGAAGCAAGCAATGTAGAAAACATATTTGAGGATGTCACCCATAAAAGTTTCCCCAACCTTACTAGAGAGTACAACTTTCAAATTTAGGAAATGCAGAGAATCCGTGAGATACTATACAAGATGACTATCCTCAAGACACGTAGTCATCGGCCAGGTGGGGTGGCTCACACCTGTAATCCTAGCACTTCGGGAGGCTGATGTGGGTGGATCATCTGAGGTCAGGAGTTTGATACCAGCCTGGCCAACATGGTGAAACACCATCTCTACTAAAAATGTAAAAGTTAGTGGTGGCAAATGCCTGTAATCCTAGCTACTCAGGAGGCTGAGGAAAGAGAATCGCTTGAAGCCAGGAGGTGGGGATTGCAGTGAGCTGAGAGATCGCCACTGCACTTCAGTCTGGGTGACAGGGCAAGACTCTGTCTCAAACAAACAAATAAACAAACAAAAACATATAGTCATCATGTTATCCAAGATCAAAATGAAAGAAAAAATGTTAAAAGCCCCTAGAGGAAAGGAGCAGGTCACCTACAAATGGAACTCCATTAGGCTAACAGCAGACCTTTAAGCAAAAACCCTACAAGCCAGAAGTTTTGGGGGCCTATATTCAGCATTTTACTTTATTTTATTATACTTCAAAGTCTGGGGTACATGTGCAGAATGTGCAGGTTTGTTACATAGGTATACACATGCCGTGGTGGTTTGCTGCACCCTTCAATACATCATCTACATTAGGTATTTCTCCTAATGCTATCCCTTCCCTAGGCCCCACCCCCTGACAGAAGCTGATATGTGTTGTTCCCCTCTCTGTGCCCATGTGTTCTCATTGTTCGACTCCCTCTTATGAGTGAGAACATGTGGTGTTTGGTTTTCTGCTCTTGTGTTAGTTTGCTGAGAATGATGGCTTCCGGTGTAATCCATGTCCCTGCAAAGGACATGAACTCATCCTTTTTATGACTGCATAGTATTCCATGGTGTATCTGTGCCACATTTTCTTTATCCAGTCTATCATTGACAGGCATTTGGGTTGGTTTCAAGTCTTTGCTATTGTGAACAGTGTTGCAACAAACATACATGTGCATGTGTCTTTATAGTAGAATGATTTATAATCCTTTGGATACATACCCAGTAATGGGATTGCTGGGCCAAATGATATTTCTGGTTCTAGATCCTTGAGGAATCACCACAGTGTGTTCCACAATGATTAAACTAATTTACACTCCTACAAACAGAGTAAAAATGTTCCTATTTCTCCACATCCTCTCCAGCACCTGTTGTTTCCTAACTTTTTAATGATTGCCATTTTAACTGGCGTGAGATGGTATCTCATTGTGGTTTTGATTTCCATTTCTCTGACGACCAGTGATGATGAGCTTTTTTTCATGTCTGTTGGCTGCATAAATGTCTTCAATTGAGAAGTGTCTGTTCATATCTTTTGCCTACTTTTTGATGGGGCTGTTTGTTTTTATTCTTGTAAATTTGTTGTAGATTCCAGATATTAGCCTTTTGTCAGATGGATAGATTGCAAAAATTTTCTCCCATTCTGTAGGTTGTCTGTTAACACTGATGATAGTTTCTTTTGCTGTGCGGAAGCTCTTTAGTTTAATCAGATCCCATTTGTCTATTTTGGCTTTTGTTGCTATTGCTCTTGGTGTTTTAGTCATGAGGTCTTTTCCCATGCCTATGTCCTGAATGGTATTGCCTAGGTTTTCTTCTAGGGTTTTTATGGTTTTAGCTCTTAGTTTTAAGTCTTTAACTCATCTTGAGTTAATTTTTGCATAAGTTGTAAGGAAGGGGTCCAGTTTTGCTTTTCTGCATATGGCTATCCAGTTTTCCCAGCACCATTTATTAAAAAGGGAATCCTTTCCCCATTGTTTGTTTGTGTCAGGTTTGTCAAACATCAGATGGTTGTAGAAGTGTGGTGTTCTTTCTGAGGCCTCTGATCTGTTCCATTGGTCTATATATCGGTTTTGGTGTGAGGACCATGCTGTTTTGGTTACTGTAGCCTTGTAGTACTGTTTGAAGTCAGGTAGAAAGATGCCTCCAGCTTGTTCTTTTGCTTAGGATTGTCTTGGCTATGCAGGCTTTTTTTTTGGTTCCATATGGAATTTAAAGGAGTTTTTTCTAATTCTGTGAAGAAAGCCCATGGTAGCTTGATGAGGATAGCATTGAATCTATAAATTACTTTGGGAATTATGGCCGTTTTCATGATATTGATTCTTCCTATCCATGAGCATGGGATGTTTTTCATTTGTTTGTGTCATCCCTTATTTCCTTGAGCAGTGCTTTTACACTGTTGGTAGGAGTGTAAATTAGCTCAACCTTTGTGGAAGACAGTGTGGCAATTCCTCCAGGATCTAGAGCCTGAAATACCATTTGACCCAGCAATCCCATTACTGGGTATATACCCAAAGGATTATAAATCATTCTACTCTAAATACACATGTACACATATGTTTATTGCAGCACTGTTCACAATAGCAAAGACTTGGAACCAACCCAAATGCCCATCAATGATAGACTGGATAAAGAAAATGTGGCACATATACATCATGGAATACTACACAGCCATAAAAAAGAATAAGTTCATGTCCTTTGCAGGGATATGGATGAAGGTGTAAACCATCATTCTCAGAAAACTAACACAGGAACAGAAAACCAAACACCACATGTTCTCATTCATAAGTGGGAGTTGAACAATGAGAACACATGGACACAGAGACGGGAACATCACACACCAGGGCCTGTTGGGGAGTGGGGGGCTAGGAGAGAAATAGCATTAGGACAAATACTTAATGTAGATTGTGGGTTGATGGGTATAGCAAACCAACTTGGACCTGTATACCTATGTAACAAACCGGCACGTTCTGCACATGTATTCCAGAACTTAGAATGTAATTACAAAAATAAAAAAGACCACATTTTGGGTGCAGTGTACACTGCTCAGGTGACAGCTGTGCCAAAATCTCAGAAATCACCACTATAGAACTTATCCATGTAACCAAAGCCCACCTGCTTTCCCAAAACTATTAATTTTTTTTTAAAAAGAAAGAAAATTTAGAAAAGACCTAAGCCAAGGTTTTCCTGAGGATGTGGAAATTTCCCCTGTGGAGTTCAGTGACAGCTTCTGAAGCCTCACATCAATTTCAGTACTGAGAGAGATCCTAGAGGAACAGAATCTTAATGCTGAATTTTCTGAATTAGTTATATATTTTCTTGGATTGACTGTTTTCAGTGATAAAGAGGGCAATAGTCCATGGCATGATGTGCCAATAGAGATATGTAAAGTATTGCTATGGGAAACTCTTAATCAAATATTAACAAAACGCAAAGTGATTAACTACTACATGTTTGATACCTTAGAACATCTTTTTGAAAATAATGAGTACAATAAGATTGGCTTGTTGCTCCTAGATTACCAGGACAAATTAGGGAAAGAAAATAAAGAAAATGATGCGTTGGGGGCTTCAAATTTTCACCTCAAGCCTTGCACAAATAATGTGAGACTTCCATGTCTTCCCTGAAAGAAATCCTTATATCTTGTAGCAAAAAGGATGAAATTTCTGAAAACCAGTGCCAGGGTCTGATCCTATGAGAGGATAAATAACAATGCATATTGAATTCTCTATCTCAGAAGGTATTTTCTGTTGAAATAAAAACATTTACTGGGAAAAAATTGAATCAGGAAATTTGAGATGGGGACAAAGGGAAAATCTCAATTGTGCTGGAGACTTTGAATGTTTAAATTAGGCAGAGTTTTCTTACCAGCAAAAAGCATCATCTCCAACCTCGCCTGAGTAGGTAATCCTGCTTGGCTTAAGAATAGAAGACATTCCCTGAGGTAGCTGCTTTGTAAGATACTGCTGAGTCTTCTCAGGACCTATCTACAATTTCTCTTTGTGTCTATACCTATAACTAAATTCAGGTCCCAGTAAGCCCCAAACGCTGAGGCACAAAGTGTGACCCATGAAAAGATAAGCTACATAATCAGAGAACTTCATATTTTCTCTAATTTGTACAGAAAACAAGGCAAAATTCAAGAAAAAAATAAATGTCCTTAAATTTTTCCATGGCTCTAGTAATATCAGAAAAGGAATAAAAGTAATCATTTGTGTTAGACTGTAATAAGTCAAGGATGCATATTGTAATCCTTGGAGTAATCAAGAAAAAGCAGTAGAAAAGTGTTAATAAAGAGAATTATTTTCAACTTTCATTTTTAATTCTGGGGTACATGTGCAGGTTTGTTACATGGATATATGAGACGATTCTGTGATTTGGGGTATAGATCTTGTCACCCAGGTACTAAGCATAGTACCCAATGGGTATTCTCTCAGAACTTGCTTGTTTTTGAAGAATTTTAAGTCTCCTTTGCTAAAGAAGCTTAATTTGATGGGAAATAAAATCTTCATTGAAAATTCTTTTCTTTAAGGATGTTGAAAATAGGCCCCAATCTTTTCTGTCTTGTAAAGTTTCTACTAAGCATTCTACTGCTGGCTTGAAGAAGTTTCCTTTGTACATGGCCTGAACCTTCTCTCCAGCCTCCTATAAGATTTTTTAATTTCACATTGACTTTCTTGAATCTGATGACTATGTGCCTTAGTGACGGTTGTCTTGTATAGTATCTAGCAGGGATTCTCTGTATTTCTTGAATTTGCATGTACACTGCTCTAGTGACACTAGATAAATTTTTATGGACTACGTCCTCAATGATATTTTTCAGGGTGCTCATTATCTCATCTCTCTCAGGAATATTAATGTGTTGTAGGTTTGATCTCTTTACATAAGCCAATATTTGTCAGAGGTTTTGTTCAATTTTTAAATTATTTTATCTTTATTTGTGTCTGGCTGACTTGATTCAAAGAACTGGTCTTCTAGTTCTGAGCTTCTTTCCTCAACTTGGTCTATTCTTCTGATAATCCTTCCAATTATATTACAAAATTCTCAGTAAATTTTTTAGTCATTTCGGTCTAGGTGAGAACCATTGCTGGGGAGCTAGTGGGCTTCTTTGGAGGTAAGGCACTACTCTGGCTACTCTAGTTTTTTGAATTGCTAGAGTTTTTGCATTGATTCTGTTTTTATGAAAACGTAAGATTTTTTAACATGTAATGGTTCACAAATCTACCTGCCATCCTTGCATAGGGACCATGCTCATTTTCTCTGTATTCTTCCAATTTTAGTATATGTGCTGCTGTAGTGAGCACCTTGCACTGATTTTTTTCTCATCTGCAAAGACTCATGCTTCTTTAACTGTCTGGTAAGTTGAGTGTAGTCAGTTTACTTTCTTTTATAATGTTTTCAGAAGGCGAAGACTCTGTAAAGGATGTTTATTTGTGGCTGGATTGTTGTCCTTTGTTTCACAGGGGTGTATGTTGGTAGAACTTGCATATATTCAAAGACAAGCAAGTGCTGAGAGAATTTTATGCAACTATACCAGCCTTACAAAAAATCCTTACATGAAATCCAAAGAATGACAACTGCTACCTACAATATTTAAGAGTAATGGCCAGAAGATAGGCTCTTAGCCAGGCAGCCTTTTTGTATTGCCTCACACTGGTAGCCATGCTTTGTAGTTATGGGAGAGAGAAAGGTGACTCCTTCACTAGGTCCACTCCTGGGCCTTGGGGGAGCCCTCTCCAATCACTGACATCATGTCTGCATTTCCTTTGTTAGGTGGTCTGTGCCATGGGGCACTGTCAGGCAGAGGTTGCAGCAGAGAGCTAGGTCACACTATTTTCAGATGGGCCCTGTGGTAGGAGAAACACCCTGCTCATGGACCAGCCCATGAATCTGTGTGTTTCATCCCTCTCAGTGCTCTGACAGTGGGGGCCCTTCTCCTGCTTAAATGCTGACCACAGATATCATCTTGGCACTCCTAAGCTGTGTACCACAACCCTGGGGCACCATTACTTTGTACTCTGGACCTTCATGGTCACACTCTGGCTGAGTTGTGAAATCCAAAGTGCTGCCAGGCCACAGGGAAATTATTCAGTTGGAGCAAAGCTCTCAGGCTGGGCAGCAGAGGCTGTGCTGTGCACATGTTCCTTTAGAATAGACAGATAGGAAACCTGGGAGCATCTGGAGGGCCTGCAGAACAGACATGCCCTGTTCCCACGATGATGATGGCCCTGCTTTTTCCTAGCCTAGCAGTCACTTGGGGCTAGAGCAACTTGGAGGATGATGGGTGCCCTAGGGGACAGGCACCTATGGTTGTGCCCTGCTACAGTTGCCCTGTGCACAAAAGCCCATGGGCTCTGCACTGGCTGAAGCTCTGCCTCTGCTTACTCTCTGGTCAGATCCTTCTGCCAGTTCAAATATCCAGGGTTCCCCTGTAGCTAGGATCCCAGAGGTTAATATTTACACAAAAAGCACCTTCTAAAGAACCAAGAGTCAGATGAACAATCACAGTACCTGGCTTTAACTTCATATCACTGAGAGAGCCACGAAGAGGGTAGAAAACACAGTTTTGAACTGCTGACACCACTTTTTCCCCATCCCCTGGCAGTGGCCATGTGGTATGGACTGAAAATTTATGCACTTAGAGTTGGGGGTGGGGTGGGGTGGTGAAGAGCACTGCAATTGTGAGATTTTACATCAGAACTTAGTGCTTCCAACACTAAGCAGAACTCAGTTGAGCCCCAAGCAGCGAGCAGTTAGACCAGCCCTAATCAGAGGAGAATCACACATACCAGTGGTGGGAACTTGAGTTTTGGCAAGTCTCACCTTCACAGGCTAAAGTGCTCTGGGTTCTAAATAAACTTGAAAGGCTTAGCCATAAGATCTGAAATTCCTACACAAGTCCCAGTGCTGTTCTGGGTTCAGAGCCAGTCGATGTGGGTGGCATGTGACATAGTGAGGCGTTAACAGGGGTGGCTAGAGGAGTGTTTCCATCACCCCTCTCCTAGCACCATACAGCACAGTTTGCAGCTCCAAAAGAGACCTCTTCCTTCTGCCTGAGCAGAGGAGAGAGAAAAGTAAAAAGGACTTTGTCTTGCAATTTGGATACAAGCTTAGCCATGGCAGAATAGGGAACTGGGCAGAATCATAAGGCCCCCAATCCAGACCCTAGCTCCCAGAAAACATTCATAGACACACCCTGGGACAGAGGGGAACCCATTGCCTCTAAAAGAAGGATCAAGTCCTTGGAGAAGTCATTATATGCTAAATAAAGATCCTTTGGGCCCTGAAAAATCAGCAGTGGTAATCAGGTAGTACATGCTGTGGGCCTCAGGTGAGATTCTGAGACTCGCTGGCTTGAAGTGTGCATTAACAAGGAGAGAATTCTTCTGCTTGAGAAAAGAGGAAAGGATTAAAAATGAATTTGTTTTGCAGCTTTATGTATAAGCTCAGCCAGAGTGAGAAAGAGCACCTAAAGGGATCTTGGGGTCCCCCACTCAAGGGCTTTAGCCTTGGATGGTATTTCTGGACCTGTTCTGGGCCAGAGAGGAGCCCACTACCTTGAAGGGTGAGTCCCAGACCTGGTAACATTCATGACAAGATGACTGCTGAGTTGTTGGGCCTTAAGTAAACATCAGTGATACCCCGGCTGTAATCTTCATGAGACCATGGTGGTGGTGGACAAAGGGAGAGATTCCTCTGCCTGGAGAAAGGGGAGGGAAGAAAGGGAAGAGAAAGATACTGTCTTGTGATTTTGGTGCCAACTAAGCCACAGTAGAATAGAGGACCAGGTGGCTTTCTAAAGTTGCCAATTCCAGGCCCTGGCCCCCAGAAAGCATATCTGGACCCACGTGGGGTTCAGGAAACTAGCCACCCTGGAGAGAATAACATAACACTGGCTGGCTTGATCACCTGTTAATTGTAGAGCCCTACAGCCTTAAGTAATCATAGGTGGTAGCCAGGTAGTGGTTACAGCAGGCCTTGGCCAAAACCCAGTGCTGTGCTGGCTTGAGGTCATCCACACTGCAGTCACAGTAGTGGTGGCCACAGTGGTGATTGTGTTACTCATCCCTCGGCTTCAGGCAGCTCAGCACAGAGAGAGAGAGACTCCAATTTTATGAAAGAACATAAGGGAAAAAAAGTCTCTGCTTGATAAACCAGCGAATACTTCTGGATCTTATCCATGACCACAAGGTGGTACCTAAGAGTCTGAAAGAACCAAAGCACTACTGGGCTTAGGGTGCCCTCTAAGGAAGATACGGAAATGACCAAAACATAGATCACAATACCCAAGTCTCTTCAAATACCTGACAAGTTTTCCCAAGAAGGATGGGTACAAACAGGCCAGACTTTGAAAGCTGCAATAAATACCTAACTCATTAATGCCTAGAAACCAACAAACATCCACAAGCACCAAGATCATCCAGGAAAACATGAACTCACCAAGCAAATTACATAAGACATGAAGGGCCAATCCTGGAGAGAAAGAGACCTTTCAGATAGAAAATTCAAAATAGCTGTTATAGAAAACGCAAAGAAATTCAAGATAACACACAGAAAAGAAATTCATAATCTCATTAGATCAATTTAACAAAGAAATGAAAATAATTAAAAGAATCAAGTAGAAATCTTGGAGGTAAAAATGCAACTAACATACCAAAGAATGCATCAGAGTCTCTTAGTGGCCGAATTGATCAAGCAGAAAAAAGAATTTATAGCTTAAAAAGACAGGCTATGGGTTACTAGCAAGTTGGCCAAATAGGAACAGCTCCAGTCTGCATCTCCTAGTGAGATCGACGCAGAAGGTGGGTGATGTTTGCATTTCCAACTGAGGTACCTGGTTCATCTCATTGGGACCAATTGGACAGTGGGTGCAGCCCATGGAGTGCCAGCCAAAGCAGGGTGGGGTGTCACCTCACCCGGGAAGCTCAAGGGGTCAGGGAATTTTCTGCCCCACTCAAGGGAAGCCATGAGGGACTGAGCCTGAGGAACTATGACACAGATACTCTTCTGGTCCCATGGTTTTCACAACCCACAAACGAGGAGATTCCCTCCAGTGCCTACCCAGCCAGGGCCCTGGGTTTTAAGCACAAAAGTGGGCAACCATTTGGGCAGACACCAAACTAGCTGCAGGAGTTATTTTTTTTCCATACCGAAGTGGTGCCTGGAACCCCAGCGAGAGAGAACCGTTCACTCCCCTGGAAAGGAGTGCTGAAGCCAGGGAGCCAAGTGGTGTGGCTTGGCGGGTTTCACCCCCATGGAACCCAGCAAACTAAGATCCAGTGGCTTGAAAGTCTCACTGCCAGCACAGCAGCAGTCTGAGATTAACCTGGGATGCTCCAGCTTGGTAGGGGGAGGGGCGTCCGCCGTTGCTGAGGCTTGAGCAGGCAGTTTTACACTCACAGTGTAAACAAAGCCGCTGGGAAGTTTAAACTGGGCAGAGCCCACTGCAGCTCAGGGAGGCTGCTGTGGCCAGACTGCCAGATTTCCCTTCTCCGGGCAGGCCATCTCTGAAAAAAAGGCAGCAGCTCCAGTCAGGGACTTATAGATAAAACTCCCATCTCCCTTAGACAGAGCCCCTGGGGAAAAAGGCAGCTGTGGGTGGAGCTTCAGAAGACTTAAACGTCCCTGCCTGATGGCTCTGAAGAGAGCAGCGGACCTCCCAGCAGAGCATTCAAGCTCTGCTAAGGGTCAGACTGCCTCCTCAAGTGGGTCCCTGACCACCGTGTCTCCTGACTGGGAGACACCTCCCAGTAGGGGCCGACAGAGACCTCATACAGGGGAGCTCTGACTGTCATCTGGCAGGGGCCCCTCTGAGAGGAAGCTTCCAGAGGAAAGATCAAGCAGCAATCTTTGCTGTTCTGCAGCCTCTGCTGGTGATACCCAGGCAAACAGGGTCAGGAGTAGACCTCCAGAAAACCCAAGCAGACTGGAAGCAGAGGGGCCTGAGTGTCAGAAGGGAAACAAACAAACAGAAAGGAATAGCATGTACACTCAAAGACCCCATCTGAAGGTCACCGACATCAAAGACAAAAGGTAGATAAATCCAGAAAGATGGGGAGAAACCAGTACAAAAAGGCTGAAAATTTCAAATGCCAGAACATCTCTTCTCCTCCAAAGGATCACAACTCCTCGGCAACAAGGGAACAAAACTGGATGGAGAATGAGTTTGATGAATTGACAGAAGTAGGCTTCAGAAGGTGGGTAATAACAAACTCCTCTGAGCTAAAGGAGCATGTTCTAACCCAATGCAAGGAAGCTAAGAACTTTGAAAAAATGTTAGAAGAATTGCTAATTAAAGTAACCAGTGTAAAGAAGAACATAAATGACCTGATGGAGCTGAAAAACACATCACAAGAACTTCGTGAAGCATACTCAAGTTTCAATAGCTGAATCAATCAAGTGGAGGAAAGGATATCAGCGATTGGAGATCAACTTAATGAAATCAAGAGAGAAGACAAAATTAGGGAAAAAAGAATAAGAAGGAATGAACAAAGTCTACAAGAAATATGGGATTATGTGAAAAGACCAAATCTACATTTGATTGGTGTGCCTGAAAGTGATGAGAAGAATGGAACCAAGTTGGAAAACACTCTTCAGGATATTATCCAGGAGAACTTCCCCAACCTAGCAAGATGGCCAATATTCAAATTCAGGAAATACAGAGAACACCACTAAGATACTCCTGGAGAAGAGCAACCCCAAATTTTCATCAATAATAGACTTAAATGTCAGATTCACCAAGGTTCAAATGAAGAAAACAATTTTAAGGGCAGCCAGAGAGAAAGGTGGGTTTACCCACAAAGGGAAGCAGTGGATCTCTCTGCAGAAACCCTACAAGCCAGAAGAGAGTGGGGGCCAATATTCAACATTTTTAAGAAAATAATTTTCAACCCAGAATTTTATGGCCAGCCAAACTAAACTTCATAAACAAAGGAGAAATAAAATCCTTTATAGACAAGCAAATGCTGAGAGATTTTGTCACTACCAGGCCTGCATTACAAGAGCTCCTGGATGAAGCACTAAACATGGAAAGGAACAACCGGTACCAGCGACTGCAAAAACATACCAAATTGTAAAGACCATTGAGGCTAGGAAGAAACTGCATCAACTAACGAGCAAAATAACCAGCTAACATCACAATGACAGGATCAAATTCACACATAACAATATAAACCTTAAAAGTAAATGGGCAAAATGCTCCAATTAAAAGACAGACTGGCAAATTAGACAGTCAAGACACATCAGTGTGCTGTATTCAGGAGACCGATATCATGTGCAAAGACACATATAGGCTCAAAATAAAGGAATGGAGGAATATTTATGAAGCAAATGGAAAGCAAAAAAAAAAAAAAAAAAAAGCAGGAGTTGCAATCCTAATCTCTGGTAAAACAGACTTTAAACCAACAAAGATCAAAAGAGACAAAGAAGTGCATTACATAATGATAAAGGGATCAATGCAACAAGAAGAGCTAACTATCCTAAATATATATGCGCCCAATACAGGAATACCCAGATTCCTAAAGCAAGTTCTTAGAGACCTACAGAGAGACTTAGACTCCCACATAATAATAGTGGGAGACTTTAACACCCCACAGTCAACATCAGAGAGATCAACGAGACAGAAAATTAACAAGGGTATTCAGGACTTGAAGTCACGTCTGGGCCAAGAGGGCCTAGTAGACAGCTACAGAACTCTCCACCCCAAATCAACAGAGAATACATTCTTCTCAGCATCTCATCACATTTATTCTAAAACCGACCACATAATTGGAAGTAAAATACTCCTTAGCAAATGCCAAAGAACTGAAATAATAACAGTCTCTCAGACCACAGTGCAATCAAATTAGAACTCAGGATTAAGAAACTCACTCAAAACCGCTCAACTACATGGAAACTGAACAACTTGCTCCTAAATGACTACTGGATAAATAACAAAATGAAGGCAGAAATAAAGATGCTCTTTGAAACCAGTGAGAATGAAGACACAACTTACCAGAGTCTCTGAGACACTTTTAAAGCAGTGTGTAGAGGGAAATTTATAGCACTAAATGCCCACAAGAGAAAGCAGGAAAGATCTAAAATTACCATGCTAGCATAAATATTAAAAGAACTATAGAAGCAACAGCAAACGAATTCAAAATCTAGCAGAAGACAAGAAATAACTAAGATCAGAGCAGAACTGAAGGAGATAGAGACACGAAAAACTTTTCAAAACATCAATTAATCCAGAAGCTGGTTTTTTGAAAAGATCAACAAATAGATAGACCACTAGCCAGATTTATAAAGAAGAAAAGAGAGAAGAATCAAATAGATGCAATAAAAAATGATAAAGGGGATATCACCACTGATTCCACAGAAATACAAACTACCATCAGAGAATACTATAAATATCTCTACACAAATAAACTAAAAAATCTAGAAGAAATGGATAAATTCCTGGACACATACACCCTCCCAAGACTAAACCAGGAAGAACTCGAATCCCTGAATAAACCAATAACAGGTTCTGAAATTGAGGCAATAAATAATGGCCTACCAACCAAAAAGAGTCCAGGACCAGATGGATTCACACCCAAATTCTGCCAGATGTATAAAAAGGAGCTGGTGCCATTCCTTCTGAAACTCTTCCAACAATAGAAAAAGAGGGAATCCTCCCTAACTCATTTTATGAGGCCAGCATCATCCTGATACCAAAACCTGGCAGAGACACAACAAAAAAAGAAAATTTCAGGCCAATATCCCTGATGAACATCGATGTGAAAATCCTCAATAAAATACTGGCAAACCGAATCCAGCAGCACATTAAAAAGCTTATCCAACATGATCAAGTCGTCTTCATCCCTGGGATACAAGGCTGGTTCAACATACGCAAATCAATAAATGTAATACATCACGTCAACAGAACCAATGACAAAAAGCACATGATTATCTCAATAGATGCAGAAAAGGCCTTTGATAAAATTCAACACCCCTTCATGCTAAAAACTCTCAATAAACTGGGCATCAATCGAGTGTATCTCAAATAATAAGAGCTGTTTATGACAAACCCACAGCTAATATAATACAAATGGGCAAAAACTGGAAGCATTCCCTTTGAAAACTGGCACAAGATAAGGATGTCCTCTCTCACCACTCCTATTCAACATAGTATTGGAAGTTCTGGCCAGGGTAATCAGGCAAGAGAAAGAAATAAAGGGTATTCACATAGGAAGAGAGGAAGTCAAATTGTCTTTCTTTGCAGTTGACATGATTTTATACTTAGAAAACCCCATCATCTCAGTCCAAAATCTCCTTAAGCTGATAAGCAACTTCAGCAAAGTCTCAGGATACAAAATCAATGTGCAAAAATCACAAGCATTTCTATACACCAATAACAGACAAACAGAGAGCCAAATCATGAGTGAACTCCCGTTCACAATTGCTACAAAGAGAATAAAATACCTAGGAATACAACTTACAGGGGATGTGAAGGACCTCTTCAAGGAGAACTACAAACCACTACTCAAGGAAATAAGAGAGGACTCAAACAAATGGAAAAACATTCCATACTCATGGATAGGAAGAATCAATATTGTGAAAATGGCCATACTGCCCAAAGTAATTTGTAAATTCAATGCTATCCCCATCAATCTACCAATGACTTTCTTCACAGAATTGGAAAAAACTACTTTAAACTTCATATGGAACCAAAAAAGAGCCTGCATAGCCCAGACAATCCTAAGCAAGAAAAATAAACCCGGAGGCATCATGCTACCTTATTTCAAACTATACTACAAGGCTACAGTAACCAAAACAGCATGGTACTGGTACCAAAACACATATATAGGCCAATAGAACAGAATGGAAGCCTCAGAAATAACACCACACATTTACAACCATCTCATCTTTGGCAAACCTGACACAAAAAAAGCAATGGGGAACAGATTCCCTATTTAATAAATGTTGTTGGGAAAAACTGGCTAGCCATATGCAGAAAACGGAAACTGGACCCTTTCCTTACACCTGATACAAAAGTCAACTCAAGATGGATCAAAGACTTAAACATAAGACCTAGGACCATAAAAATTCTAGAATAAAACCTGGGCAATGCCATTCAGGACATAGGCATGGGCAAAGACTTCATGAGCAAAACACCAAAAGCAATGGCAACAAAAGCCAAAATTGACAAATCTGATCTAATTAAACTAAAGAGCTTCTGCACAGCAAAAGAAACTATCATCAGAGTGAACAGGCAAAGGTCTGACAAAGGTCTAATATCCAGAATCTACAAAGAACTTCAACATATTTCCAAGAAAAAAAACAAACAACCCCATCAAAAAGTGGGCAAAGGATATGAACAGACACTTCTCAAAAGAAGACATTTGCACAGCCAACTGACATATGAAAAAATGCTCATCATCACTGATCATTAGAGAAATGGAAATTAAAACCACAATGAGATACCATCTCATGTCAGTTAGAATGGCGATCATGAAATGTCAGGAAGCAACAGATGCTGGAGAGGATGTGGAGAAATAGGAATGCTTTTACACTGTTGGTGGGAGTGTAAATTAGTTCAACCATTGTGGAAGACAGTGTGGTGATTCCTCAAGGATCTAGAACCAGAAATACCATTTGACCCAGCAATCCCATTACTGGGTATATACTCAAAAGTTGATAAATCATTCTACTATAAAAACACGTGCACACGTATGTTTATTTCAGCACTATTTACAATAGCAAAGACTTGGAATCAACCCAAATTTTCATCAATAATAGACTGGATAATGTAAATGTGGCACATATACACCATGGAATACTATGCAGCCATAAAAAAAGATGAGTTCATGTCCTTTGCAGGGACATGGATGAAGCTGGAAACCATCATTCTCAGCAAACTATCACAAGAACAGAAAACCAAACACCACATGTTCTCACTCATAAGTGGGAGTTGAACAGTGAGAACACATGGACATAGGGAGGCAAACATCACACACTGGGGCCTATCAGGGGGTGAGGTGTGTTGGGGGCATAACATTAGGAGAAATACCTAATGTAGGTGATGGGTTGATGGGTACAGCAAACTACCAGGGCACATATACACCTATGTAACAAAACTGCACATTCTGCACATGTACTCCAGAACTTAAAGTATATAAAAAATAGACAGGCTATTTGAAAATACACAGCAAGAGGATACAAAAGAAAAAAAACAATAAGATATGCTTACAGGATCTAGAAAATAGTCTCAAAAGGGCAAATCTAACCGTTGTTGGCCTTAAAGAGGAGGTAGAGAGAGAGAGATAGGCATTGAAGTTTATTAAATAGGATAATAACAGAGAACTTTCAAAGTATAGAGAACAGTATCAATACTCAAGTACAGGAAGGTTGTCGAACACCAAGCAGATTTAATCCAAAGAAGACTATCACAAGACATTTAATAATCAAACTCCAAAAGGTTAAGAATAAAGAATAGATTATAAAAGCAAGAGAAAAGAAACAAAGAAGATAAAATGAAGCTCCAATATGTTTGGCAGCAGAGTTTTCAATTAAAACCTTACAGACCAGGAGAGAGTGGCACAACATATTTAAAGTGCTGAAGGGAAAAAAAAAACACTTTTACTCTAGAATAGTATATTCAGCAAAAATATTCTTCAAACATGAAGGAGAAATAAAGACTCTCCCAGATAAACAAAAGCTGAGAGATATCATCAACACCAAACCTGTTCTACAAGAAATGCTAAAAAGTGTTCTTTAACCTGAAAGAAATGGATGTTAATGAGCAATAAGAAATCATCTGCAGGTAATAGCAAGTACAGAGAAAAATACAGAATATTATAACATTGTAATGGTGGTGTGTAAACTACTAATATATTAAGTGAAAAGATGAAAAGATAAACCAAACAAAATAATAGCTACAACTTCTCAAGACAAAGACAATACAATAAGATATAAATAGAAAGAACAAGTTGCTAAAAAGTGGGGAGATGAAGTTAAAGTATAGAGTTTTTATTTGTTATATTTTTGCTTGTCTGTTTCTCTATGCAACCAGTGTTGTTATAAGCTTTTAAAAATAGATTATAAGATATTATTTGCAAGCCTCATGATAATCTAAAATCTAAAATATATACAATAGACAAAAAAACTTCTAAGAAATTTAAAACATACCACAAGAGAAAATCACCTTCACTAAAAGACAGAAAGGAGAAAAAGAAAGACAAGACTACAAAACAACCAGAAAACAAATAACAAAATGGTAGAAGTAAGTACTTACAAATCAGTAATAATACTGAATATAAATAAAGTAAACCTCCAGACAAAAGACACAGAGTGGCTGAATAAAAAACAAGACCTAACAATTCGCTGTCTACAAGAAGCACACTTTATCTAGAAAGACACACATAGACTGAAAGTTAAAACATAAAAAAGTTATTCAATGCACATGGAAATAAAAAAAGAGTAGGGGTAGCTATACTTAGATAAAACAAATAGATTTCAAGACAAAAACTCTAAGAAGATACAAAGAAGGTCATTATATAATGATAAAGGGGTCAATGCAGCAAGAGAATATAACAACTGTAAATATAAATACACCCAACACTGTAGCACACAGATAAATAAAGTAAATATTATTAGAGCTAAAGTTAGAAATACAGCCCAATACAATAATAGCTGGAGCTCACAACACCTTACTTTTAGCATTGGACAGATCATGCAGACAGAATATCAATGAAGAATCATTGAACTTAACCTGCACTATAGAACAAAGAGACCTAATAGATATTTATGGAACATTTCATTCAATGGCCACAGATTGTTCTCCTCAGCATATGAATCATTCTCAAGAACAGGCCATATGTTAAGCCAAAAAAATCTTAAAACATTTAAAAAATTGAAATAATATAAAATATCTTTTTCGATTACAATAGAATAAAACCAGAAATTGATAGCAAGACTAATTTGGGAAATTATACAAACACAAGGAAATTCAACAATATGCTCCTGGATAACCAGTGCATCAATTAAGAGATTAAAAAGAAAATTACACAACTTCTTCAAAGAAGCAATAATAAAAACACAACACATCAATACCTAGGGGTTCCAGTTAAAGCAATACTGAGGAAAATTTATAGCTATAAGTGCCTATAAACTTTAAGAAATAAGAAAAGCTTCAAATAAACAACCTAATAATGCATCTTAAACAACTGGAAAAGCAAGAGGTGAACTAACCCAAACTCAGTAGAAGAAAAAAAATAATAAAAGTCAGAGCAGATATAAAATGAAAATGAAGAAATCCAAACAAAAGATGGACAAAAATCAAAAGTTGGGTTTTTGAAACAATGAATAAAATTGACAAACCATTAGTCAAACTGACAGTGTGCTTCTTGTAGACAGTAGATCATTGTCTTTTTAAAAAAAATTTATTCAGCTACTCTGTCTTCTGTTTGGAGAGTTTACTTCATTTATATTCAATGTTATTATTGATATGTAAGTAGTTTCTGTATTAATATTCATCAGTGATATTGGTCTATAGTTTTCTTTTTTTGATGAGTCTTTGTTGGATTTTGGTATCAGTACTGGCCTCATAGAATGAGTTTTTAAATGTTCCATCTGCCTCTATTTTTCAGAATAGTTTCAGTAGGATTGGTATTAATTTTTCTTTAAATTTTTGGTAAAATTCAGCAATGAATTTATTGATTCCCAGGCTTTTCTTTGTGGGAAGTTTTTATAATGGCCTTGATCTTACGACTTGTTACTGGTCTGTTCAGGTTTTGGATTTCTTCTTGGTTCAATCTTGGAAGGTTGTATGAGTCTAGGACCTTATCCAATTTTTTTAGGTTTCCCAATTTATAAAGTCCTCATAGTTGCCTTTAACAATCCTTTGAATTGCTGAAGTATTGGGTGTAGTGTCTCCTTTTTTATCTCTGATTTTATTTATTTGGGCCCAGAGACAGTGGACTCCAGGGTGAGGGTAGTATGTGACCTGCTGAGACACCAGCTGGGGGAGCTAAGCGAGTGTTGGCATAACCTCTCCCTTAACACCAGGCTACACAGCTTATCTTAAGTATTCCTACCGTACCAAAAAAAATGATAACTTTGTAAGGTGGTGGATATGTTAATTAGCCTGATTGTGGTAATCATCTCAAAATGTACACATAAATCAAAACCTTATGCTGTATACCTCAGCTGAGTCATCAAAGAGCAGGAGGATCTATGTACTAAGGATAATGAAGATTATCCTAGCTTCAAGGAAGAAATAATGCATGAAAAATCCAATAGCCAAAGTGGAGTGAGTCACTTTTATTACCCACCTAGTGAATTCCAAGGGAACATTTATATTGCATCCAATAAGCAAGGAAAGGCAATGACATTCTCTAAAATAAAAATTCAAATGATGTTTGTAAGCGTTTACTGGAGATATCAATGCAGAAAAGTTATGCTTCTTTTAGCTTGAAGCAGCTCAACCTTTTCCAGTTAAAAAAGTTTGAATGTATCCTCATTTATCCGATTTACTATAGTAGAACCCTTTCAAATTTTCTCAATGTTTGGCAATATTTATATTATTTTGGCAATAAAGAAATGACTTCATAAAGTAAAACCATAGATATAAACAATCATAATGACTAAATGGGTTGTACTGAAGAATAAGAAACTGAAGGAGACATTTTGATCCTTGAGACTATATTAGAACTCTTTCACTCCATAATTACTTATTAAGTAGCTATTGGGTGCCAGGGTGTTTACTGAATAGGTTAGATTTTGACAAACAAAGTGAAAAGAATACATTCCAGATAGAAATAGCAGCATGTAACTAATGGGAGTTTAAAATGAGTAAAAAAATGTTTAGGGAACTAGGGTCAGGGACTCATGCATAAGATGCGTGAGCAGGTGAGGCCAGAAAGGGAATTTTGTAAAAGTGATTGAGTGCCTCATTGAGACACTGAGGAAACTTTCAAGATCATATAAACGGTTTTACTTGAAGATCTCCTTTGGATCTGTTTCAGTCTACTAATAGCTTTCTACACAAACCCCAGCTTGTTCTGGTTTTCTGATCGATGAATGATAAGCACGTGAAAAGAAGTTCAATTGAGTTTATGGAAGGTATAGCTAAATGTTAAGGGAATGTTTTCCTACCTTCAAACTGAACCTCTCTTTGTAAACCTGAGTAAATCCCTAAGAAGAGAACATTCACACCTGAAATAATTGAATTTAAATCCTATCCCTTGAAGAAGTATAAACGTGTCTGGACAATATCCACAGCTCATAAATTCAGCAGCAGGTGGAAATCCAGCTCATTTCCTTAAATATATGCACATGTGCCAGTTAGGACAGTTTCTCTCTGGAAGAAGGGAAACAAGTTAAAAGAGAAATTTTATTTCTACTCAGCCTGCCACATTTAGTTCATCAGTCTAGAGTGGTACACTACTTCAGAAAGCAGATTCCACAGAAAATCCATATGGTATAGAGGCTTTTCTTGGCCACCAGGAAAGAAAGTTCCCATTCCAGGAGAAGCAGGAATGTGCAATGATGTGAAACATCAACACGAGAACTTCTGTAATTTTACATGTAAGTATTTCTACAAAAATGATGGAAGCTTGGATTTCATCACGTGGGTTTGGGCTATTGCATTACTGTTAAATATAGGACTGAGCCAATGCCTTCAGCAACAACAGAATGTCTATCCAAGTTTGGATACTTTCATTCCCTTTCTATCCCTTCATGAGATCCGTGAATCTTAAAATCCACATGATGTTTCAGAGTTTATTTGGCCAATTCCCTACCTCCAGATAGGTCTCACAGCAAGGTTAGATGTATGCTATGGAAAAGAAAGACAATATGAGGAGAAGGCAGGACAGTCTGAGAATCAGTAAGATGTAGATTCTGGTCTTGCTCCTGCTATTAATTTAGTTGGGTAAGATAGTTCCACTATTTGGCATTTGTTCCCTTTTACTAGGGTGCTAGAAAACATGAGCTTAATACCTTTCAGCTCTGAAATCCTGGGTTAGATGAATGTTAGTGGTTTATCATTTGCATATGCACCATCTCCTTTCTACAACTCCCATCTCCTCACCCCACGATAGACACTCTCTTCAGAAACTCATTGTCCTCTTTTCCTTGCCATCACACTACATCTCTCTAAACCAGGGTTTCTGACCACTGTTGACATTTTGCACGGGGTAACTTTTTTATCGTGGAGGTCTGTCCTGTGTATTGTATGGTGTTTAGTAGAACCCAGGCCTCAACCCACTAGTTGCCAGTAGCATCACACATGCACTCCCCCACACACACACACACACACACACACACACACATCCAGCTGTGGCAACTAAAAATGTATCTACACATTGCCAAATATTCCCTTGGATATAAAACCTTCCCAGTTAAGAATCCTACCATAAAGACACACATCAAAATTAAAGCATGAAAGAATGTGAAAAATGCATTCAGACTGAAACGGCAGTAAAACCCTCAAAGAGATTGGAAAATGGAAGAGACTACTCTAAATGTGATAAATTGCCAGTCACTGGAGCTAAATAGAAGCTGTGTAAGAATGTAGTAAGAATGTGTTCTTGGTTTCACTTTTGCTACACCATTCCATTCTCCATATGGCTACCAATATGAATTTCTGAAAATATAAATTAGATAATATTACTTCCTGCTTAAAACCTTCCAATGACCTCCTGTCCACTTGGAACAAGATCTAAGCTCATTGCTAGATGCTATGAAGTCTCATACAAAGTAGTCATTGCCTGTCTTTTCAACTTTATCTTGTACTAGTCTTCCCTTAGTCATTGTATGCAAAACTTGCCCAAACAAGCCAATCTCTTTCCATATCTCCACATCTTCATACTCACTGTTCTCTCTTCCCAGTATGTTCTTATTTTAGATATTTGCATGACTAGCTCCTTCTCATCTTTTAAATTTTGTGTTCTTAGGGAGGACTTCTCTAACCACTCTATCTTAAATAGCTATCCCCATCTTAACCCATTATTTGATATTGGAGCACCTTCTACATGTTTTCTACTCTCTCTCTCTCTCTCTCTCTCTCTCTCTCTCTATATATATATATATATATATATATATATATATATACACACATATAGTGTTTTCTACAATTTTTAATGATCTTCATGTTTAATTTTTTATTGTCTATTTACCACCACCTCCAAGATTAAGTTTTCTGAGACAAGGAGACATGTCTCCTTTTATTTTAGTACAAATACCACAGCTCTTGGTAAAGTGCTTGGCACATAGGAGGTAGTCAATAAATATTTGCTGAATGATCATCAATGTAGAGATATCCATGTGTGGTAAGAGGTTGAGCCCTTGAGCATAAAAGACCCTTTTAACTTTACAAGTTCTATAATGCTGTGATTCATTTAATCATTAGTCAAATAATTAAGAGCCCATTATGTGCAGGATATAATGCCAGAGACGATAACACATGTCCAAAAATAATCTCAGTTTAAGGCAGTATGTGATCCAAGTGCTATAGGAGTTCTGAGAGAGGAGAAATCACTTCAGCATGAGTAATTAGCAAAGCCTTTGCAGAAACATAGTGTTTGTGGTATGTCTTAAGGAATGAGTAATATTTTAAACCAGCAAACAAGCAAAGATGCTGACTGGAGCATGCCAAGTAAAGTAATGGAATAGCAAGTGTCAATGAGAGTGATAAAAAGATGGGTTGAAGCCAGGTTGAGGATGACTATGAATGCCAGCTTTTATAAGTTTAAATTTGATTTAATTATCAATTGAGAAACATTTAAAGATTTTGAGCTGGAAATGGCATAAGTGCTGTAGAAAGATTAATATAACAGTATTTAGGTATGAATGGAGTGGAGAGGTAGGGAGACAACTTTGGAAGTTCTTGCGATAGTCCAGGAAGAGGTAATAAGCACCAATACTGGGTGGTGAGAACATGATTTAAAAGATATCACTAAGCATGGTCAACATTAAAAATAATAGTTTTCAGGACTTGGAATTTTTGTTTGTTTGTTTGTTTCTTGAGACGGAGTCTTGCTCTGTTATGCAGGCTGAAGTGCAGTGGTGCAGTCTTGGCTCACTGCAACCTTCACCTCCCAGGTTCAGGCGATTCTCCTGCCTCAGCTTCCTGAGTAGCTGGGACTACAGGTGCATGCCACCACACCTAGCTGATTTTTGTCTTTTTCATAGAGTCGGGGCTTTGCTCTGTTGGCCACGCTGGTCTCAAACTCCTGACCTCAGGTGATCCACCCACCTCAGCCTCCCAATCTCAGTGCTGGGATTACAGGCATGAGCCACTATGCCTGGCCTAGGGCTTGGAATTTGATTGAAGGGTTGAATAAGGACAAGGGAGAAAGAGGAGAAGATGACTTAAAAATTTAAGCCTGGGTGCTACATTCTGAAAAATGAAAAAATGAAAAGGATATACTGGTTTAGAGGGAAAAGGTGGTCATTTATGCTTAACCATACTAAAGGTTGCTTTAGTGATTATGGTTTTATGCTAAAAACCCAGCCTCCAAATATACATGGAGTCACGTTACTCAAGAATCTCCTAAAATACACCAGCAACATTTTATCTGTTTGAGAGTCCCCTAATGGACTGAATCTCTTACAAGAAGTGTTGGCATGATGAATTATTAAATCTTGAAAAGATGTTAGAGTTTTCTTTTTTGATCTTTTATGCAGCATCTTGAAAAGGCAATGAATGGTGGATCAATAAACCCTAGGTTCAAGTGCCAGCTCTGGCAGTAACTCACTTTGTAACACTGAGCAAGTCATTATCAAAGAGTAAGTAAATCTCCTTTCTGGACTTCAGCTTTTCTCATCTGACAATAATGAGAAAGCTGTCTTCACTAGTCCTATCCTCTGTGTTTTAGGAAATCCCCTTTTACTCACTTGTTTTTGCCTCCTCCTTTCAAAACTCCAAGAGTGTTTCTGAGTCCACACTTTATGTGCAACCATACTTGACAAAAATGACTGGTTTACATCCATGGCCCTACTTCCCAGAAGATTTCTCTTTCACTCTAGCATTTTATCCCACTATTATCAAGGTTATCCCTGGGTAATTACTTAAGTCATCTAAAGAGTTTTTTACAATTCCAGGAGTCAGTGGGTTAATATAGCTTTGGAGCTATATTGGAAAGGCCCTAACAACAAACCTCCCTGACCTTTGATCCAGGACACAACTCACTTGTCAACTTTCCATTTCTCATGGTGATAATCATTCTAGAAATATCATACAAGACAGATTCCTGAAATGATATATTTTTCAAAAATAATGAAAGGAAAGAGGCAATTGGTAACTGAGTCATGCATCAGCAAATATGCATCAGTATCTACCCTGTATCAACACTATGAAAAGTTTACAATCTACTAGTTGCTTGGTTATCTTTAAGATACTGATTTAGTTGACATAGACCCAAGACCCCTTTTGCCAAGTCCTCAACAAGGCTCTGAATTGGGAGGTTGGAGAATAAAACATAGTTTGGATAGCAGAAAACTACTCACTAAAGGTGTGATTTAGATGACGTATTAGGATGTTCTCACATTGATATAAAGAAGTATCTAAGATTGGGTGATTTATACAAAAAAATGTTTAATTGGATCACAGTCCTGCAGGCTTTATAGGGAGCATAGTGGCATCTGCTTCTTGAAAAGCCTCAGGAAGCTTCCAACCATGGCAGAAGGCAGAGAGGGAGCAGACACATCACATGGCAGGAGCAGGAGCAAGAGCAAGAGAGCAAGGTGCCACACACTTTTTTAAAATTATACTTTAAGTTCTAGGGTACATGTGCACAACGTGCAGATTTGTTACATATGTATACATGCACCATGTTGGTGTCCTGCACCCATTAACTCATCACTTACATTAGGTATATCTCCTAACGCTAACCACACACTTTTAAATGCCAGATCTTGCAAGAAGTCACTTACTGTTGTGAATACAATGCCAAGGGGATGGTACAAAACCTTTCATGAGAAACCCATGATCCAATCACCTCCCAGCAGGCCACACCTCCAATATTGGGGATTACAATTCAACATAAGATTTGGTCAGGGACACATCCAAACTATATCTTTCTGACCCTGGCACACACTCTGCCAAATCTCCTGTTCTTCTCACATGGCAAAGTACATTCATCCCTTCTCAATAATCCCCCAAAGCCTTAACTCATTTAACCATTAATTCAAAAGTTTTATGTCCCAAGTCTTATCTGGAGATGTGTTCCTCTCACCTATGAGCCTATAAAATCAAAACAAGTTATTTCCTTCCAAGATACAATGAGGGTACCACCACTGGGTAAACATTTCCATTCCAAAAGGGAGAAATAGGCCAAAAGAAAGTGGCTACAAGCCCTATGCAAGTTCAAAATGTAGCAGGACAGTCATTGAACCTTATAACTCCAAAACAATCTCCTTTAACTCTATGTCCCTCATCCAGGGCACACTTGTGTAATGGGTGGGCTCCCAAGGCCTTGGGCAGCTCCAACCCTGTGGTTTTGCAGGGTTCAGCTCCCATGGCTGCTCTCACAGGCTGGCATTGAGTGCCTGTGGCTTTTCCAGACACAGAATGCAAGCTGTCAGTGGATGATGGTGGTGCTCTTCTCAGGGCTCCACTAGGCAGTGCTTCCGTGGAGACTCTGTGTAGGGGCTCCAACCCCACATTTCCCCTCTGCACTGACCTAGTAGAGGTTCTCTGTGAGGGCTCCACCCTTGCAGCAGGCTTCTTCCTGGACACCCAAGCTTTTCTATACATCCTCTGAAATCTAGGCAGAGGATCCCAAGCCTTAACTCTTGCACTCTGTGCTCCTGCAGGATTAACACCACATTGAAGCTGCCAAAGCTTATGGCTTACACTATCTGAAGCAGTGGCCCAAGCTGTGCCCAAGCCAGTTTGAGCCATAGCTGGAACTGGATTGGCCAGGATGCAGAAAGCAGTGTCCATAGGCTGCACAGGAGAGCAGAACCCTGGACCTGGCCCACAAAACCATTCTGTCCTCCTAGACATCAGGGCCTGTGATGGCAAGAGCTGCATTTTAGATTTCTGAAATGTCTTCAAGGCCTTTTTCTCATTGTCTTGGCTATCAGAACTTGCCTTGTTTTTAGTTAGACAAATTTCTCTCATAAGCAGTTGCTCAGCAGCATAATTGATTTCTTCTCCAAGTGGGCTTTGCTTTTCTACCACATGGCCAGTTGGAAATTCTCCAAATGTTTACACTCTGCTTCCCTCTTAAATATAAGTTCCAACTTATTTCTTTACTCCCACATCTGAGCCTAGGCTGCTAGAAGCAGCCACATCATTTCTTGAATGCTTTGCTGCTTAGAAATGTCTTCTGCCAGATACCTTAGGTTATCACTCTCAAATTCAAACTTCTACATATCTCTAGGGCATGGACACAATCTAGCCAAGCTCTTTGCTAAGGCATAACATGTGTGACCTTTTCTCCAGCTTGCAATAAGTTTCTCATTTCCATCTGAGACCTCCTCAGCCTGGACTTCATTGTCAGCATTTTGGTCACAACGATTTAACCAGCCTCTAAGAAGTTCCAAACTTCCTTTCAGCTTTCTGACTTCTTCTGAGTCCTCCACACTCTTCCAGCCTCTGCCTGCTACCCCATTCCAAAGCTGCTTTCACATTTTCAGGTATCTTTATAGCAATGCCCTACTCCTCAGTATCAATTTTCTGAATTAGTACATTTTGTCACATTGCTATACAAATACTTGAGACTGGGTAGTTTATAAAGAATAGAGCTTTGGTTTGCTTATGATTCCACAGGCTGTACAAGAAGCATAGCAGCACCTGTTTCTGAGGAGGCTTCAGGAATCTTCCAATCATGGCCAAAGGCAAAGAGGGAGCAGGCACGTTCCATGACACAAGCAGTAGCAAGAGAAAGACAGTGAGGGTTCCATGCCTTTTTAAACAGAAAGATCTTATGAGAAGTTATTCGCTATTGTGAGGACAATGCCAAGGAAATGTTACTAAGCCTTTCAGGAGAAATCTTCCCCCATAATCCCATCACCTCCCACCAGGGCCCACTTTCAACATTGGAGATTACAATTCAACATGAGATTTGGGCAGGGACACATATCAAAACTATATGAGATGACATGAAAGAAAACTTCTTGTCAAAAAATATTTTCCTTAACTGTGCTCAAAATTCCACTCTTAATAAATATCACTCTTCTAGCTTTCTCTTTTTAAGTACAAATGCTAGTAAGAAAATGTAGTAAGTCCTCAACATTTCACTGGGAATGACCCACTCATAATTCAGAGATAAACACTAACATGGCTTGAGACTGATGAGTGTATAAAGAAGGGAGTGGCCTTCACTTTACTAAGACAGCTTTAGCCATATTAAAGTACATAGATCCTGCAACTATACTACCTGGATTTGAATTTTTCACTTACTAACCGAATCACCCTAAGTTACTTCCTTTTCTGTGCCTTTGGACTAACAATAACAATCTGGAAGTTATTGTGAAGATTAACTGAGTTACCATACAGGAAAAACTTAGAAGAGTATCTCACTCATAGGAAGGGCTTAATAAATATTAACTATTTTACTAGGCTTAGTGCTGGACATACATTACCAATCATAAAAAGATGTAGCTGGCATGAAAATTTTAGGTTGCTGGGAAGAGAGGGGCACAACTGGATGGAATTAAGCCAACACTACTAGCCTCGCTATGAGAAATTAACTCTGAAAGAAAGAAGGGGAAGGGAGGCCACGAAGACATTTTAGTGGGCCAGGAGTCCAAGCCCAGACACTTCCTAGCTACCCTACAAGACCACCTAGAGCAAGCTGCTTCCCTTTCTGAGGCCTCAGATTCCCCATTTTTAAAAAATAAAGGACTTTAAGAAACTCATCTCTAAGGTCCTATTCTGAAAGTATCTGTACTCCAGGAGTCTAATGAGAAAGAAATAAAGCATATTTATTTATTTATTTATTTTTTATTTTATTATTATTATACTTTAAGTTTTAGGGTACATGTGCACAATGTGCAGGTTAGTTGCATATGTATACATGTGCCATGTTGGTGTGCTGCACCCATTAACTCATCATTTAGCATTAGGTATATCTCCTAATGCTATCCCTCCCCCCTCCCCCCACCCCACAACAGTCCCCAGAGTGTGGTGTTCCCCTTCCTGTGTCCATGTGTTCTCATTGTTCAATTCCCACCTATGAGTGAGAACATGCGGTGTTTGGTTTTTTGTCCTTGCGATAGTTTACTGAGAATGATGATTTCCAATTTCATCCATGTCCCTACAGAGGACATGAACTCATCATTTTTTATGGCTGCATAGTATTCCATGGTGTATATGTGCCACATTTTCTTAATCCAGTCTATCATTGTTGGACATTTGGATTGGTTCCAAGTCTTTGCTATTGTGAATAGTGACACAATAAACATACGTGTGCATGTGTCTTTATAGCAACATGATTTATAGTCCTTTGGGTATATACCCAGTAATGGGATGGCTGGGTCAAATGGTATTTCTAGTTCTAGATCCCTGAGGAATCACCACACTGACTTCCACAATGGTTGAACTAGTTTACAGTCCCACCAAAATGCTCACCATCACTGGCCGTCAGAGAAATGCAAATCAAAACCACAATGAGATACCATCTCACACCAGTTAGAATGGCAATCATTAAAAAGTCAGGAAACAACAGGTGCTGGAGAGGATGTGGAGAAATAGCATATTTAAAAAGAAAGAAAGGAAGTCAAATTGTCTTTGTTTGCAGATGACATGATCCTATATGTACAAAACCCCGTCTCAGTCCAAAATCTTGTTAAGCTGATAAGCAACTATAGCAAAATCTCAGGATACAAAGTCATTGTACAAAAATCACAAGCATTTCTACACACCAACAACAGGCAAGTGGAGAGCCAAATCATAAATGAAATCCCATTCACAAACACAGATCACACCAGAGCTTCAGTGAGCAGCCCAGAGTGCCGAGTCACCATCTACAGCCAGCACTCAAGGGGGAGAAGACCCCACACTTTCAGAGCATTGGGAAGAAACATGGCTGCAACTGTGAGAAAACATAGGGGAGCCACACAACTGAGCAAGAATCTACCAATTGACCAATAAGCCTGAGTGCCACCTGCTGGATCATACCCCAAAGCTTCAACACCAAAAATGCCTCCCTAACATACCCTTTAAAAAAAGGTCAACATCACTGATCAATAGAGAAATGCTCATCAATACCACAATGAGATACCATCTCACACCAGTCAGAATGGCTATTACTAGTAAGTCAAAAAAGTGACAGAGGCTGACAAAGTTGTGGAGAAAAAGAAATGCTTATGCACTGTTGGTGGAAGTGTAAATTAGTTCAACCATTGTGGAAGACAGTGTGGCAATTCCTCAAAAATCTAGAACCAGAAATACCGTTTGACCCAGCAATCCTCTTACTGGATATATAAGCAAAAGAATATAAATTATTCTATTATGAAGATACATGCACACAGATGTTCATTGCAACACTATTCACAATAGCAAAGACATGGAATCAACCCAAAAGTCCATCAACAACAGACTGGATAAAGAAAATGTGGTACATATACACCATGGAATACTATGCAGCTATAAAAATGAATGAGATCATGTCCTTTGCAGGGACATAGGTGGAGCTGGAAGCCATTATTCTCAGCAAACTAATGCAGGAACAGAAAACCAAACACTGCATGTTCTCACTCATAAGTGGAAGTTGAACAATGAGAACACATGGACACAGGGAGTGGAACAACACACACTGAGACCTGTCAGGGGGTGAGGGGAGGGAGAACATCAGGACAAATGGCTAATGCTTGTGGGGCTTAATACCTAAGTGATGGGTTGATAGGTACAGCAAACCACCATGGCACAAGCTTACCTAAGTAAAAAACCTGCATGTTCTGCACATGTATCCTAGAACTTAAAATTAAAACAAAGAATTTTTTTAGATACATCAGAGAAGTGAGGTCAAAGGAATATCACTGCCCCCAAAATTGGAAAGACAGATGAGTAGATACAAAATCATAATATTCTGGACCAGAAACCTACAAGCAGAAACCTGTGCAGAAACCAGTGCCTGGGAAGGAAAACTTGAACTATAAGTGACAAATTGCTAGAAGCTCCCTGTGAACAAACCTGAGAGTGAAAAATTCCAAGGGAACACAGATAGATAATTTAAGCAGAAAAAATGGAAATTCTAAGGGATCATTAAAAATAAATGCTAAAGGTTTTGTGTATTCCTTTTTATTCTTTTTTAAAATTTTTGTCTGACTGTCTTATTTCAGAGAACCAGTCTTCCAGTTCTGAGATTCTTTCCTCAGCTTGGTTTTTTCTGCTGTTAATACTTGTAATTACATTGTGAAATTCTTGTATTGTGTTATGTACCTACGTCAGATCGGTTAGGTTCTTTTTTATATCAGCTAGTTCATCCTTCAGCTCCTGTATGGCTTAATTGTGATTCTCATTTTCCTTGGATTGGGTTTTGCCATCCTCCTGAATCTTGATAATCTTTGCTCCTATCCATATTCTGAATTCATTTCTGTCATTTCAACCAGTTTAGCCTGGTTAAGAACTCTTATTGGAGAGCTTGTGTGGTCATTTGGAGGACATGTAGCACTGTGCCCAGTTGATTTACTGGAGTTCTTGCATTGGTTCTTTGTCATCTCTGTGTGTGGGTATTTCTTTAACTGCAGTGTAGATTGAGCACAGTCAATAGACGTCTTTTCTGGGTGTTTTCACTGGGCTGAGCCTTTGTGAAGGGTCTTTATCTGGAGCTGACTTTTTGTCTCTGGTTTCAGAGATGGGTGTGGTAGTGAGATATTTTTAGTGTTGAAGTTTGGGGTGTGATCCAGCAGGTGACATTCGGGCTTACTGGTCAGTTGGTAGACTCTTGCTCAGTTGTGTGTTTCCCCTATGTTTCCTCACAGTTGCAGCCATGTTTCTTCTCAATGCTCTGAAAGTCTGAATTCTTCTCCCCCTTGAGTGCTGGCTATAGATCACAATTTGGTACTCTGGGCTGACCATTGTGGCTCTTGTGTGACTTCAGTGTTTTGTTCCTTACCCAACTTGGAGAGAGCAAAGAAAGGGATAATAGTAGTGGTTATGGCCAAGGGTCATTTACTTCTTTCCTGGGGGCTCCACCACAGAGAGATGCAGGTCAGTGTTTGCTCAGTGCAATCAGCCCAAGATGGAGAGTCTGTGCTGTGGGTCCAAGCCAGGGGTTCTGTGACTGCTAATGAGAAGTGGAGGGTGTGAAGAACCCATATAAGATGGACTGGCTTCCTCTCCTGGGGTTGACTGCAGCTTATTGGATGTGTGGAAAGGGCACAAAGAGTCTTCATTTCTCCATTAGTCTGAGGGTGGTAAGGGCAGTTCCACTGCAGAGGCAGTGGCAGTGAGAATTTCAATTGCCTTGGAGCCTCTGTCTATGGAGTCACCAAATTGCTACCTCCAAGAAGTATGGGATTATGTAAAGAGACAAAATTTACAAATCATTGGCATCCCTAAAAGGGAGGGGGAGAAAGCAAGTAACTTGGAAATCATATTTCTGGATATCATCCATGAAAACTCCAACTTTACTAGAGAGGCCAAAAGTCAAATTTAGGAAATACAGAGAATTCCTGCAAGATTCTACAAAAAAAAAAGATAATTCCCAATCTGAGACATAATTGTTAGGTTTTGCAAGGTTAAAATGAAAGAAAGAATGTTAAAGTCAACTAGAGATAAATGGCAGGTCACCTACAAAAAGAACACCATCAGGCTAACAACAGACCTCTTAGCTGAAACCCTACAAGCCAGAAGAGATTAGGGGACCTATATTCAACATTCTTTATTAAAAATTCTTCAACCAAGAATTTCATATCCAGTCAAACTAAGCTTCCTAGGTGATGGAGAAATAAGATCCTTTTCAGATAAGCAAATGTTAAGGAAATTCATTACCACCAGACCTACCTTACAAAAGATTTTTAAAGAAATAATATAGAAAGAAAAGACCACTACCAGCTATTAATAATACAGAAACACACCTAAACACACAGACCAGTGTCACTGTAAAGCAACCACACAAAAAAGCCAACATAATAACTAGCTGACAACGTAATGACAGGATCAAACCCACACATATCAATATTAACCTCGAATGTAAATGGGCTAAATGACCAACTTAAAAGGTAGAGCGTGGCAAGCTGGATAAAAAAGCAAGACCCTGTTGTATGCTGTCTTCAAGCGACCTATCTCACATGTAGTGACACAGATAGGCTCAAAATAAAGGGATGGAGGAAAATCTACCAAGCAAATGGAAAACAGAAAAAAGTAGAGGTTGCAATCCTAATTTCAGACAAAACAGATTTCAACCAGCAAAAGTCAAAAATGAGAAAAAAAGGTCATTACATAATGGTAAAAAGTTCAATTCAACAAGAAGAGCTAATTAGCTTAAATATATATACAGCCAACACAGGAGCATGCAGATTCATAAAGCAAGTTCTTAGAGACCTAAAAAGAGATGTAGGCTCCCACAGAGTAGTAGTGGGAGATTTCAGCACTCCACTGACAGTATTAGACAGATCATTGAGGCAGAAAATTAAAAAAGATATTCAGAACCTAAACTCAATATTGAAACAAATGACTCTGATAGACCTTTACAGAACTCTCCCCTCCAAAACAACAGGATAGCCTTCTAATTGCTACATAACACGTACTCTAAAATTAACCACATAATTGGACATAAAATAATCCTCAACAAAGTAAAAGAATCAAAATCATACCAAACACATTCTTGGGCCAAAGTGCAATAAAAATAGAAGTCAAAACTGTGAAAATTGCTCAAAACCATGCAATTGCATGGAACTTAAACAACATGCTCCCGAATGACTTTCCAGTAAATAATGAAATTAAGGCAGAAATCAAGAAGTTCTTTGAAAATAAGGAGAACAATGTTACAGCATGCCAGAATCTCTGGGACACAGCTAAGGCCATGTTAAGATGGAAATTCATAACACTAAATGCCCACATCAAAAAGACAGATCTCAAGTGAACAACCTCACTTCACAACTGAATGAATTAGAGAAGGAAGAACAAACCAACCCCAAAACTACCAGAGGATGAGAAATAACAAAAATCAGATCTGAAGTGAAGGAAATTGAGAGCCAAAAAAACATTCAAAAGATCAATGAATCCAGGAGTTGTTTTTCTGAAAAAAATAATAAAGTATATAGACCACTAGCTTGACTAATAAAGAAAAAAATATAGAAGATCCAAATGAACACAATTAGAAAGAATGAAGGGAATGTTACTACTAACCCCACAAAAATAAAAACAACCATCAGAAACTAATATGAATACCTCTAGACACACAAACTAGAAAACCTAGAAGAAATTGATACATTCCTGGACACATATACCTTGCCAAGAATGAGCCAGGAAGAAATTAGTTCCTTTAACAGAACAATAAAGAGCTCTGAAATTAAGTCAGTAATAAATAGCCTACTAACCAAAAGAAAAGCCCTGGACCAGATGGATTCACAGCCAACTTCTACCAGATGTATGAAGAAGAGCTGGTAACATTCCTACAGAATTCATTCCCAAAAATTGAGGAGGAGGACCTCCTTCCCAACTCATTCTATGAATCCAGCAGCATCTATTCAAAACCTGTCAGAGACACAACAAAAACAGAAAACTTCAAGTTAATATTTTTGATGAACATTGATGCAATGATCCTCAACAAACTACTTGCAAACTGAATCCAGCAGCATATCAAAAAGCTAATCCACTATGACCAGGTAGGCTTCATCCCTGGGGTTCAAGATTTGTTCAATGTATGCAAATCAATATATGTGATTCATCACATAAACAGAATTAAATACAAGACCACAGAATTATCTCAATAGACACAGAAAAGGTTTTGAATAAAATTAAACACAACTTTATGTTAAAAACTCTGAATAAATTAGGTATTAAAGGAACATACCTCAAAATAATAAGAGCCATCTATGACAAGTCCAGAGCCAACATTATACTAAATGGGAAAAAGCTCAAACATTCACCTTAAAAACCAGCAGAAGAGAAAAATGCCCTCTCTTACCACTTCTACTCAACATAGTATTGGAAATCCTAGCCAGAGCAATCGGGCAAGAGAAAAAAACAAAAGCATCCAAATAGGAAGAGATGAAGCCAAACTATCTCTGATTGCAGGTGACATGATTCTATATCTGGAAAACCCCATGGTTTTGGCCCAAAAGCTCCTCCAGCTAATAAACAACTGTTGTAAAGTTTCAGGATAGAAAATCAATGTACAGAACTCACTAGCATTCCTATACATCAGCAACAGCCAAATCTACAGCTAAATCAGAAAGGCAATCCCATTCACAATTGACACAAAAAGAATAGAATACCTAAGAATACAGCTAACCAGGGAGGTGAATAATTCCTACAATGACAATTATAAAATACTGCTCAAAGAAATCAGAGAAGATACAAACAAATGGAAAAACCACCCATGCTCATGGATAGGAGAATCAATATCATTAAAATGGCTATACTGGCCAAAGAAATTTACAGATTTAATGTCATTTTTATCAAATTATTGACAACATTCTTCACAAAACTAGAAAAATGGTTTTAAAATTCCTATGGAACCAAAAAGGGACCCAAATACCCAAGGCAATCCTAAGGAAACAGAACAAAGCTGGAGGCATTACCTTACCCAACTTCAAACTATACTACAAGGCTACAGTAACCAAAACAGCATGGTACTGGTACAAAAACAGACACATAGACCATTGGGACACAACAGAGAGCCCAGAAATAAGGCCACACATCTGCAACCCTCCAATCTTTGACAGAAACAAGTAATGAGGAAAAGACTTCTTATTCAATAAATGGCATTGGGGTAACTGGCTAGCCATATGCAGAAGATTGAATCTGGATCCCTTTCTTATACCATATACAAAAATCAACTGAAGATAGATTAAAGACTGAAATGTCTTAAAATTAAAGCCCAAAACTATGAAGAAAACCATGAAGACAACCTAGGCAATACCATTCTGTACATAGGGATGGGCAAAGATTTTATGACAAAGACACCAAAAGCAATAGCAACAAAAGCAAAATTGACAATTGGGATCTAATTAAACTTAAGACCCTCCACAGTGCAGAAGAAACTATCAACAGAGTAAACAGACAACCTACAGAATGTGAGAAAATTTTTGCAAACTATGCATCCAACAAAGGTCTAATATCCAGCATCTATAAGGAACTTAAATAAATCTAGAAGAAAAAAAAAACAACCCCATAAAAAGTGTGCAAAGGATATGAACAAACACTTCTCAAAAGAAGATATACATGCAGTCAACAAGAATTTGAAAAGGAGCTCAATATTCCTGATCATTTAAAAAATGAAAATTAAAACCAAAATGAGACACCATCTCCCACCAGTCAGAATGGATATTATTTAAACGTTAAAAAATAACAGATGCTGGTGAGGTTGTGAAGAAAAGGGAACACTTATACACTGTTGGAGGGAGTGTAAATAAGTTCAACCATTGTGAAAAACAGTATGATGATTTTTCAAAGAACTAAAAGCAGAACTGCCATTCGACCCAGCAATCCCATTACTGGGTATATACTCAGAGGAATATAAATTATTCTACCATAAAGACACATGCACTTATATGTTCATTGCAGCACTATTCACAATAGCAAAGACATGGAATCAATGTAAATGCCCACCAATGACAGATTGGATAAAGAAAATGTGTTACAGATACACCATGGAATACTATGCAGCCATAAAAAAGAATAAGATTATGTCTTCTGCTGGAACATGGAAAAAGCTGCAGGTTATTATCTTCAGCAAAGTAATGCAGGCACAGAAAACCAAATACCACATGTTCTCACTTATAAGTGGGAGCTAAGTGATGAGAACTTATGAACACAAAGAAGGAAACAACAGACACTGGAATCTACTTGAGATGAGAGGATGGGAGGAAAGAAAAAAATGTGTATTATGTTGTTATTGAGTATTAACATTCTATACATCAATTAGGTCAACGGGTAGATAATGCTCTAGCCTTCTTTTATTGATTATCTTTAAATTCTATCAATTACTAAATATGGAGTGTTCATATCTCCAACTATAATTGTGAATTTGTCCATTTCTCCTTTTATATTTGTTCTGCTTTTATTTATATATTTTGAAGCTCTATTACTGAGTGTATATACATTTAAAATCTCCTTCATTAATTGATACTTTTGTTGTTTAAAAATGTCCCTCATTATCCTTGGTAATATTTCTTGTCCTGAAGTCTATTTTTTTTTTTTTTTACTTTTTGTCTCTATGGATTTGTTTATTGTGGGCTGTTCATGTAAATGAAATAATACACTATATGGTCTTCGTGGCTGGCTTCTTTCACATAGCATAACCTTTTAAAGGGACATCTTTATTATAGTCTGTATTAATATTTCATTTTTTTAACTTTTATGTTCAAGGGTATATGTGAAGGTTTGTTACGTGGGTAAATTCGTGTCATGGGGGTTGTACAGATTATTTCATCACCCAGATATCAATTTTAGTACTCAATAGTTATCTTTTCTGCTCCTGTCCCTCCTCGCATCCTCCAACCTCAAGTGCACCCCAGTGTCTGTTGTTTCTTTGTGCTCATGAGTTATCATCATTTAGCTCACACTTCTAAGTGAGAACATGCGGTATTTGGTTTTCTATTCCTGTGTTAGTCTGATAAGGATGATGGTCTCCAGCTCCACCCATGTTCCTGTTAAAGACATCAACTTGTTCTTTTTTTATGGCTGCATATGTTTTATGGTGTATATGTAAATATTTTCTTTATCCAATCTGTCATTGATGGGCATTTAGGTGGATTCCATGTCTTTGTTATTGTGAATAGCACTGCAATGAACATTCGTGTTCATGTGTCTTTATGGTAGAATGATTTATATTCCTCTGGATATACACCTAGTAATAGGATTGCTAGGTCGAATGGTAGTTCTGCTTTTAGCTCTTTGAGAAATTACCATACTGCTTTCCACAATGGCTGAATTAATTTACACGCCCACCAATGGTTTATAAGTGTTCACTTTTCTCTGCAGCCTCACCAACATCTATTGATTTTTTGACTTTTAACTAATAGCCATTGTGACTGGAGTGACATGGTATATCACTGTTGTTTTGATTTGCGTTTCTCTAATGATCAATGATATTGAGCTTCTTTTCATATGCTTGTTGTCCCGGTGTATGTCTTCTTTTTAAAAGTGTCTCTTCATGTCCTTTGGCCACTTTTTAATAGGATTGTTTTCTCTTTTTTCTTTATTATTATTATTATCATACTTTAAGTTTTAGGGTACATGTGCACAACGTGCAGGTTTGTTACATATGTATACATGTGCCATGTTGGTGTGCTGCACCCATTGACTCGTCATTTAACATTAGGTATATCTCCTAATGCTATCCCTCCCCCCTCCCCCCACCGCACAACCGGCCCCAGTGTGTGATGTTCCCCTTCCTGTGTCCATGTGATCTCATTGTTCAATTCCCACCTATGAGTGAGAACATGTGGTGTTTGGTTGTTTTGTCATTGCGACAGTTTGCTGAGAATGATGGTTTCTGGCTTCATCCATGTCCCTACAAAGGACATGAGCTCATCATTTTTTATGGCTGCATAGTATTCCATGGTATATATGTGCCACATTTTCTTAATCCAGTCTATCATTGTTGGACATTTGGGTTAGTTCCAAGTCTTTGCTATTGTGAATAGTGCCGCAATAAACATACATCTGCATGTGTCTTTATAGCAGCAAGGATTATAATCCTTTGGGTATATACCCAGTAATGGGATGGTGGGAACAAATGGTATTTCTAATTCTAGATCCCTGAGAAATCGCCACATCGACCTCCACAATGGTTGAACTAGTTTACAGTCCCACCAACAGTGTAAAAGTGTTCCTATTTCTTCCCATCCTCTCCAGCACCTGTTGTTTCCTGACTTTTCAATGATTGCCATTCTAACTGGTTTGAGATGGTATCTCATTGTGGTTTTGATTTGCATTTCTCTGATGGCCAGTGATGATGAGCATTTTTTCATGTGTTTTTTGGCTGCATAAATGTCTTCTTTTGAGAAGTGTCTGTTCATATCCTTTGCCCACTTTTTGATGGTACTGTTTGTTTTTTTCTTGTAAATTTGTTTGAGTTCACTGTAGATTCTGGATATTAGCCCCTTGTCAGATGAGTAGGTTGCAAAAATCTTCTCCCATTCTGTAGGTTGCCTGTTCACTCTGATGGTGGTTTCTTTTGCTGTGCAGAAGCTCTTTAGTTTAATTAGATCCCATTTGTCAATTTTGGCTTTTGCAGCAATTGCTTTTGGTGTTCCAGACATGAAGCCCTTGCCCTTGCCTATGTCCTGAATGGTATTGCCTAAGTTATCTTCTAGGATTTTTATGGTTTTAGGTCTAACATGTAAGTCTTTAATCCATCTTGAATTAATTTTTGTATAAGGTGTAAGGAAGGGATCCAGTTTCAGCTTTCTACATATGGCTAGCCAGTTTTCCCAAGCACCACTTATTAAAAATGGAATCCCTTCGCATTGCTTGCTTTTGTCAGGTTTGTCAAAGATCAGATAGTTGTAGATATGTGGCATTATTTCCGAGGGCTCTGTTCTGTTCTGTTCCATTGGTCTATATCTCTGTTTTGGTACCAGTACCATGTTGTTTTGGTTACTGTAGCCTTGTAGTATAGTTTGAAGTCAGGTAGCATGATGCCTCCAGCTTTGTTCTTTTGGCTTAGGATTGACTTGGCAATGCGGGCTCTTTTTTGGTTCCATATGAACTTTAAAGTAGTTTTTTCCAATTCTGTGAGGAAAGTCATTGGTAGCTTGATGGGGATGGCATTGAATCTATAAATTACCTTGGGCAGTATGGCCATTTTCACAATATTGATTCTTCCTACCCATGAGCATGGAATGTTCTTCCATTTGTTTGTGTCCTCTTTTATTTCATTGAGCAGTGGTTTGTAGTTCTCCTTAAAGAGGTCCTTCACATCCCTTGCAAGTTGGATTCCTAGGTATTTTATTCTCTTTGAAGCAATTGTGAATGGGAGTCCACTCAGGATTTGGCTCTCTATTTGTCTGCTATTGGTGTATAAGAATGCTTGTGATTTTTGCACATTGATTTTGTATCCTGAGACTTTGCTGAAGTTGCTTATCAGCTTAAGGAGATTTTGGGCTGAGACAATGGGGTTTTCTAAATATACAATCATGTCATCTGCAAACGGACAATTTGACTTCCTCTTTTCCTAATTGGATGCCCATTATTTCCTTCTCCTGCCTGATTGCCCTGGCCAGAACTTCCAACACTATGTTGAATAGGAGTGGTGAGAGAGGGCATCCCTGTCTTGTGCCAGTTTTCAAAGGGAATGCTTGCAGTTTTTGTCCATTCAGTATGATATTGGCTGTGGGTTTGTCAAAGACAGCTCTTATTATTTTGAGATACGTCCCATCAATACCTAATTTATTGAGAGTTTTTAGCATGAAGGGCTGTTGAATTTTGTCAAAGACCTTTTCTGCATGTATTGAGATAATCATGTGATTTTTGTCTTTGGTTCTGTTTATATGCTGGATTACGTTTACTGATTTTCATATGTTGAACCAGCCTTGCATCCCAGGGATGAAGCCCACTTGATCATGCTGGATAAGCTTTTTGATGTGTTGCTGGATTCGTTTTGCCAGTATTTTATGGAGGATTTTTGCATCAATGTTCATCAAGGATATTGGTCTAAAATTCTCTTTTTTTGCTGTGTCTCTGCCAGGCTTTGGTATCAGGATGATGCTGGCCTCATAAAATGAGTAAGGGAGGATTCCCTCTTTTTCTATTGATTGGAACAGTTTCAGAAGGAATGGTACCAGCTCTTCCTTGTAGCTCTGGTAGAATTCGGCTGTGAATCCATCTGGTCCTGGACTTTTTTTGGTTGATAAGCTGTTAATTATTGCCCCAATTTCAGAGCCTGTTATTGGTCTATTCAGAGATTCAAATTCTTCCTGGTTTAGTCTTGGGATGGTGTATGTGTTGAGGAATTTATCCATTTCTTCTAGATTTTCTAGTTTATTTGCATAGTGGTGTTTATAGTATTCTCTGATGCTAGTTTGTATTTCTGTGGGATCAGTGGTGATATCCCCTTTGTCATTTTTTATTGTGTCTATTTGATTCTTCTCTGTTTTCTTCTTTATTAGTCTTGCTGGTGGTCTATCAATTTTGTTGATCTTTTCAAAAAACCAGCTCCTAGATTCATTGATTTTTTGAAGGGTTTTTTTGTGTCTCTATTTCCTTCAGTTCTGCTCTGATCTTAGTTATTTCTTGCCTTCTGCTAGCTTTTGAATGTGTTAGTTCTTGCTTCTCTAGTCCTTTCAGTTGTGATGTTAGGGTGTCAATTTTAGATCGTTCCTGCTTTCTCTTGTGGGAATTTAGTCCTATAAATTTCCCTCTACACACTGCTTTGGATGTGTCCCAGAAATTCTGGTATGTTGTGTCTTTGTTCTCGTTGGTTTTGAAGAACATCTTTATTTCTGCCTTCATTTCATTTTGTGCCCAGTAGTCATTCAGGAGCAGGTTGTTCAGTTTCCATGTAGTCGAGTGGTTTTGAGTGAGTTTCTTAATCCTGAGTTCTAGTTTGATTGCACTGTGGTCTGAGAGACAGTTTGTTATAATTTCTGTTCTTTTACATTTGCTGAGGAGTGCTTTACTTCCAACTCTGTGGTCAATTTTGGAATAGGTGTGGTGTGGTGCTGAAAAGAATGTATATTCCACTGATTTGGGGTGGAGAGTTCTGTAGATGTCTATTAGGTCTGCTCGGTGCAGAACTGAGTTCAATTTCTAGATATCCTTGTTAATTTTCTGTCTCATTGATCTGTCTAATGTTGACAGTGGGGTGTTAGAGTCTCCCATTATTAATGTGTGGGAGTCTAAGTCTCTTTGTATGTCACTCAGGACTTGCTTTTTGCATCTGGGTGCTCCTGTATTGCGTGCATATATATTTAAGATAGTTAGTTCTTCTTGTTGAATTGGTCCCTTTGCCATAATGTAATGGCCTTCTTTGTCTCTTTTGATCTTTGTTGGTTTAAAGTCTGTTGTATCAGAGACTAGGATTGCAACCCCTGCCTTTTTTTGTTTTCCATTTGCTTGGTAGATCTTCCTCCATCCCTTTATTTTGAGCCTATGTATGTCTCTGTACATGAGATGGGTTTCCTGAATACAACACACTGATGGGTCTTGACTCTTTATCCAATTTGCCAGTCTGTGCCTTTTAATTGGAGCATTTAGCCCATTTACATTTAAGGTTAGTATTGTTCTGTGTGAAAGTGATCCTGTCATTATGATGTTAGCTGGTTATTTTGCTCGTTAGTTGATGCAGTTTCTTCCTAGCCTGGATGCTCTTTACAATTTGGCATGTTTTTGCAGTGGCTGGTACCGGTTTTTCCTTTCCATGTTTAGTGCTTCCTTCGGGAGCTCTTTAAGGCAGGCCTGGTGGTAACAAAATCTCTCAGCATTTGCTTGTCTGTAAAGTATTTTATTTCTCCTTCACTTATGAAGCTTAGTTTGGCTGGATATGAAATTCTGGGTTGAAAATTCTTTTCTTTAAGAATGATTAATATTGGCCCCCACTCTCTTCTGGCTTGTAGAGTTTCTGCTGAGAGATCAGCTGTTAGTCTGATGGGCTTCCCTTTGTGGGTAACCCGACCTTTCTCTCTGGCTGCCCTTAACATTTTTTCCTTCATTTCAACTTTGGTGAATCTGACAATTATGTGTCTTGGAGTTACTCTTCTCGAGGAGTATCTTTGTGGCGTTCTCTGTATTTCCTGAATTTGAATGTTGGCCTGCCTTGCTAGATTGGGGAAGTTCTCTTGTATAATATCCTGCAGAGTGTTTTCCAACTTGGTTCCATTCTCCCTGTCACTTTCAGATACACCAATTAGACGTAGATTTGGTCTTTTCACATAGTCCCATATTTCTTGGAGGCTTTGTTCATTTCTTTTTATTCTTTTTTCTCTAAACTTCTCTTCATGCTTCATTCCATTCATTTTGTGTTCCATCGCTGATACCCTTTCTTCCAGTTGATCGCATCAGTTACTGAGGGTTGTGCGTTCGTCACATAGTTCTCATGCCATGGTTTTCAGCTCCATCAGGTCCTTTAAGGACTTCTCTGCATTGGTTATTCTAGTTGTCCATTCATCTAATTTTTTTTCAAAGCCTTTAACTTCTTTGCCCTTGGTTTGAACTTCTTCCTTTAGCTTGGAGCAATTTGATCTTCTGAAGCCTTCTTCTCTCAATTCATCAAAGTCATTCTCCATCCAGCTTTGTTTCATTGCTGGTGAGGAGCTGCGTTCCTTTGGAGGAGGAGAGGTGCTCTGATTTTTAGAGTTTCCAGTTTTTCAGCTCTGTTTTTTCCCCATCTTTGTGGTTTTATCTGCCTGTAGTCTTTGATGATGGTGACGTACAGATGGGTTTTTGGTGTGGATGTCCTTTCTGTTTGTTAGTTTTCCTTCTAACAGTCAGCACCCTCAGCTGCAGGTCTGTTGGAGTTTACTGGAGGTCCACTCCAGACCCTGTTTGCCTGGGTATCATTAGCGGTGGCTGCGGAACACTGGATATTGGTGAACTGCAAATGCTGCTGCCTGATTATTCCTCTGGAAGTTTTGTCTCAGAGGAGTAAGTCTGCCCCTACTGGGGGTTGCCTCCCAGTTAGGCTACTCGGGGGTCAGGGACCTACTTAAGGAGGTGGTCTGCCCATTCTCAGATCTCAAGCTGCATGCTGGGAGAACCACTGCTCTCTTCAAAGCTGTCAGACAGGGACTTTTAAGTCTGCAGAGGTTATTGCTGTCTATTGTTTGTCTGTGCCCTCCCCCCAGAGGTGGAGCCTACAGAGGCAGGCAGGCCTCCTTGAACTATGGGCTCCCCCCAGTTCGAGCTTCCTGTCCGCTTTGTTTACCTACTCAAGCCTGGGCAACGGCAGGCACCCCTCCCCCAACCTTGCTGCCGCCTTGCGGTTTGATCTCAGACTGCTGTGCTAGCAATGAGCGAGGCTCCATGGGCGTAGGACCCTCTGAGCCAGATGCGGGATATAATCTCCTGGTGTGCCATTTGTTAAGCTCGTTGGAAAAGCGCAGTATTAGGGTAGGACTAACCTGATTTTCCAGGTGCCATCTGTCACCCCTTTCTTTGACTAGGAAAGGGAATTCCCTCACCCTTTGCATTTCCCAGTTGAGGCGCTGCCTCGCCCTGCTTCGGCTCACACACAGTGCACTGCACCCACTGTCCTGCACCCACTGTCTGGCACTCCTTGTGACATGAACCCGGTACCTCAGTTGGAAATGCAGAAATCACCCATCTTCTGCATCACTCATGCTGGGAGCTGTAGACTGGAGATGTTCCTATTCGGCCATCTTGGATCCACCTGAAGTCTATTTTTCAATATTAATATAGCCACTGCACTTTATTTGATAAGTGTTTGCAATCATATCTTTTTCTATCCTTTTAATTTTAACCTGTCTGTGCTTCTTTATTTAAATGAGTTTTTGTAGACAGCAGAAAGTTGGTCTTTGTTTTTACTTGACTATGTGAACCATTTATGCTTAATGTAATTTTCTATATGGTTAGATTAAGTTTATCATCTTGCTATGTTTTCCACGTGTAACATTTGTTCTTTTTATTGTTATTTGTTGTTCTTTTTTTCTTTTCTGACTTCGTTTGAATTACTTGATTTGCTTTTGCAGCTTTCCATTTTATCTTCCTGTATTTGAATTTTTTTAGCTGCACTTATTTGGAGAGTTTTTTTTTTTTGGCTTCTGGTTTTGCATATGTGTATTTATTCTATTACAGCCTACCTTCAAATAATATTATATTACTTCATGTATAAGACCTTACAACAATGTACATCTATTTACGCTTTCTATCTTTTGTGCGATTGTGGTCATACATTTTATGTCTATATAATTTATAAGTACAAAAAACGTTGTTATTTTTGAACAGTGAATTATATTTTAATCAAATTTTCAAATGAGTAAATAAATAAATACTATAAATCAAAATATGGTATGCAACAGAAATAAAAAATGCTTCTGATTGTCTCATCAGCAGGCTGGACATGGGGGAGAAAAAAAATCTCTCAGCTTGGGGATATGACAATAGTCTTCCAAAACTGAAAAGCAAAGAGAAAAATATTTGAAAAAGGAACAGAATATCTAACAATAGTGGGACAACAAAAGATGTAACTATGCATACTGGGAACACCATAAGGAGAAGAAAGAGAAAAAAAAGAAATATTTGAAGTGACTGAGAATTTTCTGAAATTAATGTCAAACACTTAACAACAATCAGGACACTAAGAGAATCAACCAGGATGATTCCAAAAAAAAAAAAAAAGGAATAAAAGAAAAAGCTACACTTAGTCTTATCATATTTAAACTGCAGAAAATCAAAGATAAGGAAAAGATGTAAGAAGTTTAAAAAAGATACAGAAGTTTAAAAAATGGCTTACTTGCTGAGAAGTAAAAATAAATTAGAATGAAATATGTAAAGTATCGAGAGAAAAGAAATCCAGCATCTTAAACTTCTGTATCCTATGAAATTATCTTTCAAAAGTGAAGATGAAATAAACATTTTGTCAGACAAACAAGAACTGAGAACGTGTGTCACCAGAAGAATGGTCTCATAAAGTTAAAAGAAGCTCCTCAGGAATAATGAAAGAAATATTTGTCAGAAACTTGGATGTATTTAAAGAAAGAAAGAATATTAGAAAAAGAATAAGTGAAAGTAAAATAAAAAATTTATATTTTTATCTTAATTGATCTAACAGAAAACACTTTGTCCAAAATAGAAATAGCAACCCTGTGTGTGTGTGTGTGTGTGCTTATATATAAGAGAAGTGAATTACAGCTATAATAGAAATTTCAGAAAGAAAGAATAGAAAATATTTTGTTATTATAATGTACCTGTACCAGCTGTGAAGCAGTATAATATTATTTAAAAATGAACTTGGATTAGTTGTAAATTTATATTGCAAACTAAAGAGACACCTAAATAAAGTAGAAAAAAATACATAATTGATGTTTTAGTCTGTTCTCGTGCTGCTAGTAAAGACACACCCAAGACTGGGTAATTTATAAAGAAAAGAGGTTTAATTGACTCACAGTTCCACATGGCTGGGGAGACCTCACAATCATGGTGGAATGCAAAAACAAAGCATGAGATGTCTTATGTGGCAGCAGGCAAGAGAGAGTTTATGCAAGGGAACTCCCATTAATAAAACCATTAGATCTCATGAGACTTATTCACTACCATGAGAACAGTATGGACAAAATTGCCTCACATCATTCAATTATCACCACTTTGCCCCGCCCTTGACATATGGATACTATTACAATTCAAAATGAGATTTGAGTGGGGACACAGCCAAACTGTAGCATTCCACCCCATCCCCTCACAAATCTTACATCCTCACATTTCAAAACCAATCATGTCTTCCCAACAGTCCTCTAAAGTCTTAACTCATTTCAGCATAAATCAAAAGTCCACAGTCCAAAGTCTTATCTGAGACAAGGCAAGTCTCTTCTACCTATAAGCCTGTAAAATCAAAAGCAAGTTAGTTACTTCCTAGATACAATGGGGGTACAGGCATTGGGTAAATACACTTGTTCTAAATGAGAGAAATTGGCCAAAATGAAGGAGCCACAGGCCCTTCTGAAATCCAAAGGGCAGTCAAATCTTAAAGCTCCAGAATGATCTCCTTTGACTCCATGTCTCACATGCAGGTCATGCTGATGCAAGAGGTGGGTTCCCATGGTCTTGGGCAGCTCCATCCTGTGGCTTTGCAGGATACAGCTCCCCTCCTGGCTGCTTTCATGGGCTGACATTGAGTCTGTGGCTTTTCCAGGTGCACAGTGCAAGCTGTTGGTGGATCTACCATTCTGGAGTCTGAAGGATAGTGGCCCTCTTCTCACAGCTCCACTAGGCAGTGCCTCAGTGGGGACTCTGTGTGGGGGCTTCAAGCCCACATATGCCTTCTGCACTGCCTTAGCAGAGGTAATCCATGAGGGCTCCACCCCTGCAGCAAACTTCTGTCAGGAAATCCAGGTATTTCCACACATCATCTGAAATATAAGCAGAGGTTCTTGAACCTCAGTTCTTGACTTCTGTTCATGCATAGGCTCAACACCACATGGAAGCTGCCAAGGCTCAAGGCTTGCACCCTCTGAATCCACAGCCTGAGCCATACCTTGTCCCCTTTAAGCCAAGGCTGGAGCAGCTGGGATGCAGGGCACCAATCTCAAGGCTGCACACAGCACTGGGGCCCTGTACCCACCCCAGGAAACCATTTTTCCCTCCTAGGCCTCCAAGCTTATGATGGGAGGGGCTGATACAAAGGTCTCTGACATGCCCTGGAGACATTTTCCCCATTGTCTTGGCAATTAGCATTTTGCTCCTCGTTACTTATGCAAATTTCTGCTGATGGCTTGAATTTCTCCCCAGAAAATGGATTTTTCTTTTCTACTGCATCATTAGGTCTGCAAATGTTTCAAACTTTTATGCTCTCCTTCCTCTTGAGCACTTTCCTGCTTAGAAATTTTTTCTTCCAGATACTCTATATCATCTCTCTCAAGTTCAAAGTTTCACAAATCTCTAGAGCAAGGACAAAATACCACCAGTCTCTTTGCTAAAACATAGCAAGAGTCACCTTTGCTCCAGTTCCTGGCAAGTTCCTCATCTCCATCTGAGACCACCTCAGCCTGGACTTTATTGTCCATATCACTATCCAAATTGGTCAAAACCAACAAAAAAGTCTCTAGGAAATTCCAAACTTTCCCACATTTTTCTGGCTTCTTCTGAGGCTCCAAACTGGCCCAACGCCTGCCTGTTACCCAGTTCCAAAGTTGCTTCCACATTTTTAGGTGTCTTTACAGCAGTGCCCCACTCCCAATACCAATTTACTGTATTAGCCTGTTCTCACATGGTTAATAAACACATACCCAAGACTGGGTAACTTATAAAGGAAAGAGGTTTAAATGATTCACAGTTGCACATGGTTGGGGAGGCCTCACAAACATAGTGGAAGATGAAGGGGAAGCAAGACACATATTACATGGCATCAGGCAAGAGGGAGCTTGTGCAGGGGAGCTCCCATTTATAAAACTATCAGATCTCATGGGACTTATTCACTACCATGAGAAAAGTATGCAGAAACTTCCCATGATTTAATTATCTCCACCAGGCCCTGCCCTTGACAGGTGGGAATTATTACAATTCAAGCTGAGATTTGGGTGGGGACACAGGCAAACCATATCAATTGATGTGCTAAGAAATGAGATAAGTTGAAATTATATTAAAAGCCTAATTAAAACCACAAAAAGTCAGCAAAAGTATGTTTCTTCATTTTTTGAGGCCACTATAACAAAATACCTTAGACTGGGAAACTTATAAACAACACAAATTTATTGCTCAGTTTTGGAGGCTGCAAATCTAAGATCAAGGCCCCAGCAAATTTAGTGTCTGGTAAGGTCTATTTCCTCATAGATGACATTTTCTAGCTGTGTCCTCACATGGCAGAATGGGTGACCAAGCTCCTTCAGGCTTCTTTCATAAGGTCACTAATTCTGTACGTGAAAGTGGAGTCCTCATGACTTAATCACTTCCTAAAGGCTCCCCTTTGTCATACCATCACCTCAGGAGTTAAGACTTCTCCATATGAATTCTGGGGAAACACAGACCATAGCAGTGTGAAAGACAAAAATATGAAAAAACACAAAGGTAACATATAGAAAACATAACAAATATTGTATATATTAATCCAACTATATCAACAATCACTTTAAACTGCACCCATGGTCTAAATACACCAATTAAAAGACACATACAGTTAAAGTGGATCCAAAAATATCCAACTGTATGTTGTCTACAAGGAGCCCACTTTAAATATAAAGACATGTATAAACTTAAAGTAAATGGGTGGAGAAAGACATGGCATGCAAACACAACGAAAGTTGAAGTAGCTATATTAATTTCAGACACAGCCAACTTTAGAGAAAGGAAAGTTATCAGGAATAAGAGGGTTATTACATACTGATAAAGAAGTCAGTGCTCCAACAAGAAATAACATTTCGTTTGTGTTTTTTTTTTTGGATCTGCATGTGTTTATTGAACTCTAGTAAAGCAGCATGAGAGTGCAGGCTCATAAATTACATTATTTATTTGCTAGCGTTGCATGCTAGATTCTAAAATTAAGAGATTGCTTAGCAATTAATAATACATTCAGCATCCCTTGTCTCATTGGGTGAGATTTATATCCTTGGGACTTGCTCTTCTAGTTATAAACATGAGTGATTTAAGGTTCATACTTAATTCCTATTTCAAATTCTTAAGCTAGAAAGATACTTGCAAGACTATATTTAAAAGACTTATTTTGAAAAATGTGTACGTATATTTCTAACTGACAGTGAGCTAATTATGACTACAATGTGCTATATGCTTAAAAATACCTGATCTTGAGTATTGCTTACTTTTGTAATATAAACTTGTTTTCTTGTCTTCAGATTATAATAATTCTTTCACTTTGCATTATGCTCTTTTTGAGATCAATATTAACTAATTGTTGTAAAGATGAGATAATGAGGTAGCAAGTCAAATAGCATTCACAAAGTAGGTTTTCTTTGAACTAGTAGTTTTCTAAGAAATTAAATAAAACAGATTTTCACAAGTAGGTTTTCTAAATGTACAGTGGGTAGTGATACTTGAAAATGGAAGCATCTTAAATATCAACTTGTTAAGTGGAGCAGATTAGGATAGTATTAATGCCATCTTGAAGTTTCTTAATATATTTAAGATGAGGTAGTAAATAGGTTAATTATTTTATATTGGCTATTATTTTTGCTTCATGATAATGATTATAAAGCAACAATTGCTTTTTTTTATTATACTTTAAGTTTTAGGGTACATGTGCACCACGTGCAGGTTTGTTACATATGTATACATGTGCCATGTTGGTGTGCTGCACCCATTAACTCGTCATTTAACATTAGGTATATCTCCTAATGCTATCTCTCCCCGACCCCACCCCACAACAGGCCCCAGTGTGTGATGTTCCCCTTCCTGTGTCCATGTGTTCTCATTGTTCAATTCCCACCTATGAGTGAGAACATGCAGTGTTTGTTTTTTTGTCGTTGTGATAGTTTGCTGAGAATGATGGTTTCCGGCTTCATCCATGTCCCTACAAAGGACATGAACTCATCCTTTTGTATGGCTGCATGGTATTCCATGGTGTATATGTGCCACATTTTCTTAATCCAGTCTATCATTGTTGGACATTTGGCTTGGTTCCAAGTCTTTGCTATTGTGAATAGTGCTGCAATAACCATACGTGTGCATGTGTCTTTAGAGCAGCATGACTTATAATCCTTTGGGTATATACCCAGTAATGGGATGGCTGGGTCAAATGGTATTTCTAGTTCTAGATCCCTGAGGAATCGCCACACTGACTTCCACAATGGTTGAACTAGTTTACAGTCTCACCAACAGTGTAAAAGTGTTCCTATTTCTCCACATCCTCTCCAGCACATTGTTTCCTGACTTTTTAATGATCGCCATTCTAACTGGTGTGAGATGGTATCTCATTGTGGTTTTGATTTGCATTTCTCTCATGGCCAGTGATGATGAGCATTTTAAGCTGAAACTGGATCCCTTCCTTACATCTTATACAAAAATTAATTCAAGATGGATTAAAGACTTAAATGTTAGACCTAAAACCATAAAAACCCTAGAAGAAAACCTAGGCATTACCATTCAGGACATAGGCATGGGCAAGGACTTCATGTCTAAAACACCAAAAGCAATGGCAACAGAAGCAAAAATTGACAAATGGGATCTAATTAAACTAAAGAGCTTCTGCACAGCAAAAGAAACTACCATCAGAGTGAACAGGCAACCTACAGAATGGGAGAAAATTTTTGCAATCTACTCATCTGACAAAGGGCTAATATCCAGAATCTACAATTAACTCAAACAAATTTACAAGAAAAAAACAAACAACCCCATCAAAAAGTGGGTGAAGGATATGAACAGACACTTCTCAAAGGAAGACATTTATGCAGCCAAAAGACACATGAAGAAATAACATTTCATAATGTGTACACACTGAAAAAGAGAACATCAAAATGCATGAGGTAAAAACTTACAGAACATCAAAGAGAAATGGAAGAATCCACTGTTATATTTTTTGAAGACATTAATACCCCTCTGTCAGAAATGGACAGATCTACCATGCAGAAAGTTATTAAGGACACAGTTGAACTCAATATCACAAGCAACTAAATATAATTGACACTGTAGACCACTGCATCCAACAACAGAAGAATACACATTCTTCTTAAGTTCACGTGAAACATTAATCAACATAGATGACATTCTAACCTATAACACACAACTTAAAAAATTTAAAAGAATAGAAATCATACAACATCTGCTTTCACCACAATGGAATTAAACTAGAAATCAATAAAAGAAAGTTATGTAGAAAGCCCCAAAATACTTGGAGATTAACCAATACACTTTAAAACAACACATAAGACAAAGAAGAAATCTCAAGAAAAAAATTTAAATATTTTAACAAAGAAAACAGGGAGATCAAAGTAAGACAATAAGAAATGACAAAAATGACATTACAACTGATCCCATTACTGGGTTTAGTTCTGTATTCTTCACCTCTGTAAAATAAGGCTGATCCTATCTACTCCCTTTGATTATAGTTAGCCTGATGGGAGTTTGCACAAGCAAGGACCCAGCACAGGCTCTAGCCTAAAGTGCCTGCTCTGTGAACTAGACTTCTGGTTTTCTTTCTCCAAGCAGACAGCCAGGACTTGTACTTATCTTTTTATTTTAGAGAGAGAATTGGCCTCCTTCATCCTCTCAGACTGTTAGTTTGAGACTCTCCTACCATGGCTAGAGTGTTGAGTTTGCACGGTTCCCCCATTCTTCATTGGCCTATCTTTCTTTTCTCTCTCTCTTCTGCAAAATCCCTCCCCTACACATCCCTTTCAAGTCTGGGTTCTCGGCATTAGTCATTGAGCCCTACCTGCCTCCTCATATACACCTCTTTCCCAGAGTTGAGCCATCCTTGGATGCCAAAGAAGCCTGTTTCTTCACGGCTTTGTCCTTTGGTCTTCATCTCAGAGCCCTGGGCCTTTCTCATTCTTTTTACCCTAATCCAGAACCAGGCAGCTAGATCCGATGACAGGGTGGGTATAGAGCCCCGGTCCTCCACCACTCCAGTTGGTACTTGCCCTTACTACTCATGTTCCCACAAAAGAATCTTAATTTTTCTCCAAAACATACCTAGGTCCTGCCTCAACGGTGACACTTTAGGGCAGGCCCAGAGCCTAGTGTTGCTCATTTTCCAGAGTATCTAGTCCTGGAAGTGCAAAAGCCCATCACAGTGATCAAGAAGGTGGACGGAAAGGGCTTGAGTCTTCCCTCCTTCCAGAAACCCAAGCACTGATGTTGCTAAAGTTCCAAAGGGATTGAGGAGGGAGATAGGAGTGAGTGAGTGAATGGGGGCTATGTTCAGAGCCCAGAGTGTAAAGCTTGAATGGAGAGGCAACAAGCAGCATGTTAAATTTCTCTGGGCCTTCATTCCAATTGCTAAGCATTTTCCATGCATGGATGTGAACCAGAAGAGGCACAGTAGGCCCACACGCTGTGAAGTCCCAGCCACTCTCCAGATGACAATAATAATGGCTATTTACTGAGCACACTACTAGTGCACTTAATTCTCCCAACGTCCCTATAGAATGGTCTCTATTGTCTGCCCCATTTGTTGTGTGTTGGAAACTGAGGCTGAGAGAGGTGGAGTGCCTTGCAGAGGTCTACAGTCAGCCACGCTTGGGTTTAGGTCACAGTTCCACAGATCACCTAATAGTGTCTGCCTTGGGTAAGACCCTGCCCTACTCTCAGCTTCAGTTACCATATAAACAAAAAAGAACTTAAACTCTGCATTCCTCATCTCCCTCCCAGTAGTAGGAGGGCCCAATGATTGATGACTGGAGCCAAGTTCCATAGCACAGAGACCCAGATCAGGCCTGAATCTGAGCCAGGGTAGTGGAAAAGGGTTAGGGAGGGGTGTAGTAGGGTGGAGAGTAGCCTTTGGCTACTATCACAGAACTGAGAGGCCATACCAGGCTTAGAGAATATTTACCAGGCACTTGGATTCTCCCAAAGCATTAAGGCTGCTAAAGAAAAGGTTTATCCAGAGCTCCATAGTTCATCACAGGCGGACCTCATTCTTTACAAAGCAATTTCACATTCGTTATCTCCCTGAAGCCTTAAAACAAATCTGATCAGTAGGAGTCAGCGCAGAGTCCAACAGATGCCCTATTTGATACCTGCCTCTCTAAGTCTCAGAAAAGCTAAGAGACTACTCCCTAGTGGCAGTAAGATCGCTGCAGAGAAGCCACCTCTCTGGTTAATCTTCAGGTTAAGAAATAAATCAAAAGTTCCATTAAATAAACTAGACTAAACCTCCCTGTCTGTTCCTCCCCATCACCACACAAACAAAAACCACTGGGCAATGTTCTTACTCACTTCTCTTCCAGACATCCCTGGAGCTGGATCAAATAGTGATTTCCAATCTACAATTCCAAGGTCATTTACTGATTCATTACACAAATATTTCCCAAGACCCTACCATGTACAAGGGAGCTTTATTCCAATGGGTTCAAAAATACTTCCCCATACCCCTTCAAGGTGCTCAAATTTCAGAAGATTCAGATAAGATCTCAAATAACTCTAAGGTAGACAAAATAGTCTCCATCAGTCCATTGGGAAGGGGAATTGATAATGAGATTCACAGAAGAGGAAGAGTGTTTTCTGAGAGGAGCATCACTACATAGGGCTTTAGCGAGAAGGGCACATTTCAACTGAACCTTGAAGAATAGAGACAGCTGGGTAAGTTGGTAACGTGCCTGTAGTCCCAGCTACTCAGAAGGCTGAGGTGGAAGGATTGCTTCATCCCAGGAGTTCGAGGCTGTAGTGAGCTATGATAGTGCCACTGTACTCCAGCCTGGGTGACAAGTGAGACTACATCTCTTAAAGAAAAATTTGGAGATTTTGAACACTTCTTTTTCTTTCCACAATTAGAAGATTGTAGAAAGAAACAGACTAGTCGAAGGAATTGCATATGCAAAGATACTTTTATTTTAGTGGAAAGAGTGCTGACCTGGTAGTCAATGGACCTGGGTTTACTTCCTTAAAGATTACCTTCCTCTCTTAAGCCATCAGTTTCCTAATCTGTTAAATAATAAGATTGGGTTTGTTAACTTCTAAAGATCCTCCATGTGCTTCCACTCTGACATATTTTTTCAAATATCAGATAGTATACTTTGCTTCAGAATTGAATAGGTGAAAGAATAATGCGAGGTAATTGGATCTATACTGTGAAGACTTGAATGCCAGGCCTGAAAGCTTGAGCAAAGAAAGAAAATAGAAGCTAAGCCCCAGTTCTAAACGCTGATGTTGTGTATTTGGGCCTGGTACCAATTGAAGAACACATGCCTTGCAGTCAGGGTGGCCCAGAATTTGAACCTAGCTTTACCACACACCAGCCATGTGCATTTAAATAGTCATGCCACCTCTCTGAGCCTCAGTTTCTACATCTCTAAAATGGGAATGACAATAACTCATGGGGCTGTTGTGAAGATAAAATAATGTGCAAAAAGTGTAAAAAGTGCCAATAGGTATGTTACTTTCCTGCCTCTTAGTCCCTTCTCCCCAGCACCAGACTTTAATTGGTCTTTTCTGATCAATTACTCATTTTCCTTCTTCTCTGAAACAAGTTTCAAAATATATACCGAATCCAACCACTTATCTCCACCCACACTGCCATTCACCTGTATTATTGCAATAGTCTTTTTTTTAAATCTGCCTGATTCTGTCTACTTACAGTCTATTTTTGATCCAATGGCCAGAGAGAGCCACTCAAAATTTAACTCAAATCATGTCACTCCTCTGCTCTAAACCCTACAATGTCTCCCTATCTCAAAGCAAAAACTAGAATTTTTGCAATGGCCTATTTCCCTTCAGCTTTTAGACCTCATCTAGTCTTTAGCTACACTGTCTTCCTTGCACTTTCTCCAACAGAAAATGAACATTCTGTTTTCACTTGTTTCTTTCTTCTGAATCCTCTGTCCTCTTACCTCACTCCATTAACTCTTTCATATTTTAGTTAAATGTCAATTATCTGTGAAGTCATCCTAGACTATCACATTTAAAATTGTGACGTCCACCTCCCAGCATTCCGTATATTCCTTCCCTGCTTTTTTTTTTCTCCATAGAGTTGATTACTGTCTGATATACCATAAAATTTAATTACTTATCAGTGTTTCTCCCCACTATGATATATGCTTAATAAAGCCGGAGGCTTTATCTGCTCACCACTGATGTCTCCATACATAGAACAGCACTAAGTACTCAATAAATATTTGCTGAGTGAATACAGTGGTCCCATACTGTGTGCCAAGCACTAAGTTAAGCAGTTTGCTTGCATTATCTGAGGAAATCCTGCTTGTAAGGTAGATACCATTAGGTTCTCTATTTTTAAAAGGGAAAACCCGTGAAACTCAGAGAGGTTAAGTGACTTTCCCAAAGCCATAGATGGATTAGCTAAAAGGGGGTGGGGGTGCCAGGTTATGTTGGATTTTGTGTAGGAGCACATTTCCTGAGTAGGAAGCAGCCTGGAGTAAAGGCTGTGGTAGGTCTTGGGGGTGCTGGGTGGAGAGGAGGAACACAAGAGGAGACCTGGTTTCTTGAGGCAAGATACTGATTTCATTGGCATCTACTAGCAAGTCTATGTCTTTTTCAACAATTGGAGTTTTACAAAGAAAACTTTTTTAGTTTGCTGCAGCTGCCATGGATTTGAGACTGCAAGAGTTCTGGCCCCTTGAGGCACTGGATTTCAGACAGAAGCCATACCTGGCAGAAGGAGACACCTGAGAGTAGTGGATTGACATGAAAATAGGAAAGTTTATTATCCACATGGTTCTCTCTCTCTCCTACCATTTTGCATAACCTACGTTACTCATCTTTCTTTAATTTGTGCATATTTGTAAACAACGTTCTATTAATTCAGCCTGCCATCCACTACAGTGTAATCTTAGGAAGGCAGAGCAAGAATTTTTGTCTTTTATTCACTGCTGTATCCCCATGCCTACACAGTACCTGGCACACAGTAGACGCTCAACAGAGAGTTGTGAAATGAATCTTTGCCCTTGGAAACAAAGGCGTCCTCTTGATGGAGGGAGTAAGGAGAGTAAGGGAAAGCTCTTTTCATTGGCATCCTGGGCCAGTGCCATGCAGTAAACCCCTGCGAGGGAATTGGGCAGAAGGAGACTGCAGATGCAGGTTGGACGCGGGAAGATCGGTGAAAGGGAGGAGGCCGCGGTGTAAGGACTGAATCCTAGAGAGCGGAACTTTGCCCGGTTTCTGCAGGTCTCTATCTGACTTTGAGGGGAGCTGGTCAGAAATCCCTGGAGGAGTTCCTGTCCCCAAAAGCACAATACTGACGCTATGGGGACCAGATGGACAGAATCAAGAAAGATGAGACAGAAAGGCCTGGGAGCTTGGGGAGTGGGTGAACAAGTTCCTGTGAAAGTGAAATGGCCCTTCATTTGAATGCAAATGCTATGTAAAAGCCTGAAGCCCCTTGACGTCAGCCCAGCCATTGGTGGCCTATCTATACAGGGCTGCTAGTCACCTGGATACCCTCGTAAGAAACGTGGGATGGAGTAGCCTGAGGGGTGCAAAAGAGCTTGCGGCACAACTACGTACTGATAAGTTTATTCTCTGCTGCTTCTCAAAGTCGAGTTGGGGCCTTACAGGGACTTCAGGATGGCTTAGGGAGCGCCTTCTACCCAAGACACGATGTACGGAAGCTGTCTTTTGGAGAAAGAAGCAGGCATGTACCCGGGCACTCTCATGAGCCCTGGGGGCGACGGCACAGCTGGGACAGGCGGCACAGGGGGCGGTGGGAGTCCGATGCCAGCCTCCAATTTCGCTGCGGCACCGGCTTTCTCGCACTATATGGGGTATCCTCATATGCCCAGCATGGATCCTCACTGGCCGTCTCTGGGAGTCTGGGGCTCACCCTACAGTCCCCCGCGAGAAGACTGGAGCGTGTATCCTGGGCCGTCTAGTACAATGGGCACAGTGCCGGTGAACGACGTGACCTCTAGCCCCGCCGCTTTCTGCTCGACCGACTACAGCAACTTGGGCCCTGTGGGCGGTGGAACTAGCGGCAGCAGCCTACCAGGCCAGGCTGGCGGGTCGCTTGTCCCGACGGACGCAGGCGCCGCCAAGGCCAGTTCCCCCAGCAGGAGCCGCCACAGCCCCTATGCATGGATGCGCAAGACGGTGCAGGTGACGGGTGAGTAATCAATTCCAATGCCCACACACTTTTCCTTCCTTCCCTTCTCCGCTACTTCTCTTGGTCGGCCTGCCCTCGTACTTCTCAGGCCTCTCCCAAGAGGGCTTAGCTGAGGCGACCCCTATATGGCTGGCTGGCCTATTAGGCATCTCCCTCGCATTCGCCTGGGCTCAAAACTCACTCACTGAGTGCAGCGATTGGGACTAAACCTACCCTAGAGGTGATTTTCGCCTTTCGCTGCTCCATGAAGAAAGCGAGTGAGTGGACAATGGGTATGTTAAGCCACAAGGATCAGGATGCAACCCTGTAGTTGCCCACATGGGAAAAGAGATGCATGAGAAAGCTCAACGGGTGAATGAAGCGAGAGGGCAGCTGTAGTGTCCCGTTGTTCAGGCACTGCTGCTTGACTGTTCCATTTCCAAACCCTTACCCATCTGAGCGGGCTGTCTCCCCCCTCCCCGCCCCCAAAGCTGGTGATGCTCAATTTAGGTTCACAGTGCTTGGCTGGCAACGGACCCTCCAGTTTAGCCACTAAGTCCCCGACGGCAAAGCAACCTCTTCACCCTGGCCTCTCAGGGAAGCTCCAGCTTCCTTCCTACAAGTTGGCAGAGGCAAATTGGCCTAAAATCCATTGCCATCTTACAACGTCCTTTCTTCTAACCCAAGTGTTGAGGCAGGCGAGAAGGCTACAGCACTGACCTGGTACATAATACGGTACCTAACCCTCACACCCGCCCGACACGCAAACGAATCAGCTCCAGCACTAATAAATGGCTAAAGCCCTCATAACTATCAAAGCAGGCGTCTCTCAGGCGTGGGGGCTGAATGCAGGTCTGCGGCAGCGCGAGAGAAGTCAAAGCGATCGCGATCACAGCCTAACCAGCAAGCCAGTGGGCGACTGCTGGGAGCCAGGGCGAGGGAAGTGGCCGTTCCACTTTAATCTTAACCGGGGCTGGGGGAGGAATGTTTGTTTTCAACTGTTGTTCTTTTATTACATTCTTATTATTCCAACCCTCGCTCCCTGTCATTAGAGAAAATTAGTAAAAATCGACTCTGAGTATTTTCATCCCTCTGGGGAGGAAATGGCATTTCAATAGCATTTGTCCGCAATGATTATGCTCCTGTTCTCAGTTCTGCACTTTGTCTTTCCTCCAAAAAGCAAAGACAGGAGGGTGGGAAGTGACCCATTTTTACCATTAGGAGAACTTTTAGCCAGGAAGAGGAAGTTCTGTGTATTAGAACCTCACTAGAGTAGCGATCCCAAGGTAAAAGTAGAGTTGAAATACTTGGCTTTAAAGCGTTTGCAAGTAAATCTGCATTTTAAAAAAATATGAGTGAGTCTGTCGACTAAGTAGAATAGAAAAAGAGGTTAGGGTGGGGCACTCCCAGAGTTTTTATTACATCTAATCTCGGGGTTGTAATTAACATCCACTCACTAAACCCTAACAATCAGCAAAAGACACAAAAGCTAGAAAAGTAGTTGCTCGCAGTCTAGGATTATGTTTTGAAACACATTAAGAGGAAAGTCACTGGCGTGCTGTTTGCAATAGAGAACAAGAGAGGAAATGGATGAGATAAAAGAAATTATCTCCAGCCTTGAATTTTCTATTTATGAGGAAAAATATGACAGTTTTATCTGCTTAAAGGTCTTCCGTTTACATTTGCTTTTATTAGCCTGAGTCTCTCTCTTGGGCAATTCTAATGCCAGGAAAGGTTTCGAAACGGGCTCCTTAGTCTCTTGCATCTTTGAGCTAAACCCTCAAACCTGACTTTACAATGGCACCGTCACAAGATTTTCTATCCAATTTCTATGAGAAGTTTAAAATGGAATGATATTGGAACCATTTCGATTTTTGGCAGCCTATTCTATAGATGAGGCTTCATTAAATTAAAACTTCGTTTCATTTTAATGTCTTATAAATGAAAATAACCCTTTTGCTGTATTCTTATAGTCTAAGGTGCATATTTAGCAGCAATTTAAGAATATGATGAAAAACTTTGGTTATCTCCCTAGAAAAAATGCACAAAGGCACAGCAGCACACACACAAACACAAGTAATTTGTTACATAATTTTAGGAGATTCATGGATCCATTGAAGCCCTTTCAAGGGACATCAGGTTATAAACCCCACGAAAAAAATTAAGCTGATCACCTCACTAGGCCACCCACTCAGGACCAAAATGCACCCATTTATATGCTTAGTACATAGTGGGTCTTAAATATTTGTTTAATGAATGAATGAGTCAGATCCTCCTAAATTTTCCACTTCACTCTGTAGTACTGTGGGATAACATATGGTTTATGACTGAGAGGAAAAGATGAACTTCAATATGGAAGTAACCCTTGATTAAGGTAGTCAGATGAAAGTTCTTTCCATTACTGAAAAATGTCTTAAATAAATGTAAAAAAGGAAAAAATGCATGTATTAGTGGACAATCAGAAAACATTTCATAGCGACCATTATAGCATGTTATTTTCTAATGAGAGCAAGGAGGCTGACAGATAGAGTAAATGACTGTTCCCTAAGTGACCTGATTTAAAAAGAAGGCATGTTTATTTCCACTTAGTTCTCTAAGTGGTCTATTTCTATACATATCTAACTTTAAATATTATGCAAAAAGGAATATGACAGAAAAGTTTCTATGGAAAATTTAATATTTTCATGCACTTTCACATTTTAAACATTGGCAAGGTGATAACCTAAGCAGGCTGGAGAGAGGCTTTTCTGTTAGAAGTGGAAAAGAGGGGGAGAGCAGGAAGTAATTGTGATTGATTCTGATTCTGATTGATTGTTTTAAGCCACTGGACAACATGAAGGAATTTATGCTTGAAAGGCATTATTCAATAAGGACACTTCATAAAATTAGTTGCTTAATAATTCTTGAGAGTTATCATTGTCCCTTGGTTTTGCTCATTTCATGGGACAACTTTTTAAAAATGAATTTGGATGCAATTTTTAGCTAAAAACAGTGAAATATTACCATAAGATGAAAAGTCCTCACAGTGGAGTCCATTAGACAGTACTCCCTACATAAGAATATTCATTTTCATAATCTTTACATTCACTCCCATCATCATCACCTCTATGTTTGGAGAGTGACTTTCTGCCTAGCAGCACTTTTGCAGCCAGTCTTTCAAATGAACACCATTTTAATTTTATTTAGGGTGATAAGTTATCATATATTATGACATTTGCTTGTGAATTCTGGGGAGATAATGTGGTTGGGAGGATGGGAAGGACTCCATCCATCTTTAACTACAGAAGTTTTTCTGACTCTTTGAGGAGAAGGCAAATACATCATAGATAGTATTAATTTCCTAAATAAACTCAATAATGGCTGAAAATGGAGCCCATCACCCTCAGAAATGTCATAGTCTCTGGAAGAAGAGAACAGCTTGAACAATAAAAGTTAGTTCTGTTAGTGCTATTTTTTTGGTGCTTGGGTATGGGAATATGGACATTATGCTTTACCAGAAAATGTCCAAATCCCCTTCATCATCTGTTCTGGTTTCATCATTTTATCTGGTTTCATCATTTAAGAAGAAGGGGCAATGGGATTGAGAGAGACAATTTGAGGAGCGGGACACAAAAGGAGCACCAGGAAATTCAAATTTATTTCTCTTTGTAAACTGTGCAGTCAGTTTTTTCCCCTGAGCTACATCTTCTTGGAGTTTTAGGTCTTATCTGTCAGATTTTGGCAACAGACTCTTTTTAACACTTCACATGGCTTTGATATGCAGCCAGGATCTTCCTTATCCCTCCTTTCTTCAGGGGTTATATTGCCGGAAAGGGTAGGATTTTTATGGCAAATAAAGGGGCCTGGTCTTGACTTTATTGTCCTCAGAAGAAACTGCAAGAGGGGAATTTATGACCAATGGGGGTGGGGAAGGACTACAACATTTCCAGAGTTATTGATGTCTGATTATGTTTATTGATTATCAAAGAGCATAAAACATGGATAAAGACAAGTTGAATTTTTAACCAGTCTGCCTCAAGTTATAATTTAAACACTCAGCAACTTTAAGATTAAGAAGGGTTTTAGAAAACATGATTTCAAAGATACATTTCGATCTCAAGATTTGATGTTCTAGAAATAAATTAAATCTCCAAGTTTTCATTTTTTTCTCTAAATATGCATTCTGTCTTTGCAACATGCCAAAAGGCAGACTTACGGTTTCCAGGTTTTTGCTTAGACTCAGAAAACCAGCTCAAAATTTAGGATTTTAAGGTAGGTTAACTGACTGGACCGCATAGTTTTCCTTTTCTAAGAGCGGGAAAAGGAGATTTTGTTCAGTTCATTATTTAGCCATTTAGATTAATCTTAAAATATATCACTTATCTAAAATTTATTTCTTCACTGGTGTCCTTTTTTTTTTTTTTTTTTTTTCCTTTTCTGGAGATGAAAGGGTGTCTGACATTTGTTTAGGGCTTGTAAATTCTGAACCAATTGGCTGGTGTTCCTGAATGTAAAGAGGGTTCAGAATGGGATCTGATGCTATGTAACTCTTTTGTTAGGCCTGTGCTGTATCTTAACACCTCAGTGGAGTTTAGGGAACCACTTTAAAGACGTCTTTGTCCTACAGATCGCCCCCAAAAAATCACATAAAAAACAACCAGGGAAGATCAGAAGGAGTATTTAAAAGCCATAGAGAAAAGGAGGAAGATCCTGGAGGAGGGTAGAGAAATTAAAAAGAAAAGAGAACTTCCTAAGTATCTTTGGAAAATTTGAAAGGAGGAATAAAGCTCTATTCGAAGGAGGGCATGAGGAATTAGTTAAATGTTGTAACACAAAGCAAATGTTTGTATATCCTTTCAAAGGGCATGGAATACTCACTTTATTCTGCTTAAGTCAACACCTCCTCCTTCCCCCATTCACTACCTACTTGGTAATAAAAATTAAGACTCCCACATAAAAACTATTTTTTTTTCTAATAGGTAATGGGGTTTTCTGAAACAGAATCTGCTAAATGACAATTAATGTTTTCTTTTTAAATTACTATTCAAACCAAACTCTAGGAAATTATGTAACTATAATGTTAGGATCCCACAAGTGTTTTCCACTCTTGGGCCATTATTATGCGTCCCAGCATATTTGAACTTGGAATAACATTTAGTTAGCATACTTAAATAGGAGTCAAAGATATGTGTTTGGGTCCCCACTCCTCAATTCTCTAACACAAAGTCATTTACCTTAACTGAGCTTCATGTTTCTTATCTGTAAAATGGAGATAAGACATGTTCTGCATAATTCAAGAAGGTAGGTAAGAGGTTTAATAGGAACAGTATGAAAAGACTGCATAAAATGTAGTGGGAAGTGCCTGTATAATGGACAGCTGCTATTACTGCCAATGCTAATCACATATGTAAGTGGGAAGGTAATAAACACCATGGGTTAAAGTGTTTAAGCATTTTCAATGCTCTGCTGTGAAAATAGGTCAAGATGGGATGATTGTGATTTGACCAATCATTTTAGGAGAAACATTAATTAAAGAGATGTTGGTTTTATATATAAGGAGAGATATAGATATAGAGATATATGTCTATGTCTATAGATGGTAGACAGAGATATTGCTATCATAGCCACAGATGAGAATGTATTTAATGGAGAAATTGACTTTTATGAATATTTGATTCAAAAATATACTTATTTTATATTTTAAAGCAAAGATGAGGGTGGGAAGAGTGTCTATGATTTCTTTAACTAAAACAATCTCCAAGAAGCAGAAAAAGATTAAATGCAATGCTTTCTCTCCTAACAGGGAAAACCAGGACAAAAGAAAAGTATCGTGTAGTTTACACTGATCATCAAAGATTGGAGCTGGAAAAGGAATTCCATTGCAATAGATATATCACCATCCAGAGAAAATCAGAGCTGGCAGTTAACCTGGGCCTTTCCGAGAGACAGGTACACCAGAAGTATATCCAACATGTCCCGTATAGTCCATTTCAATAGAATCAGAATTCTAGAATTGTAAAGTCCCTTAATGCATTGCCTTATCCCAAGTAGCTTGCATTTCAACCACGTGTGAAGGCACATTGATATCGCTCTCTTCTATCTCCAGCAAGAGATATAAAATATTTCATCACCCTTGTTCTCTCATTTATGTGTTTCATTAATATTTTACTAATAGGAAGACAAACTTCTTATTAGTAATAGTATACTAATAGGAAGATAAATTTTCTATTTTATTTTATTAATATTATACTAATAGGACGTTTCTCTTTAGTGAAATATTAATAAAACATAGAAATGGTTGATTATAATTACCTTTGCTATTTAAATCTCTCTCTCTTATCAGCACACCTCAGCTTCTGTCATTCCAGCATTATTTATTTCTACCTGTGCAACAGAGGAGGTGGGTAAGGTATAATATTAAGATTATTGCATTCAGAGTTAGTAGCCCTAGACTTGGATCTCAGTTTCATTTCATGCAAGGTACTTGCCCTCTCTAAGTCTCAAGCTTTTTTTCTAACCTGTTAAGTGGGCATACTTCACAAGGTCATTGTGAGGCTGAAATGAAGTGATGCATATGAAAGGGCTTTGTAAATGCTAAAGTCTCTGTACAATATCAGAAATCACTAAGTTAACTGCATTCAGTATGTTGCCCCATTGTGTTTCAGGTGAAAATCTGGTTTCAGAATCGCAGAGCCAAGGAGAGAAAGATGATCAAAAAGAAAATCTCCCAGTTTGAGAATAGTGGAGGCTCGGTGCAAAGTGACTCTGACTCCATCAGCCCTGGGGAACTACCTAACACTTTTTTCACCACACCATCTGCTGTTCGTGGATTTCAACCTATTGAGATACAGCAGGTTATAGTCTCCGAATGAAAGAAAGCAAAGAGAAATTTAAAGTGCCCTTTTTTTAGTGATGTCTTTTGGGTCTCTAAGCTATCTACAGGGGAGTTGGAGCAGGGTGTAATTCCCTGTAAGGCAGTATTTGGAACAGATGGATGCACAATGGGTTGAAGATAATTTAGGGGACTCTTACTTTTAGAAACTATCCCCAGAAAACTCCTGTCACGTGCTGTGCTATATGTCAGTCACTCAGGAATCTTAGTGGTAAGGTATATAATTAAAAGCTAGAATCACAGGCCCTTCCAACTCTGTTCACAATTTCAGAAACTTGCTTATGAATAGACTGTAAAATACAATTTTGCCAGAAAGCACATTTGTGTATGTGTACTTCTGTTTGTTATTTGATGCTAGGTGTTTTCTTTTATGCTATCTTTAAGGAGTGAGAAGAAGGTAAACCGAAGTTTATCTATCTTTAGCTACCTTTCCAAGTGTTTAATTCAAAAGCTAACAGAATTTTTATAATAAGATAAATGTTTTAAAAATCATCAGAAGGTGATTCTGATTCCATTGTCACTGCTTAACAAGAATAACCAATAAAAAAGACAATTTTGGCCCTCAATCATACTTGTCTGGCATCAATTATCTCAGAACTTTCAACTTGCAGTGTCATTTTAAAATCTTGTCAAAACAATGAAATCAGACTAAAACAAAATAGGCCAGCTTGGTTGAGTAAGGCACATCTCCAACTCATAGAGTAAACTCTACCCCCTCTTCTGTCTCTCCATTCCCATTCCAGTCAGACTTGCGTAAGCACAAGACAGTGAACTGTTATGTAACCTGTACCTGCCATCACCTTTCAACCTGTTCAATTTTACCCACATTATGTCATGTCAATGCAGTTTACTGGTTTATAATCCAAGGAGCTGCAGTTTACAGGTTAAAAACACACAGCTTGACTAAGAAAAGGGGTTGTAGTGATGCAGGTTGCCTAGAGCTTTTAGTGTGGGTCCAGCATACTGTTTGCATATTGTAGTGGCCAAAGACTAGGCTGTGAGTCCTTTTGAATTGAGATGGTTTAAAGGAAAGCTTGATTAAAGCATAAAAGCCACCAGGGTTCAACTTTTCTTTTCAAGATGCACTTTCACTGTTCTTAAGAAAATTAGAATTTTGAGCACAACTATCTGTCTTTGAGTTGGGAGTAAGAAATGTATCCTCCCTTTTCTTATGAAAATCTCAGAAAGAGGTTTCATTTCCCCTGGCTGCTCCTGAAGGCACGTCATTAGTTCTGAAAAGATTTAAGGGAAAAAAAACCTTTCCATTTTTGATCCAACCTCTTGGAATTATATTCTTCAAAACACATTTATAAGGAGGGTATCAATTGCCCTATTTTACTGATAGGGAAACTGAGATGTGTGCAATCAACTCACTTTCCAAAGATACATAGCAAGGATATTGTGGATGCTGATGTGAACCCCTAGCTACTTAGGATGATCTTCCTTGGTCTCTAGTGATAGGTCTAAACTCAAAGCATCCCTTTCTTTGCATTTTGTATCTGATTATGCTACTGCAGGTGCATACAGCTCCCTAAACACCAGTCAGTGGGTAATGACCACCTAGGAATGCAGCCTAATTTTTCTTGTTTTCCAGCTCCCTTACCCTTCTGATTAGTGAGTTTGAAGCTTCTACTAATAATCTTAATAATGCCCTATATATGTGTAATATTTTTATATATTTCAATGCAATTTTACACCTGTTATTTTATTAGATCCAATATCCTCACAAGATATGAAAGAATTGCTACCCCTATTTTGTAGTTTGAGAAGCTAGAGACCAGAAACGCTTATGAATCTTTGATAAACTAATTTACTTCTCTTAGCCCACATCTACATATTGGTGGATGGTGATAAGGATAGATCAATTTAAATTCTTTCCTCTTCAAAAAGTTACTGACTTTTTTCGGTAAGTTGTTGGCAAAATCTAAAACTAGATCTCAGGTCTGCTGATTCAGTGAATATTTATTGAGTGCCTACTCTACCAGGCACTATGCTAGGGTTTCTTGACTCCCAGAAAAACACATATTCTACTCCACTCACCGCCTCCAGTAAATTTGAGGTGAACTACACAGCATGCTAATTGATTGGCAGGCCATCTGTAGTGCAGAACATAGAAAATCAGCATTGAAATGGGTCCTTCCAATCTAGTGGAGAGATGAGAAGTGTTACTTGTCTATGTACACTCAGAACTTAATTTTGTCATCCTAGTGCCCACTCCACAAAAGGTATAACTTTGGCTATATCAGTTGGATTTTCTCAGGAGTTTCTCTTTCCTGCTGCAAACAATTTTTCTCCCAAAGAAAAAAACATTTTCCTATTTGTATAGATTCTGATTCTCTAGAATCTGCAAATAGAACCAAAATGGAGCTTTTGTTTTGACTAGCATATTGCGGCCACTCCCTCTAAGAATACATGTTAATTCATTCTCTGAGACCTAAGAAAAGTATACGACCACAAGCTTTTATTTCTAGCTTATGGTGGTTTATGCTGGAGGTATGTAGAGAAAAGAAATATAAACACTGAAGCTCAAAAGTTGCATTCAAAGTATTTAATAAAGGCTTTTTTCTTTTTTACGGGGAAAGCGGCAAGAATGAAAACATACCAAATGACTGACAGTGTTCACTTAGGGTAGTGGGATTATGAGGGATTTTCTTCTTTTATTATCACTAAAATTTATTCTGTTTTATAATAGGGAAACAATGTTTCCTTCCCAAATATTTCTTCAGTTCATCCTCAAGTAATTTGCAGACTTTAGAATCCTCTTTGCAACTTATTCAAGTATTCCAATTTCCCAGTAACTTTCTTAAGGCCCTTGGAGTTGTTTGTGTGGAGTTGCAAAGAAAGGTCTTTGGGAGGATCTGGCTTCTTTTCAAAGAAGGAAGGAAGCAAGGCCCAAGGAAAGTTTTCCACTCTTGGCTCAGATCCAGAGAATCTGGCTGCTTTTCTGAGTTGGAACATTTTAATACTACTGTATTACATCAAGAAGAGAATGAGGGGCCAGCAAGGGAGGAGGGTGGTAGAAGGGAGAGATGTATTTATAACAGGGAACAAGGAACATTTTGGGGGTGATGGATTTATTATCAATTCTGCTGACAGTTTTATGAGTGTATACATATGTCAAAACTCATCAACTTTTATACTTGTAGTTTCTTGTATGTCAATTATGTCTAAGAAAGCTGCAAAAAACAACAGAGTTGTTGCAACCCTGGTGACAAAAAAGAAGGGAGGGAATCGCTAGACTGTTTAGTCTATAGTCACTTTATATAACTTAGGTTCAGCCCCACCTTCCCAGGTAGAGATCACTTGCTTGTATGTTCATGTCTAAATGTGCTACTGAGGAAGGACACCAACAATTGATAATCACTGGGTCTCTCATATCATGGGAATGAGTTTGGAAGACAGAGGGAGACCAGGTTATGTAAGGATTGAATTTTCAAAGTGAAAAAATGCAAAGCAAAGAAGTCCCTTACTGCAGTGCCTTCAGGAACAATATTATGAGTTGTTAGTAAAAGCAGATGTTCAGCCAGGCGTGGTGGTTCACACCTGTAATCCCAGCACTTTGGGAAGCCGAGGTGGGCAGATCACGAGGTCAGGAGATCAAGACCATCCTGGCTAACACGGTGAAACCCCGTCTCTACTAAAAATACCAAAAAAAAAAAAAATAGCCAGGTGTGGTGGCAGGCGCCTGTAGTCCCTGCTACTCGGGAGGCTGAGGCAGAATGGCGTGAACCCGGGAGGCAGAGCTTGCAGTGAGCCGAAATTGTGCCACTGCACTCCAGCCTGGGTGACAGAGCAAGACTCTGTCTCAAAAAAAAAAAAAAAGCAGATATTCATGTGGTATGGTGTAAGAAGTACTGAGTTGGGAAGTGAGACCTGAAGCTCTAGTTTTACCCAATTCTGTAACTAAACAGCTGTGTAATTTTTTGTTAAGTCAAAAAAGTATTCCACCAATACGGGCCACTGTAATTTCATTTGTAAAATCTGAAGATTTGACTTGGCTTTAAGGGTTTATTCTAGCTCTAATTTCTACATGACATTTTGAGAAGACTCTATGCTTTCCCACTTCCCCACCACTCATACAAAGTAAAACTCACACATATACACACACACATACACCTTCCTTCTTGGCTTCCCAGGGCTTAAAGTATCACTGTTGGGAGAGTCAGCCCTTTGGTCTCAAAGACTTTTTCTGTCTTCTAGAGTTTACTATGAGGGCCTACTCTGATTTCAGAGTCCCCATGTCTCCACCTATAAAATGTGAACCTTGAGCTTAATCTCACCAACGTCCAAAATTCTAGGTTTGTGGATCTTTAATTAAAATACAAATATCACTGAAAAAGAAATGCACTTAAGCTGCCATAAGTTATTTCTCTAATCCCTTTAAAACCAGAAAAGCCTTAGAAAGGCCTGCTCTAAATGGATCACATGAAAATGTCCCCCCAAATAGGAATAAACCCCCAAGACAGGAGAAGTATATCATAAATCAATAAATTCAAATTACTTGGACTTTAGAAGTTTGCCTTTAGTTGTACTTAAGCACACATATTTTATTCTTCCCTATAGATAAGGGAAGAAGGAATTCAAACCCCTTTTAGGAAAAAGGGGGAAATTATCCCTTTTCTTTTTCCATCACAGTCTCTGCTTGCCTGACAAAAGAAAAGTGGATGTAAAATGGAGCCTGTAATGAGCCAAATGGTGGTTTCCCGAAAGGCATGTCCATATCTTAATCTACATAACTTCTGAATACGACAAAAGAGTACATATTATCTCTTGTGATAAAATATATGATTAGGTTAAGGAACTTGAGAGGGGAATCTTATCCTGGATTGCCTGGGTTGACCCTAAATACAATCACGTATACTTATAAGATAGCGGCAGAAGGATATTTAAAACAGAAGAGGAAAAGGAAGCAATGTAAACTTGAAGGCAGATATTGGAGTGATGTGATCAAAAGCCAAGTAATGCCTGGAGCCAAGAGAAGCTGGAAGAGGCCAGGAACAAATTTTCCCCGAGAGCATCTATAAGGAGTAGTTTTACTAACACCTTGATTTTGTACTTCTGACTTCCAGAACTATGAGAATATAAATTTATGTTTTGTTAAGCCACCAAGTTTATGGTAATTTGTCATGGCAGCTACAGAAAATGAATACAGAGCCTTTACAAGGGCCCTTCCAACCAAGTCTAAACTGATCACCACTTTTTATCAGTTCCATAAAATGTTTAGTGAAAAAGAAATCACTCTTAGAGCAGTGTCAGCAAAATGGCAAAGTAGGCAGCTTCAAGCGCCCTTCCCTTCACAAAAACATCAAAAAATCAATCAGAACCTGTTAGAATCAACTTGGTCAGAGCTCTGGAAAACAGTCAAAGGTTTTCAGCAACCAAGTAAATGCTGAATCAAGAAAAGTGCAACTTAAAGGCAATAGGAAAGCTTTGTGACATTTTTACTTGTCTTTTGCCTCACCCCCCTGCCAGTTCAGTGACAATCTTAAAAATGGAAGCTCATGTTACCAGTGTGGAACTTTGGTGCCTTGTTCTGGAGGGAGCATAAACAATCTTATTTGCAAAGAACTTTGTTTGTTCTAACCTATTTGGAGGATACCTGAAGGACTGATGCAAGGTACTTGTCTATATTTTGCTTAATTCAGAACTTACTCAGATCTGAAAAGTGATGGGTAGTCCTCAAACCATTGTAACATTAACAAATAACTGAAGCTGCCTGGAGCAAACATTTATGGTTGATACATACAATAGAATGACAAAAGCCTGGAAAGAAAAGCATGGAAGAGAGCTTCTTTGGGAAATTAGGGCATTTAAAATTGCTTGTGTGTACTGGGAAATTTAAAAAGTGACACAAATGACCAAGGGAAGATTCAAGCTCGTAAAAGACTTAAGAAGATGTTAAGTTTTCACTTCTGACTAATCTCTAGGCCCAGTGCAAGCAGAGAGTGAAGACTAAACCAAGGTTGCTGCAATCTTTCTTCACAAGGAAGCAGACTTCAGGCCGCTCCTGTTTTCCAACACTAAGCTCTACTTTATAATTTTAGTTCCTAGCATTTAAGCACTGCTGTAATACAGAGCCAACTCTAAAGACTAAGAGAAGGGTTTTTTCTTCATCTTTCTCCCTTTCTTGCTCCTTCTCTCTCTTTCTCTCTCTCTCTTTTCTTTCTTTCTCTCTTTCCCCTTTCTTCCCCGCTCTTCTTCTGTTCAAAGAAACCTCTGTCAGAACTAGCAGACACACTTAAAGGAACAGAGACTTCCTAGATCCCATATGACAAATAAATGTAGACTTTACAAAAATAGTTTTTAAAAGTATCAAACAAACAGTTACAGTGACTGCATGCAGCATAAACTGAGCAGAGGAATAAGAATCAGACTTCTAGAGTTACTATATTGTAATATTCAAAATGTTCAGTTTTCAACAAAATTGCCAAATAATGGAAACATAAACAAGGAAGTATGACCCATTTAAAGAACAAATTAACAGACACTGCCCCTGAGAAGGCACAGACATAGGACATAATAAACAAGAATTTTAAATCCACTACCTTAAATATGCTCAAAGAGAAAAGAAAATCACAGAAAAAAATCTAAAGGAAAGACAGAATTATATATGAACAAATGGAGGGTAACAATAGAGATTTACAAAGGAACCAATCAGAAATTCTGGAGTTGAGAAGTACAATAACTAAAATTTTTTAAAAAGTGAACTGGAAGATAGGTCTTTTGATGTTATCTAGTCTATGGAACTGGTCATTATCCAGTCTATGGAATGATAGTATCCAGTCTATATAATGACATTATCCAGTCTATAGAATATAAAAGAATGAAGAAAAAAATGAACAGAACCTAAGGGTCCTATGACACATCATGGAGTTTAACAACATACACATCATGGGAATACCAAAAGGAGAAAATAGAGCAAAACAACCAAAAAGAATATTTGAATAAATAATAAATATTTTGAATAATAATAAATAATGGCAAAAAAGTCTCAATTTTAATCATAGACATGAATATATACATCTGTGAAGCTCAATGAATTTCAAGTAGAAGAAAATTAAAGAGGTCCACATTGAAACACATTATAATGAAACTATTCAATGTCAATGGCTAATAGAGAATCTTGAAAGCAGCAAGATAGAAGCAACTTGTCACATCTAAGAGATCCTCGATAAAATTAATAGCAGATTCCTCATTAAAAACCATGGAGGCCGGAAAGGAGTGGAATGACACTTTCAAACTGTTGAAAGAAACAAAACCTGTCAAAAATTGGCCCCAGGGTGTTGAGCTGGTAGTCCTTTTTCTATTGTGACAAAATATACATAACATAAAATTTACTATTAAAACCATTTAAAATTTATTTTTAATTAATATGAGTACATAATAGGTGTATATATTCACAGGGTACGTAAGATGTTCTAATACAGGCATACAATGTGTCATAGTCGCATCAAGATAATTGGGGCATCCATCCCCTCAAGCATTTAACACTTCTCTGTGTTAGGAATCTTCCAATTTCATGTTTTTAGATATTTTAAAATATACAATAAAGGCCGGGTGTGGTGGCTCACGCCTGTAATCCCAGCACTTTGGGAGGCTGAGGAGGGCAGATCACAAGGTCAGGAGATCAAGACCATCCTGGCTAATACAGTGAAACCCCGTCTCTACTAAAAATACAAAAAATTAGCTGGGCGTGGTGGTGGGCGCCCGTAGTCCCAGCTACTCTGGAGGCTGAGGCAGGAGAATGGCGTGAACCCGGAAGGCGGAGCTTGCAATGAGTTGAGATCGCGCCAGCGCACTCCAGCCTGGGCGACAGAGTGAGACTCCATCTCAAAATATATAAATTATTGTTGACTACAGTCATCCTGTTGTGCTATCAAATACTAGATTTTATTCATTCTGTTGACCTATATTTTTGCACACATTATCTATCGTTTTATGTCCCCCTCTCTCTACTACACATCTCCACCCTGCCCAGTACCTTTCCTAGCTTCTGATAACCATCATTCTACTATGTTCATGAGTTCAATTGCTTTAATGTTTAGTTCCCGCATATGAGTGAGAACATGTGAAGTTTGTCTTTCTCTGGCTGGCTTATTTCACTTAACATAATTGCCTCCAATTCCATCCATGTTGTTGCAAATGACAGGATTTTATGTCTGTTTTATGACTGAATAATATTCCCTTGTGTGTATGCATCACATTTTCTTTATCCATTCATCTGCTGATGGACACTTAGGTAGCTTCCAAATCATGGCTATTGTGAATAGTACTGCAATAAACATGGGAGTACAGATATCTCTTCAATATCATTATTTCCTTTCTTTCAGATATTATATATCTGAAAGAGTGAGATTATATATCTGAAAGAGTGAGATTATATATCTGAAGGAGTGAGATGGCTGGATCAATTGTATAATAGGTCCATTTTTAGTTTTTTTAGGAACGTCCATACAGTTCTCCATAGTAGCTAGATGAATTTACATTCTTAACAGTATACAAGTGTTCCTCTTTCTCCACATCCTCACCAGCATTAATTATTGCCTGTCTTTTGGATAAAAGTTATTTTTACTGGGGTAAGGTGACATCTTATTATAGTTTTGATTTGCATTTATCAGATGATTAATGATGTTGAGCATTTTTTTCATATGCTTGGCAATTTGTATGTCTTCTTTTCAGAAATGTCTATTCAGGTCTTTTGCCTATTTTTAAAATTGGATTATTTATTTTTTCTGTCAAGTTGTTTGAGCTCCTTATAATTTCTGGTTCTTAATCCGTTGTCAGATGGTTAGATTGCAAATATTTTCTTCCAATCTGTGGGTTGTCTCTTCACTTTGTTCATTGTTTTCTTTGCTGTGCAGAAGCTTTTTAGCTTGATGTGATCCCATTTGTCGATTTTTGCTTTTGTTGCCTGTGTGTTTGAGGTCTTACTCAAGAAATTGCTGTCCAGACAAATATTCTGGAGAGTTTCCTCAATGTTTCATGTCTTAGATTTAAGTCTTTAATCCATTTTGGTTTCATTTCTGTATATTGTGAAAGACAAGAGTCTAGTTTCATTCTTCTGCATATGGGTATTCAGTTTTCCCAGTACTACTTATTGAAGAGACTGTTCTTTCTCCAGTGTACGTTCTTGACGTCTTTGTCAAAAAGGAGTTTTCTGTAGACGTGTGAATTTATTTCTGGGTTCTCTGTCCTGTTTTATTGGTCTATGTGTATGTTTTCATGACAGTACCATTCAGTTTTCATTGCTATACCTCTGTAATATAAAGTCAGTTAATGTGATTTATCTAGTTTTGTTCTTTTTGCTTAGGATAGCTTTGGCTATTCTGGGTCTGTTTTGGTTCCATATAAATTTTAGATTGCTTTTTCTATTTCTGTGAGGAATGTAATTGGTATTTTCATAGGAATTGCATTGAATCTGTAGATTTCTTTGGGTAGTATGGACATTTTAACAGTATTGATTTTTTCAATCTATGACCATGGAGTGTATTTCCATTTTTTGATGTCTTCAATGTCTTTCACCAATGTTTCATAGATTTTATTATAGAGATCTTTCACTTTTTTGGTTAATTCTTAGATATTTAATTTTATGTGTGGCTATTATAAATGGGATTAGTCTTTTATTTCTTTTTCAGATGGTTAATTCTTGGCATATAGAAATGCTACTGATTTTTGTATGTTGATTTTGTAGCCTACAACATTACCAAATTTGTTTATCAGTTCAGATTTTTTTTGGTGGAGCATTTAGGTTTACCTAGATATAAGTTTACATTTCTAAAAGTAAAGATAATTTAACTTCCTCCTTTCCAATTTGGATGCATTTTACTCATTTCTCTTGTCTAATTGCTCAAGCTAGGAATTTTAGTACTAAGTGGAATAACAGTTGTGTAAGTGGGCATCCTTTTTTTCTTTCAGGTCTTAGGGGGAAGGCTTTCAGCTTTTCTCCATTCAGTTTGATAACAGCTATAGCTTTGTCAATTATGGCATTTATCATGTTGAGCTCTATTCTTTCTATATCCAGTTTTTGAGAGTAGTTATTGTCATTAATGGATATTGAATTTTATCAAATGCTTTTTCAGCATCAGTTGAAATGATTATATGGTTTTGGTCTTTTATTCTTATTTGGTCCTCAATTGAAGTGATGTATCACATAGATTGATTTGTGTATGTTGAACCATCCTTGCATCCCTTGTCATGATGAATAATCTTTTTAATGTATTCTTGAATGTGACTTGTTAGTATTTTGTTGAGGATATTTGCATCAATGCTCATCAGGAATATTGGCCTGTGCTTTGCTTTGCTTGTGTCTTTGTCTGATTTTGGTATCAGAGTAATATTTGTCTTTCAGAGTCAGTTTGGAAGTATTCCTTTCTCTTTAATGTTTCATAATAGTTTGAATAAGATTGGCATTAGCTCTTTAACAGTTTGATCGAATTCATCAGTGAAGCCATTGGGACCTGGGCTTTTCCTTGATAGACTTTTTATTATGGGTTCAATATTGTTGCTTGTTATTGATCTATTCAGGTTTTGAATTTCTTCATGGTTCAATCTTGGTAAGTTGTATGTCTTGGAATATATCCATTTCTTCTAAGTTTTCCAATTCATTGCCATGTAGCTGATCATAGTAGTCTCCAATGATCCTTGGAATTTCTGTGGTATCAGTTGTAAAGTTTCCTTTTTCATCTCTGATTTAATTTATTTGGGTCTTCTCTTTTTTCTTAGTCTGGCTAAGGGTCTGTCAATTTTATCTCTTCAAAAAAACTTTTTATTTTGTTGACTGTATTTTTTTAAATTTTATTTATTTTTCTTCTGATCTTTATTTTTCTTCTATTAATTTTGGGTTTGGTTTGCTCTTCTAATTCTTTGAGATGCATAATTAGGCTTTTCATTTGAAGATTTTCTACTTTTTTGACGTAGTTGCTTATTGTCACTAGTTTTCCTCTTAGTACAATTTTCACTGTATCCCACAGGTTTTGGTATATTTTGTTTCCATTTTCACTTGTTTCAAGAAATTTTTAAGTTTCCTTTTTAATTCCTTCATTGATCCACTGGTCATTCAGGAGCATATTGTTTAATTTTCATGTGTTTGGATAGTTTCCAAAGTTCTTCCTGTTATTAATTTTTAGTTTTATTCCATTGTGGTCAGATAATATGATAATATACTTGATATGATTTACATGTTTTTGAATTTTATAAAACTTGTTTTGTGTCCTAACATAAGGTCTATCCTTGAAAATGATCCATGTGCTTAGGAGAAGAATGTATATTTTGCAGATATTAGATGAAATGTTCTGAAAATATGTATTAGGTCTATTAGATTTGTAGTGCAGACTGAGTCCAATTTTTTGTTGGTTTTCTGTCTGCATGATCTGTCCAATGGTGAGTGTGAAAAATTGTGATCTCCGGGTACTGTGTTGAGGTCTGTCTCTCTCTCTTTCGTTCTAATAATATTTGCTTTATGTATCTGGGTACTCCAGTGTTGAGCACATATATTTATTATTGTTTTATCCTTTTGCTGCATTGACTTTTGTATTTTATAATGCCCATCTTTGTCACTGTTTATAGTTTTTGTCCTAAAATCTATTTTATCGGATATAAGTAATTAGTCTTGCTCTTTTTTGGTTTCCATTTGCGTGGAATGTCTTTTTTTATCCTTTTATTTTCAGCCTGTGTATGTCTTTATAGGTGAAGTGAATTTCTTGTAGGCATCATATACTTGGATCTTGTTTTTTTATTCATTCAGCCACTCTCGGTCTTTTGACTGGAGATTTTAGTTTACTTAAATTTACTGGTAACAGTAATTAAACAGAAAAATGGAGAATACTCTAAAACTGTTCTTTTAGTGTGTCCATCACTCATATCTTTAGTAGGAAGACAGAAAGAAAAACCTATCAAAAATAATAGCTACGCCAACTTTTTAAGAGTCAGGTAGTATAAAAAGATATAAATAGGAGCAATAAAAAGTTCAAAAATGGGGAAGGGATGAAGTTAAAGTGTAATTTAATGTAATTATTGATAAGTTAGGACATAGCACTGCCATTTTGTTACTTGTTTTCTGGTGTTCTGTGGTCCTCTCTGTCTTCCTTCTTATCTTCTTTTGTGTAAAAGTGATTTTTCCAGCCAGGCGCGGTGGCTCATGCCTGTAATCCCAGCACTTTGGGAGGCCGAGGCGGGAGGATCACGAGGTCAGGAGATCAAGACCATCCTGGCTAACAGGGTGAAACCCCGTCTCTACTAAAAATACAAAAAATTAGCTGGGTGTGGTGGCTGGCGCCTGTAGTCCCAGCTACTCTGGAGGCTGAGGCAGGAGAATGGCTTGAACCCGGGAGGCAGAGCTTGCAGTGAGCCAAGATTGTGCCACTGCACTCCAGCCTGGGCTACAGATCGAGACTGTGTCTCAAAAAAAAAAAAAAGTGATTTTTCCCTGGTAATATGTTTTCATTTCTTGCTTTTTATTTTTTGTGTATCTGTTGTAGGTTTTTTCATTTGATGTAACCATAAGGCTTGCAAATAACCTCTTATAACCAATTATTTTGAACTGATGATGACTGAACTCTGTTACAAAAATCAGCCAAATAAGTAAAGAGAAAACTAATAAATACTTTACACTTTAACTCCATTACCTCCCCATATTAGAACTTTGTATTGTATTAATTTATATTGTTTCATACTATCTCTGAAAAGGTTGGTGTAGTTATTATTTTTGATAAGTTCTTCTTTTTGTCTTCCTACTAAAGATATGAGTGATTTACACACTACAATTACAGTGTTAGTGTTACAGTATTCCACGTTTGTGCATTTACTGTTACCAGTGAGTTTTGTACCTTCAGATGATTTCTCATTGCTTATTAACATCCTTTTCTTTCAGATTGCGGGACTCCCTTTAGCATTTCTTGTAGGGCAGGTCTTGTGTTGATAAAATTCCTCAGCTTTAATTTGTCTGGGGAAGTTTTTATTTCTCCATCATGTTTGCAGAATATTTTCACTGATTATAATATTCTAGGTTGGGAGGTTTTTTTTCTTCAGCACTTTGAGTATATCATGCTACTCTCTCCTGGCCTATAGGATTACCCCTGAAAAGTATACTGCCAGATGTATTGGAACTTTTTTATATGTTATATGTTTTTTGTTTTTTCTCTTGCTGCTTTTAGGATCCTTTCTTTATCCTTGACCTATGGAAATTTGATTATTAAATGCCTTAAGGTAGTCTTATTTGAGTTAAATCTTCTTGCTATTCTCTAAGCTTCTTGTACATGAAATATTGATATCATTCTGTCTGTTAGAAAAGTTCTCTGTTAATATTTTTTGAGTGAATTTTCTACCCCAATCTTTCTCTCCCTATCTTTTCTTTAAGGTCAATAACTCTTAGATTTTCCCTTTTGAGGATATTTTCTCATAGGCATGCTTTATTCCTTTTTTATTCATTTTTCTCTTCTGCGTATCTTCATATAGCCTGCTTCAAACTCACTAATTATTTTTTCTGCTTGATCAATTGTCATTGAAATGCTCTGTTGAATTTTTCAGTTTGTCAATTCAATCTTTGAAGTCCAATATTTCTGCTTAATTTTTAATTATTTCAATCTGTTAAACTTCTCAAATAGGATTCTGAATTCATTCTCCGTGTTTTCTTGAAGTTTCTTAAGCTTCCTCAAAACAGCTGTTTTTGAATTCTCCATCTGAAAAGTCACATATCTCTGTCACTCCAGGATTGGTTACAGTGCCTTATTTAGTTCATATGGTGATGTCATGTTTTCCTTGATGTTTGCCAATGACTGGGCATTGAAGAGTTAGATATTTATTTTAATCTTCACAGTCTGGGCTTGTTTGTACCCATTCTTTTTGAGAAGGCTTTCCAAGTGTTATAAAGAAATTAGGTGTTTTGATCTAAGTTTTTGGTCAGTGTAGCCATTCTGCACTAGGGGAAGCCCCAAGCCCAGTAATGATGCTACTCTTGCAGACTCTTACCACCAGGCAGATTCTCTCATTCCCTTTTTCCACATTTCCTCAAATAGAAGGAGTCTCTGTCTCCATGCTAGGCTGCCTGTAGTTGGGAGAGCAGTAATGCAAGCACTCTCATGGGCACCACAGTTGGGATTATGTTGAGATACACCTTAAGCCAGCACACTATTGAGTTTCACCCAAGGCCTGTGGTTAGTATTGCTTGGCTACCACTGACGTTTATTTCAGGGCCCTAGGTCACTTTAATCAGTAGATAGTGAATCCTGCCAGGACTGGGTACTTCTCTCCAGCACAGCAGGTTTCTTTCTGACCCAGGGTCAATCTAGAAATGTCATTCAGGAGGAAGGGGCTAGAATCAGGGGATTCAAGATTCTGCTTAGTGCTTTATTTTACAGTGGCTGAGCAGGTACCCAAGTTACAAAATTATCATTACTCTTTCCTCTCCTTTCCAAAAGTGGAAGGAGTCTCTCCCTGAGTTACACTGCCTGGATTTGGGATAGAGGTGACATGAGCACTCCTTTGGCCACGATAGCTGTTGTCACTCTGAGTCACATGTATCCCAAGTTTGCTGGCTTTGAGCCCAGTTCAGCATCCAGAGCTGACAATGCTTGAAGTTCTTGTGGCCTGACTGCTTTTCCAAATTTTTCAGGACCTCAGAGCATTTTAGTTAGCCAGTGGTGGAGCTAGACAGAACTCAGGTTTATACCACTAAAGTAGAGGATTCCCCTCTGGCCAGAGATAATTTAAATGTTTCCGCCATGGTCACCAGCAGAATTCTGTTCTGTGTTGTGTTCCACTGTTGCTTACTGTAGCCTTATATTATAGTTTGAACTTGGGTAGTGTGATGCCTCAAGCTTTTTTTTTTTTTCCTTAGGATTGATTTGGCTATTTTGACTCTCTTTTGGTTTTGTATGAATTTTAGAATAGTTTATCTAACTCTGTGTAGAATGACAATGGTAGTTTGATAGAAATAGTGTTGAATCTGCAAATTGCCTTGGAACATGTGACCATTTTAATGATACTTATTCTTTTAACTCCTGAGCATAGAATGTTTCTTCCTTTATTTGTGTTGCCTCTGATTTCTTTCAGGAGTGTTTTGAGTTCTCTTTGTAGAGATCTTTCATCTCTTTGGTTAGCTGTATTTCTAGGTATTTCATTTTCTTTGGGGTTAATGTAAATTGGATTGTGTGTTTGATTAGACTCTCAGCCTGGATGTTATTGGTGTATAGAAATGCTACTAATTTTTGTACATTGTTTAGTATCCTGAAACCTTTCTTAAATCATTTTATCAGTTCTACTAGACTTTTGACGAAGTTCTTAGGGTTTTCTAAGTATAGAATCATATTGTCAGTGAAGAGAGATATTTTGATTTCTTCTTTTTCTATTCAGCTGCCTTTTATTTCTTTCTCTTGCCTGATTGCTCTGGCTAGGACTTCCAGTAATATTTTGAATAAGAGTGGTGAGAGTGGGCATCCTTGACCTGTTTCTGTTCTCAAGGGAAATGGTTCCAGTTTTATCAATTTAGTATGATGTTTGCTGTGGGGCTGTCATCGAAGGCTGTTATTATTTTGAGCTATGTTCTTTCAATGCCTAGTATGTTGAGGGTTTTTTTTTAAATCATAAAAGGATGTTGGATTTCATTGAAAGCTTTTTCTTCATGTATTAGGATGATGATATCATTTTGCTTTTAATTCTGTCTATGTGGTGAATCACAATTGTTATTTTGTGTATGTTGAACAAGTCTTGCATCTTTGGAATAAAGCATACTTGATCATGATGAATTAACTTTTTGATGTTCTTGTGAATTCAGCTTACCGGTATTTTGTTGGAAATTTTTGCATCTATGTTAATCAGAGGTAGTGGCTTGAAGTTTTCTTTCTTAATCTTGTCTCTGCCAGATTTTGATGGTAGGATTATGCTGGCTTCATAGAGTGAGTTAAGGAAGAGTCCCTCCTCCTCAATTTTTTAGAATAGTTTTAGTAGGATTGTACCAGTTCTTTTTTATACCTCTGGCAGAATTCAGCTATGAATCCACCTAGTCCAGGGCTTTTTTTGTTTGTTATTTTTTTTTATTACTGATTCAATTCAGAGCTCAAAATTGGTATATTCAGGGTTTCAATCTCTTTTGATTCAATGTTGAGAGATTGTGTGATTCCAATAATTTCTCTGTTTTGTTTGGATTTTCTAATTTCTGTGCATAGGGTTGTCCATAGTATTCTCTGAGGATTTTTGTATTATTGTAGGGTCAGTTGTAATGTCATCTGTGTCATCTCTGATTATACATATTTGGATCTTTTTTTTTTCCTTATCAGTCTTGCTAGTGGTATGTCAATCTTGTTTATTTGAAAAAGTAAGTCTTGCTTTCATTGATTCTTTTTGTGAATTTTTGCATTTCAATTTTATTAAGTTCTTATCTAATTTGAGTTATTTCTTTTCTTCTGCTAGCCTTGAGGTTGCTTTGTTCTTTCTCTTCTAGTTCCTTTAGGTGCAACATTAGGTTGTTAATTTCAGATCCTTCTAACTACTTGATGAAGGCATTTAGGGGTATAAACTTTCCTCTTAACACTTAACACACTTAATTTTCATTTAGCTGCATCCTAGAGATTTTTGTCAATTGTTTCCCTATTTTTATTAATTTCAAAGAATTCTTTGACTCTGTCTTAATTTTTATGCTTGCCCACGAGTTATTCAGGACCAGGTTGTTTAATTTCCATGTATTTCTATAATTTTGAGAGATCTTCTTGATATTGATTTTCATGTTTATTGCACTATCGTTCACGAGTGTGCTTGTTATAATTTCAACTTTGTTTGAGTTTATTGAGACTTGCTTTATGACCAAGCATGTGGCCAATCTTAGAGTGTGTTCTATGTGCAGAAGAGAAAAATGTATACTTTGTGGTTGTTTGGTAGAGTGTTCTATAATTGTCTATAGGTCCAATTTGTCAAGTGTTGAGCTTAAGTCCAAAGTAACTTTGTTAGTTTTCTGCCTCAATTATCTGTCTAATGCTGTCAGTATGGTGTTGAAGTCTCCCACTATTGTTGTGTTGTTAAGTCTTTTCATATGCTAAGAAGAACTTGTTTTTTGAATCTGGATGCTTCAATGTAGGGTGTACATATTTAGGATTGTTAAGTGTTGTTGTTGGATTGTACACCCTATCATTATGTGATGGCTTTTATTGTCCTTCTTGATTGTTGTTGGCTTAAAGTCTGTTTTATCTGACATAAGAATAGTAACTCCTACATTTTTTTGTTTTCCATTTGCACAGTAGATCTTTCTCCATTCTTTACTTTGAGACTGTGGGTGTCATTACATGTGAGATGGGTCAGTTGAAGACAGAAAATTGTTGAGTGTTGCCTTTGATCCAGCTTGCCACTTTGTGTCTTTTGAATGGTGTGTTTAGCCCACTTACATTTAAGGTTATTATTGATATGTGTGATTTTGATTTTGTCATTATGTTGTTAGCTAGTTATTATGTAGACCTAATTGCATAGTTGCTTCACAGTGCCTGTGTGCTACAAGTGTGTTTTTTGGTAGCAGATATCATTCTTTCAATTCCATGTTTAGCAATGAGTATGTTGTTAATAAATTGTGGCAGGAAATAATACAGGCATACCTGAAAGACATTCTGAGTTCACATACAGACTACTGCGATAAGGTTAATATTGCAAAACAAATTAGTCATGCAATTTTTTTGATTCTTTAGTACATATAAGAGATATTATGTTTACACTCTACTGTTGTTTATTAAGTGTGCTATGGCATTATATCCAAAAAACTGCATACCTTAATTTAAAATTAATTTATTGTTAAAATGCTAATGGTAATCTAAGCCTCCAACAAGTCACAATATTTTACTGGTGGAGGGTCTTGTTTTCATGTTGATGGCAGCTGACTGATCAGGGAGGTGGTTGCTGAAGGTTGGAGTGGCCGTGGTAGTTTCTTAAAATAAGACAATAATGAGGTTTGCCACATTGATTCTTTCTTTTATAAAAGATTTCTCTGCAGTATGTAATGTTGTTGGATAGCATTTTACCCATTAGAACTTCTTTCAAAACTGGAGTCAATCTTCTCAAATCCCACCACTACTTTATTAACTAAATTTATCTAATAATTAAAATCCTTTGTTTTCATGTCAATAATTTACAGTATCTTCACCAGGAGTAGATTCCATCTCAATAAATGACTTACTTTGCTCATACATAGAAAGCAATCTCTCATCCATACAAGTTTTATCATATTGTTGCAGAAATTCAGTCACATCTTCAGGTACCTCTTCTAATCCTATCTTGCTATTTTCATCACATTTGCAGTTACTTTCTCCACTGAAGACTTGAACCCCTCAAAATTATCTAGGAGGATTGGAATCAACTTTTTCCAAGCTTAATGTTAATATTTTAATCTCCTCCCATGAATCACAAATGTTTAGTCACATCTGGAATTATGAATCCTTCCAGATGGTTTTCAAAGTACTTTGTACAGATTGATCAAAGGAATTACAATCTGTGGCAGCTATAGCCTTATGAAATGTATTTCTTAAATAACAAGATTTACATTTAAAGTCAAAATAACTCCTTAATCCATGGGCTGCAGAATGGATATTGTGTTAGCAGACATGAAAACAACATTACTCTCCTTGTTCATCTCCATTAGAGCTCTTGGGTAACCAGGTGCATTGTCACTGAACAATAATATATTGAAATAAATTTTTTTATGAGCTGTAGGTCTTGACAGTGAGCTTAAAATATTCAGTTAAGCATGCTGTAAACAGATGTGCTGTCATCTGGGGTTGGTTGTTCTAGGGCACAAGCAGAGTAGATTTAGCAAATTCTTAAGGTCCCTAGGACTTTTTAAAATTTCAAATGAGCATTGGCTTCAACTTAAATTCACCAGCTGCATTAGCCCCTAATAGTCAGCCTGTCATTGGAAATTTTAAAGCCAGGCATTGACCTCTCCACTCTAGTTATGAAAGTTCCATATATTATATTCTTCTAATATAAGGCTGTTTTATCTATATTGAAAATCTTTGTAGTATAGCTACCTTCATCAGCTTTTTAAACTAAATCTTCCAGATAACTTGCTGCAGCTTCTACATCAGCACTTCTTGCTTCACCATGTAGTTTTATATTATGAAGACCACTTTTTTCCTTAAACCTCATGAACCAACTTTTTCTAGCTGTAAACTTTTTTCTGCAACTTTCTCATCTCTCTCAGCCTTCATAGAATTGAATACAGTTAGGGCCTTGCTCTGGATTAGGCCTTGGCTAGAGGGTATGTCATGGCTGGTTTACTATTCTATTATGACTACTAAAACTCTCTAGATATCACTAATAAGGATGTTCAACTTTCTTGTCACTTATAAATTCACTGGAATCACACTTTTAATTTCCTTCAAAAACACTTTTTTTGCATTTACAATTTGGCTTTTGGGTGCAAGAGGCCTAGCTTTCATCCTCTCTTGGATTTCTACATGTCTCTTCACTAAACTTAATCATTTCTAGGTTTTGATTTAAAATGAGAGAAATGTGACTCTTCTGTTCACTTGAACACTTAGAGGCCATTACAGGGTTGTTAATTGGCCTGATTTCAACATTGTGTCTCACAGAATAAGGAGACCTGAGGAGAGTGAGAGTGATGGAGAAACAGCCCATTAGTGGAGCAGTCAGAATACACACAACATTATTGATTAAGTTTTCCATCATTTATGGGTGCAGTTTGTGTGCCTCCAAACAATTACAATGGTAATATCAAAGATCATTAATCACAGATCACTAGAACACATATAATAATGATTAAAAAGTTTGAAATATTGCAAGAATTACCAAAATATAACACAGACACAAAGTGAGGACACGGTGTTGGCAAATGATACCAGATTTGCTCAATGCAGTTACCAGAAACTGTCCATTTATAAAAAAATGCAATATCTGAGAAATGCAGTAATGCAAAGTGCAATAAAACAAGGTATTCATGTACCTCAATGCAATGTTTGTCAATCCGCTACTCTACAAATTTGAGAGACCACAGTATGCTGAAATCCTAGGAGATCACCCTGGTACCCCCATGTCCCAGGTGTATGGAGCACCACAGCTAGAGAGATCATTTGTATAAATGGGAGGAATTTTGGGTTATACACCCTGGATGAGAAAAATCTTGCTTAATTACTTACTGAATCTTTATGATAATTCCTAAAAAACCCAGAAAAATATTCTGCAATTTTGCTTACAGTGACTCCTGTATTATGAAGTGACTGCTCCTGAGTATCATCAAAACCTGTGTGAGAGGTGATAACACTCTCTATATAGTTGGATATCTGTAAAGATATTTTTGTTTTCAGTTCTTCTCTTTTTTGAATGACATACCTTGAAGATAGGGTATGGCAGAATTGATTATTGTTTTCTCTTTGATTTTAAACAGAGAAAATAAAAAAGCGTATAACTCCTGTTGTGTTTTCTTACCATTTTTGTTATAAAGTTGCTACCTGTGTATTAAATAATGGACAATTGAGCGGCATGCTGTAAAGTGTTTAATTGCTTAGTTGACAAAGCTCCTTTTGAGTGTCAGTGATTCTATAACTTTAATATTATGCGCTTTTATACCATGCTAATGTTATATGACACAATGATCTAAGTCTTAGATTCAAAGATTCAATTCAGTTTAATAACTAACACACTCATTCATTTGTACTTCTTTTTATATGGAGCCTAAAGTAAAGAGCTCATCTTTTTCAAGTCATCCATGTTGTTCCTTAGGCTTTTTATCTTTGGTCAGATTTTTGAAGAATTGTGGCTTGTTTTATGGTTTTTGTATTTGTGTCTCATGCACATTTTAACATAATAAACACTGCATTGTATAGCTACAGCTTCTGGAAAAGTAAATCTTTTAGAAATTGTCTTTCAGATTGTCAATAAACTTTTTCTTTAAATTTCAAAAAGGAAAAGAAAAAACTGTCAAGAAAAGAAAATATTCAACAAAATTATCTTAAAAAAAAAAAGAAATTAAGACTTTCCCAGATAAACAAAATGTGAGAAAGTTCATCACTAGTAGGACTGCCATACAAAAAAAAAATTAAAATGAGTTCCTGAAGCTCAAATAAAAGGACATTAAACGATAAGTTAAAACCATATTTTAAAGAAAAAAACTGATAAAAGTAACAACACAAGTAAATATAAAAGGCAGTACTGTACCTTTGAATTGTAACTTTTCTTCTTATTACCTACATAATTTAAAGGTATATAAAACAACTATAGACCTATATTAATGGGCACAAAATGTTTAAATACATAATCTGTGACAATAACATAAGGAGGGGGCAGAGATTTACAGGAGCAGAGTTTTTATATGTCATTGAAGCTAGGTTGATAATAATTCAAATTCAATTGTTAGAAATTTAGGATATTAATTGTAATCTTCAAGGTAACTAAGAACAAAAATCACCTGGTGACTATCAAGCAAGCCCCATAGACAAATCGCCTTATCTGAGAAATGTGGAAGTATAATGAAGGGAGCAAAGATCCCTTGGTGACCATCAAAAAGGCCATCCAGAGGCAAAACTCTTTATCTGGGGAATTTAGAAGTAATTAAACTTCTCTAGTGTTTAAAGTCGGCTTCTGGTTCCAGGTCTTTTTTTTTTTTCTTTAATTTTACTTTAAGTTCTGGGACACATGTGTAAAACATGCAGGTTTGTTACATAGATATACATGTGCCATGGTGGTTTCCTGCACCTATCAACACGTCATTTAGGTTTCAAGCCCCGCATACATTAGGTATTTGTCCTAATGCTCCCTTCCCTTGACCTCACCCCCCGGGTTAGGTATTTGTCCTATTCTTTCCCTTCCCTTGACTCACCCCCTGACAGGCCCCGGTGTGTGTTTTTCCTCTCCCTGTGTCCATATGTTCTCATTGTTCAACTCCCAATTATGAGTGAGAACATGCAGTGTTTGGTTTTCTGTTCCTGTGTTAGTTTGCTGAGAATGATGGCTTCCAGCTTCATCCATGTCCCTGCAAACCAAATGAACTCAACCTTTTTGTGGCTGCATAGTATTTCATGGTGTATATGTGCCACATTTTCTTTATCCAGTCTAGCATTGATGGGCATTAGGGTTGCTTCCAAGTCTTTGCTATTGTAAACAGTGCTGCAGTAAACATATGTGTGCATGTGTTTTTATAGTAGAATAATTTGTAATCCTTTGGGTATATACCCAGTAATGGGATTGCTTGGTCAAATGGTATTTCTGGTACTAGATGCTTGAGGAATTGCCACACTGTCTTCCACAATGGTTGAACTAATTTACATTCCCACCAATGGTGTAAAAGCATTCCTATTTCTCCACAGCCTTGCCAGCATCTATTGTTTCCTGACTTTTTCATAATTGCCATTCTGACAGTCATGAGATGGTATCTCATTGTGGTTTTAATTTGCATTTCTCTAATGACTAGTGATGATGAGCTTTTTTTCATATATTTGTTGGCTGCATAAATGTCTTCTTTTGAGAAGTGTCTGTTCATATTCTTTGCCTACTTTTTGATGGAGTTGTTTGTTTTATTCTTATAAATTTGTTTAAGTTCCTTATAAATTCTGAATTTAGACCTTTGTCAGATGGGTAGATTGCAAAAATTTTCTCCCATTCTGTGGGTTTCCTATTCACTCTGATGATAGTTTCTTTTGCTGTGCAGAAGCACTTTAGTTCAATTAGATCCCATTTGTCTATTTTGGCTTTTGTTGCAATTGCTTTTGGTTTTTAGTTATGAAGTCTTTGCCCATGCATGTGTCCTGAATGCTATTGCTTAGGTTTTCTTCTAGGGTTTTTATGGTTTTGGATTTGACATTTAAGTCCCTAATCCATCTTGACTTAATTTTTGTATAAGGTGTAAAAGAGGGGCCAGTTTCTGTTTTCTGTATATGGCTAGCCAGTTTTCCCAGCACCATTTATTAAATAAGGAAGCCTTTCCCCATTGCTTGTTTTTGTCAGGTTTGCCAAAGATCAGATGGTTGTAGCTATATGGTGTTATTTCTGAGGTCTCTGATCTGTTCCATTAGTCTATATATCTGTTTTGGTACCGGTACCAAACAGATACTGTTTTGGTACCGGTACCAAGCAGATACTGTTTTGGTACTGGTACCAAGCAGATACTGTTTTGGTTACTGCAGCCTTGTAGTATAGTTTGAAGTCAGGTAGCCCGATGCCTCCAGCTTTGTTCTTTTTCTTTAGGATTGTCTAGCTATACGGGCTCTTTTTGGTTTCCATGCAAAATTTATAGTGTTTTTTTCTAATTCTGTGAAGAAAGTCAGTGCTAGCTTGATGGGAATAGCATTGAATCTATAAATGACTTTGGCAGTATGGTCATTTTCAAGATAGTGATTCTCTCTATCCATGAACATGGGATTTTTTTTCCATTTCTTTGTGTCCTCTCTTATATCCTTGAGCAGTGGTTTGTAGTTCTTGACGAGGTCCCTCATGTCCCTTGTAAGTTGTATTCCTAGGTATTTTATTCTTTTTGTAGCAATTGTGAATGGGCGTTCACTCATGATTTGGCTCTCTGCATGTCTATTATTAGTGTATAGGAATGCTTGCTATTTTCACACACTGATTTTGCATCCTAAGACTCTTCTGAAGTTGCTTATCAGCTTAAGGAGTTGTGGGGCTGAGACGGTGGGGTATTCTAAATATGGAATCATGTCATCGGCAAACAGAGACAATTTGACTTTCTCTTTTTCTATTTGAAGGTCCTTTATTTCTTTTTCTTGCCTGATTGCCCTGGCCAGAACTTCCAACAATATGTTGAATAGGAGTGGTGAGAGAGGGCATCCTTGTCTTGTGCCAGTTTTCAAAGGAAATGCTTCCAGCTTTTCACCATTCAATATGATATTGGCTATGGGTTTGCCATAAATGGCTCTTATTATTTTGAGATACGTTCCATCAATACATAGTATATTGAGATTTTTTTAACATGAAGGGATGCTGAATTTTATTGAAGTTCTTTTCTGTATCTATTGAGATAATCATGTGGTTTTTGTCATTGGTTCTGTTTATGTGATGGATTATGTTTATTGATTTGTATATGTTGAACCAGCCTTGCATCGCAGGGATGAAGCCGACTTGATCATGGTGAATAAGCTTTTTGATGTGCTGCTGGATTTGGTTTGCCAGTATTTTATTGAGGATTTTTGCATTGGTGTTCATCAGGAATATTGGCCTGAAATTTTTGGTGGTGTTGTGTCTCTGCCAGATTTTGGTATCAGGATGATGCTGGCCTCATAAAATGAATTAGGAAGGAGTCTCTTATTTTCTATTGTTTGGAAGAGTTTCAGAAGGAATGGTACCAGCTCCTCTTTGTACCTCTGGTAGAATTTGGATGTGATTCCATCTGGTCCTGGGCTTTTTTTGTTGGTAGGCTATTAATTACTGCCTTGATTTCAGAACTCGTTATCGGTCTATTCAGGGATTCGAGTTCTTCCTGGTTTAGTCTTGGGAGGGTGTATGTGTACCGGAATTAATCCATTTTTTTCTAGATTTTCTAGTTTATTTGCATAGAGGTGTTGGTAGTATTCTCTGATGATAGTTTATATTTCTGTGGGATCAAAGATGATATCCCCTTTATCATTTTTTATTGTGTTTACTTGATTCTTCTCTCCTTTATTCTTCATTAGTCTAGCTAGTGGTCCATCTATTTTGTTAGTCTTTTCAAACTACCAGCTCCTGGGTTTATTAATTTTTTGAAGGGTTTTTTGTGTCTCTATCACCTTCAGTTCTGCTCTACTCTTAGTTATTTCTTGTGTTCTGCTAGCTTTTGAATTTGTTTGCTCTTGTTTCTCTAGTTTTTTAATTGTGATGTTACAGTGTCTATTTTAGATCTTTCCAGCTTTCTGTTGTGGGCATTTAGTGCTATAAATTTTCCTCTAAATACTGCTTTAGCTGTGTCCCAGAGATTCTGGTACGTTGTCTCTTTGTTCTCATTGGTTCCAAAGAACTTCTTGATTTCTGCTTTAATTTCGTTATTTACCCAGTACTCATTCAGGAGCAGGTTTTTCAAGTTCCATGTAGTCGTGCAGTTTTGAGTGAGTTTCTTAATCCTGAGTTCTAATTTGATTGCACTGTGGTCTGAGAGACTATTATGATTTCAGGTCTTTTGCGTTTGCTGAGGAGTGTTTTACTTCCAATTTTGTGGTCAATTTTAGAACAAGTGCTATGTCACTCTGAAAAGAATGTATATTCTGTTGATTTGGGGTGGAGAGTTTTGTAGACTTCTTTTAGGTCTGCTTGGTATAAAGCTGAGTTCAAGTCCTGAATATTCTTAATTTTCTGTCTCATTTATCTGTCTAATATTGCAGTGAGGTGTTAAAGTCTTCCACTATTATTGTTTGGGAGTCTGATTCTCTATGTAGGTCTCTAACAACTTGTTTTATGAATCTGGGTGCTGTTGTATTGGGTGAATATATATTTAGGATAGTTAGCTCTTTTTGTGGCATTGATCTCTTTACCATTATATAATGCCCTTCTTTGTCTTTTCTGATCTTTGTTGGCTTAAAGTTTGTTTGATCCAAGTCTAGGTTTGCAACCCCTGCTTTTTTTTCTGTTTTTTACTTTCCATTTGCTTGCTAAATATTCCTCTATCCCTTTATTTTGAGCCCATGTGTATCTTTGCACGTGAGATGGGTCTCCTGAATACATAACATACGGATGGATCTTGACTCTTCAACCAATTTGCCTGTCTGTGTCTTTGAATTGGGGCCTATAGCCCATTTACATTTAAGGTTAATACTCTTATGTGTGAATTTTATCCTGTCATTATGATGCTAGCTGGTTATTTTTCACATTAGTTGATACAGTATCTTCATGGTGTCATTGCTGTTTATATTTTTGTGTGTTTTTGTGTGTTTTGGCTGGTACCAGTTTTTCTATCCATATTTAGTGCTTCCTTCAGGAGATCTTGTAAGGCAGGCCTGGTGTTGACAATATCACTCAGCATTTGCTTCTCTGGAAAGGATTTTGTTTATCCTTCACTTATGAAGCTTAGTTTGGCCAGACATGAAATTCTGGGTTTAAAATTATTTTCTTTAAGAATGTTTAATATTGGCCCCCACTCTCTTCTGGCTTGTAGAGTTTCTACTGAGAGATCCGCTGTTTGTCTGATGGGCTTCCCTTTGTAGGTAACTTGACCTTTCTCTCTTGCTGCCCTTAACATTCTTTCCTTCATTTCAACCCTGGAGAATCTGGCAATTATGTTTCTTGGGGATGCTCTTCTTGTGGAGTATCTTTATGGTGTTCTCTGTATTTCCTGAATTTGAATGTTGGCCTGTCTTGGTAGGTTGGGGAATTTCTCCTGGATAATATCCTGAAGTGTGTTTTCCAACTTGATTCCATTCTTCCTGTGACTTTCAGGTACACCAATCAATCATAGGTTTGGCTTTTTCACACAGTCCCATATTTCTTGGAGGCTTTGTTTGCTCCTTTTCATTCTTTTTTCTCTAATCTTGTCTTCATGACTTATTTCAGTAAGTTGATCTTCAATCTCTGATATCCTTTCTTCTGCTTGATTGATTTGGCTATTGATACTTGTATATGCTTCACGAAGTTCTCATGCTGTGTTTTTCATCTCCATCAGGTCATTTATGTTCCTCTCTAAACTGGTTATTCTAGTTAGCATTTCCTGTAACCTTTTATTAAGGTTTTTAGTTTCCTTGCATTCGGTTAGAACACACTCCTTTAGCTCAGAGGAGTTTGTTATTACAAACTGCTGAAGCCTACTTCTGCCAACTCGTCAATCTCATTCTCCATCCAGTTTTGTGCGTTTGCTGGAGAGGAGTTGCAATCATTTGGAGGAGATGAGGCATTCTGGTTTTTGGAATTTTCAGCCTTTTCCCACTCATTTTTTCTCATCTTCGTGGATTTATCTACCTTTGTCCTTTGAGGCTGATGACCTTTGAATGGGGTTTGTGGGGTGGCGGGGGGCGTCTTTTATGTTGATGTTGATGTTGTTGCTTTCTGTTTGTTAGTTTTTTTTCTAACAGTCAGGCCCCTCTTCTGCAGGTCTGCTGTGGTTTGCTGGAGGTCCACTCCAGATCCTGTTCACATGGGTATTACCGGTGGAGGCTGCAGAACAATAAAGATTGCTGCCTGCTCCTTCCTCTGGAAGCTTCACCCCAGAGGGGCACTGGCCTTATGCCAGCCGGAGCTCTCCTGTATGAGGTATCTGTCAGCCCTGTTGAGAGGTTTCTCCCAGTCAGGAGGCTCAGGAGTCAGGCACTCACCTGAGGAGGCAGTCTTTCCCTTAGCAGAGCTGGTGCAGTTTGCTGGGAGAATGTCTTTTGTCAGAATCAGCTGCTCTCTTCAGAGCTGGCAAGCAGGAATGATTAAATCCACTGAAGCTGCACCCACAGCTGCCCCTTACCCCATGTGCCATGTCCCAGGGAAATGGGGGTTTTGTCTGTAAGCTGCTGACTGGGACTGTTATCTTTCCTTCAGAGATGCCCTGCCCAGTCAAGAGAAATCTAGAGAAGTAGTCTGGCCACAGTTGCTTTGTCACACCCAGCCCAGACCTCCCAGCCTCCTTAGCACTGTCAGGGGAAAACCGCCTACTAAAGCCTCAGTAATGGCGGACACCCTTCCCCACACCACGCTGGACTCTCCCAGGTTGACTTCAGACTGCTGGGTTGGCAGCGAGAATTTCAAGCCAGTGTTTCTTTGCTTACTGGGCTCTGTGGGAGTGGGACCCACCGAGTGAGATCACTTGGCTCCCTGGTTTCAGACCCCTTTCCAGGGGAGTGGACAGTTCTGTCTCACTGTGGTTCCAGGCACTTCTGGGGTACAAAAAATAAAAAATAAGCACAGTTCCTCATGGCTTCCCTTGGCTGGTGGGAGGGAGATCCTCAGCCCCTTGTACTTCCTGGGTGAAGTGACCCCCACCCTTCTTCTGCTCACCCTTCACAGGTTGGAGCCACTGCCTAACCAGCCCCAGTAAGATGAACTGGATACCTCAGTTGGAAATGCAGAAATCACCCACCTTCTGCATAGGTCTCACTGGGAACTGCAGACTGGAGCTGCTCCTATTCGGTCATCTTGGCCCCTCCACTCGAACCTACAATTGATTGGAGTGCCAGAAGGAGATGGGGAGAATGGAAACAAGCTGGAAAACACCCTTAGGGATATTATCCAGGAGAACTTCCCCAACCTAGTAAGACAGACCAACATGTAAATTCAGGAAATACAGAGAACACCCTTAAGATACTCCATGAGAAGATCAAACCCAGGACACATAATCATCAGATTCTCCAAGGTCAAAATGAAGGAAAAAATGTTAAGGGGAGCCACAGAGAAGGGCCAGGTCACCTACAAAGGGAAGCCCATCAGACTAACAGTGAACTTCTCAGCAGAAACTCTACAAGCCAGAAGAGATTGGAGGCCAATATTCAACATTCTTAAAGAAAAGAATTTTCAACCCAGAATTTCATATCCAGCCAAAGTAAGTTTCCTAAGTGAAGGAGAAATAAAATCCTTTCCAGACAAGCAAATTCTGAGAAATTTTGCTACCACCAGGCTTTCCCTGCTAGAACTCCTGAAACAAGCACTGACTATGGAAAGGAGAAACTGGTACCAGACACTACAAAAACACACCAAATTATAAAGATTAATGACACTACATAAAAACTGCATCAACTAGTGCACAAAATAACCAAATGACATCATGAAGACAGGATCAAATTTACATATAACAGTACTAACCTTAAATGTCTCAGGTAAAAGACACAGACTGGCAAATTGGATAAGGAGTCAAGACCCAGTGGTGTGCTGTATTCAGGAGACCCATCTTACATGCAAAGACACACACACAGGCTCAAAATAAAAGGAGGAAAATTTACCAAGCAAATGCAAAGGAAAAAAAAGCAGGGATTGCAATCCTAGTCTCTGACAAAACAGACTTTAAACCAACAAAGATCAAAGAAGACAAAGTAGGGCATTACATAATGGTAAGGGAACAATTCAACAAGAAGAATGAACTATTCTGAATATATATGCACCCAATACAGGAGCACCCAGATTCAGAAAACAAGTTCTTAGAGACCTACAAAAAGACATAGACTCCCACACAATAATAGTAAGAGATTTTTACACTCCACTGTCAGTATTAGACCAATCAGTGAGACAGAAAATTAACAAGGATATTCAGGACCTGAACTCAGCTCTGGATCAAGCAGACCTAGTAGACATCTACAGAACTCTTTACTCCAAACCAACAGCATATACATTCTTCTCAGTGTCACATGGCACTTATTCTAAAATTGGCCACATAAATGAAAGTAAAACACTTCTCAGCAAATGCAAAAGAACTGAAATCATAACAGTTTCTCAGACCACAGTGCAATCAAATTAGAACTCAGGTTAAGAAACTCACTCAAAACCACACAATTTCATGGAAATTGAACAACCTGCTCCTGAATAACTCCTGGGTAAATAATGAAATTAAGGCAGAAACCAAGTAGTTTTTTGAAACCAATGAGAACAAAGAGACAACATACCAAAATCTCTGGTATACAGCTAAAGCAGTGTTAAGACAGAAATTTATAGCACTAAATGTCCACATCAGTAAGTTAGAAATATCTCAAATCAACTCCCTAACATCACAATTAAAAGAGCTAGAGAAGCAAGAGCAAACAAATCCAAAAGCTAGCAGAAGACAAGAAATAACCAACATCAGAGAAGAACTGAATGAGATATAGACATGAAAAACTCTCCAAAAAACTTGAATCCAGGAGCTGTTTTTTGAAAAGATTTACAAAATAGATAGACCGCTAGTCAGACTAATTAAAAATAACGAAATTAAAAAGAGAGAAGAACCAAATAGACACAATAAAAAAATGATACAGGGGATATCACCATTGACCCCACAGAAATACAAACTAACATCAGAGAATACTATAAACACCTCTACACAAATAAACTAGAAAATCTAGAAAAAATGGAAAAATTCCTGGATGCATTCACCCTACCAGGACTAAACTGGAAAGAAATTGAATCCCTGAATATACCAATAACAAGTTCTGAAATTGAGGCAGTAATTAATAGCCTACCAACCCAAAAAAGACCAGAACCAGATGGATTCACACCCAAATTCTAGCAGAGGTACAAAAGGAGCTGGTATCATTCCTTCTAAAGCTATTCCAAACAACTTAAAAAGAGGGACTCCTTCCTAACTCATTTTATGAAGGCAGCATCATCCTGATAACAAAACATGTCAGAGACACAACAACAAAAAAAAGAAAACTTCAGGCCAATATCCCCAATGAAGATCGACGCAAAAATCCTCAATAAAATACTGGGAAACCGAATTAAGTAGCTCATCAAAAAAATTGATCCATCACGATCAAGTTGTCTTCATCCCTGGGATGGAAGGCTTGTTCAACATATGCAAATCAATAAATGTAATCCATCACATGAACAGAAACATAGACAAAAACCACATGATTGTCTCAATAGATGCAGAAAAGGCCTTTGATAAAATGCAACATCCCTTCATGTCAAAAACTCTCAACAAACTAGGTATTGATGGAACATATCTCAAAATAATAAGAGCTATTTATGAAAAACTCACAGCCAATATACTGAATGGGCAAAAGCTGGAAGCATTCCCTTTGAAAACCGGTACAAGACAAGTATGTCCTCTCTCACCACTTCTATTCAACATAGTATTGGAAGTTCTGGCCAGGGCAATCAGACAAGAGAAAAAAATAAAAGGCCTTCAAATAGGAAGAGGGGAAGTCAAACAGTCTCTGTTTGCAGATGACATAATTTTATATTTAGAAAACCCCATCATCTCGGCCCAAAAACTTTTCTTTTTTTTTTTTTTTTTTTTTTTTTTGAGACAGACTCCTTCTGTCACCCAGGCTGCAGTGCAGTGGTGTGATCTCAGCTAACTGAGATCACATGGAGGCTAACTGCAGCCTCCATCTCCCAGGTTCAAGTGATTCCCTTGCCTCAGCCTCCTGAGTGGCTGGGACTACAGATGTGCACAACCACACCTGGCTAATTTTTTTGTATTTCTTTTAGTGGAGACGGAGTTTCACCATGTTGGTCAGGCTAGTTTTGAACTCCTGACCTCAGGTGATCTGCCTACCTTTGCCTTTCAAAGTGCTGCAGTTTCAGGCATGAACCAACATGCCCAGCCCCTAAAACTTTTTGAACTGATAAGCAACTCCAGCAAAGTCTCAGGATACAAAATCAATGTGCAAAAATCACAAGCATTCCTATACACCAACAATAGGCAAGCAGAGAATGAACTCCATGAATGAACTCCCATTCACAATTGCTACAAATAGAATAAAATACCTAGAAATACAGCTCACAAGGAATGGGAATGACCTTTTGAAGGAGAACTACAAACCACTGTTCAAGGACATAAGAGAGGACACAAAAAATGGAAAAACATTCCATCTTCATGGATAGCAAGAATCAATATCATGAAAATGGACGTACTGCCCAAAGTAATTTATGGATTCAATGCTATTTCCATCAAACTACTATTGACACTCTTCACAGAATTAGAAAAAAACTATTTTAAGTTTCATATAGAATCGAAGAAGACCCTGTATAGCCAAGACAATCCTAAGCAAAAAGAACAAAGCTGGAAGCATCATGCTACCTGACTCCAGAATATACTACAAGACTACAGTTAAAAAAAAAAACAAACTCCAGCATGGTACTGGTAACAAAACAGACATGTAGACCAGTGGAGCAGAACAGAGACCTCAGAAATCACACCACAAATCTACAGCCATATGATCTTTGACAAATCTGACAAAAACAAGCAATGGGAAAAGGATCTCCTATCCCATAAATGGTGCTGGGAAAACATTCTAGCCATATGCAGAAAACTAAAACTGGACCTCTTCCTCACACCTTATACAAAACTTAACTCAAGATGGATTAAAGACTTAAAAGTAAAACCCAAAACCGTAAAAACCCTAGAAGAAAACCTAGGCACTACCATTCAGGACATAGGCATGGGCAAAGTCTTCATGACTAAAACACCAAAAACAATGGCATCAAAAGCCAAAATTGACAAATGGGATCTACTTAAACTAAAGAGCTTCTGCACAGCAAAAGAAAGTATTATCAGAGTGAACAGGCAACCTGCAGAATGGAAGAAAATGTTTGCAATCTATCCATCTGACAAAGGTCTAATATCCAGAATCTACAACGAACTTCAACAAATTTCCAAGAAAAAACAAACAAACAAAGCTCAACATCACTGATCATCAGAGAAATGAAAATCAAAACAACAATGAGATACCACCTCATGCCCGTGAGAATGGCAACTATTAAAAAGTCAGGAAACAATAGATGCTGGGGAGGCTGCAGAGAAAGAAGAATGCTTTTACACTGTTGGTGGGAATGTAAATTAGTTCAACCATTGTGGAAGACAGTGTGGCGATTCCTCAAGGATCTGGAACCAGAAATACCATTTGACCCAGCAATCCCATTACTGGGTATATACTCAAGAGAATATAAATCATTCTACTATGAAGACACATGCACACGTATGTTTATTGCAGCACTATTTACAATAGAAAAGACATGAAACCAACCGAAATGCTTATCAATAATAGAATGAAGAAAATGTAGTACACATATACCATGGACCACTATGCAGCCATAAAAAAAATTGGATCATGTCCTTTGCAGGGACATGGATGAAGCTGAAAGCCATCATCTTCAGCAAACTAACACAGGAACAGAAAACCAAACACCCCATGTTCTCACTCATAAGTGGGAGTTGAACATTGAGAACACATGGGCACAGGGAGGGTAATAACACACCAGGGACAGTTGGGGGTGAGGGGTGAGGGGAGGGAATTTAGAGGATGGGTCAATAGGTGCAGCAAACCACCATGGCACATGTATACCTATGAAACAAACCTGCACATTCTGCATATATATCTCATTTTTTTTAAGAATAAAAAAAGAGAGAGAAAAAAAAGAAAAACTACCTATTCGGTACTATGCTCACTCCCTGGATTACAGGACCCATGCTTCAATCTTTAGCATCACACAATATACCCATGTTACTAATCATCACATATACCCTCATATGTAAAAGAAAAGTTGAAATTATATTTTTTAAAATGTTTTACATCAAGGAAGAGCCCAGGACCTGACAGTTTCACTGTTGAATTCCAGCAAATATTTTAAAAGGTACTAATACAAATTTTCCACAAACTTTTACAAAAAATTGAAGAAGATTGATGATTGATTCCTTCCTAACCCATGTTACAAGTCCGGCATTACCCTGATTCCACAACCATTCAAGGAAACAACAAAAATAAATATTCCAGGCCAGTATTTCTGATGAAAATAGTTGCAAAAATTATCATCAAGATATTAGCAAATAGTATCAATAGTTCAAATGATAATTTACTATGATCAGTTCAAATTTTTCCCAGAGATATAAGGATAGTTTATGACATGCAAATAAATAAATGTGATACAACACATTAACAGACAAACAAAAATTATATGATTATTTCAGTAGACACAAAAATGCATTTTACAAAATCATCATCCCTTCATGATAAGAACTCAAAAAATTTCATGTAGAAGGATTGTACATAAACACAATAAAGGCCATAGATGACAAACTCACAGTGAACTTAATACTGAATGGGGAGCAACTGAAAATATTTTCTCTAGAAATTAGCAACAAAACAAGAATGCCCATTTTCGCTATTTCTATTCAAGACAGCACTGGAAGCATTAGCCAGAGCACTTAGGCATGAGAGAGAAATAACAGGCATTCAAATTGAAAAGGAGGAAGTCAAACCATCCCTGTTCACAGAGGACATAATCTTATATGTAAAAAATACTAAAGATTCCACCAAAAAATAGACATTAGAACTAATAAACAAACCCAGTAAAGTTACAGGATGCAAACTTAGCATACAAAACTTAGAAGCATTTCTTTCTTGTTTTTTCTTCAACTTTTAAGTTCAGGGGTACATGTGCAGAATATGAAGGTTTCTTACATAGGTAAATGTATGCCATTATGGACTGCTGCATAGATGATCCCATCCCCCAGGATCCAGCCTAGCATCCATTAGCTGTTCTTTCCAATGCTCTCCCTCTTCTCACTCCAACTCCTCTGACAGGTCTCAGTGTATGTTGTTCCCTTCCATGCGTCCATGTGTTCTCATCATTCAGATCCCACTTATAAGTGAAAACATGCAGTATTTGGTTTTCCGTTCTTGCATTAGTTTGCTGAAAATAATGGCTTCCAACTCCATTCATGTCCCTGCAAAGGACATGATCTTGTTCCATTTTATGGCTGCATAGTATTTTATGGTGTATATGTACCACATTTTCTTTATTCAGTCTATCATTAATGGGCATTTGGGTTGATTCCATGTCTTTGCTTTTGTGAATAGTGCTGCAATGAACATATGTGTGTATGTATCTTTATAATAGAATGATTTATATTCCTTTGGGTATATACCCAGTAATGGGATTGCTGGGTGAAATGGAGTTTCCACACCTAGGTGTTTGAGGAATTGCCACACTGTCTCCCACAATGGTTGAACTAATTTATGTTCTCACCGACAGAGTAAAAGCTTTCCTTTTTTTCCACAACCTTGCCAGCATCTGTTGCTTTTTGCCTTTTTAATAACAGCTATTCTAACTGGCATAATATGGTATCTCATTGTGGTTTTGATTTGGATTCCTCTAATGATCAGTGATGTTGAGCTTTTTTTCATGTTTGTTGGCCACATATGTCTTCTTTTGAGAAGTGTCTATTTATGTTCTTTGCCCACTTTTTAATTGGGTTGTTTGTTTATTTTGTTGTTGTGAATTTAAGTTTCTTGTAGACTCTGGATATTAGACCATCATCAGATGAATAGATTGCAAAACTTTTCTCCCATTCTGTAAGTTGTCTGTTCAAGCTGATGATTGTTTCTTTTGATGTGCTGAAGCTCTTTGCTTTAATTAGATCCTAATTGTCAATTTTTGCTTTTGTTGCAATTGCCTTTGGTGTTTTCATCATGAAATCTTTGCAAGTGCCTATGTCCTTAATGGTATTGCCTAGATATTCTTCTAGGGTTTTTACAGTTTGGGGTTTTATATTTAAGTTTTTAATCCATCTTGAGTTGAGTTTTGTATATCATGTAAGGAAGGGATACAGTTTCAATTTTCTGCACATGGCTAGCCAGTTCTTCCAGCAGCATTTATTAAATATAAAATCCTTTCCCTCTTGCCTATTTTTGTCAGGTTTGTCAAAGATCAGATGGTTGTAGGTGTGTAGTCTTATTTCTGAGATCTCTATTCTGTTCCATTGGTCTGTATGTCTGTTCTTGTACCAGTACCATGCTGTTTTGATACTGTAGCCCTGTAGTATATTTTGAAGTCAGGTAGAGTGATGCCTCTTGCCTTGTTCTTTTTGCTTAGGATTGTCTTGGTGATTCGAGCTCTTTTTTGGTTCCATAGGAATTTTAAAATAGTTTTTTTTTCTAGTTCTGTGAAGAATTTCAATGGTACTTTAATGGGAATAGCATTGACTCTACCAATTACTTTGGGCAGTATAGCCATTTTCGGATTAATATTTTCATCCATGAGCATGGAATGTTTCTTTATTTGTATCCTCCCTGATTTATTTGAGCAGTGGTTTGTAGCTCTCCTTGAAGAGGTCCTTCACTTCCCTTGTTAGCTGTATTCTTAGGTATTTTACTCTTTTTGTAGCAATTATGAATGGAAATTTATTAATGATTTGTCTCTCTGCTTGTCTGTTGTTGTATAGGAATGTTTGTGACTTCTGCACATTGATTTTGTATCCTGAGACTTTGCTAAAGTTGCTTATCAGCTTAGAAAGCTATTGGGATGAGATGATGGTGTTTTGAGATATAGGATCATGTCATCTGCAAACAAAAATAATTTGACTTCATCTCTTCCTATTTCAGTACTCTCTATTTCTTTCTCTTGCCTGATTGCCCTGGCCAGAACTTCCAATATTATGTTTAACAGGAGTGGTGAGAGAGGGCATGCTTGTCTTGTGTCCACTTTTAAGGGGAATGCTTCCAGCTTTTGCCCATTCAGTATGATACTGGCTGTGGGTTTTTCATGTATGGTTTTTATTATTTTGAGGTATGTTCCGTGAATGCCTTGTTTACTGAGAGTTTTTAACCTGAAGGGATGTTGAATTCTATCAAAAGCCTTTTCTGCATCTATTGAGATAATCACATGTTTTATGTTTTAGTTCTGTTTATGGGATGAATCACATTCATTGATTTGCATAAGTTAAACAAACCTTGCGTCCTGGGGATGAAGCCAACTTGATCGTGATAAGCCATGTGCTGCTGGATTTGGTTTGCCAATATTTTATTCAGAATTTTTGCACTGATTTTCATCAAGGATCTTGGCCTGAGGTTTTTGTTGTTGTTGTTGTTGTTGTTGTTGTATCTCTGCCAAGTTTGAATATCCAGATGATTCTGGCCTCATAGAATGAATTGAGGAGGAGTCCCTCCTTTTCAATTTTTTGGAATAGTTTCAGTAGAAATCGCACCAACTCTTCTTTGTACCTTGGTAGAATTGAGCTGTGAGTCCATCTGATGGTCCTGAGATTTTTTGGTGGGTAGGATATTTATTACTGCCTAAATTTCAGCTTTGGGGATGAGATAATGGGGTTTTTGAGATATAAGATCATGTCATCTGAAGACAAAAATAATTGGACTCCCACTCTTTCTATTTCAATGCCCTTTATTTATTTCTCTTACCTAGTTGCCCTCACCAGAACATCCAATACTATGTTTATTGGTCTCTTCAGGCATTTAACTTCTTCCTGGTTCAGTGTTGGGAGGATGTATGTGTCCAGGAATTTATTAATTTCTTCTAGATTTGCTAGTTTAGGTTCATAGATGTGTTTGTAGTATTCCCTAATGGTTGTTTGTATTTCTGTGGGGTCAGTGGTGATATCCCCCTTATTTCTAACTATGTTTATTTTATTCTTGTCTCTTTTATTCATTAGTCTAGCTAGAAGTCTCTCATTTTATTTATTTATTTTTTTCAAAAAACCAGCTCCTGAATTTGTCGATTTTTTTGAAGGGTTTTTTCTGTGTGTGTGACTCTATCTCCTTCAGTTTGGCTCTAATCTTGGTTATTTCTTGTCTTCTGCTAGCTTTGGGGTTTGTTTTCTCTTGGTTCTCTAGTGTTTAGTTGAGATGTTAGGTTTTAACTTGACATCTTTCTAGCTTTTTGATGTGGACATTTAGTACTATACATTTCTCTCTTAACACCGCTTTAGCTGCATCCCAGAGATACTGGTATATTATCTCCTTGATCTCATTAGCTTCAAAAAACTTCTCGATGCCTGCCTTAATTTCATTATTTACCCAAAAGTCATTCATGAATAGGTTATTCAAGTTCCATGTAGTTGTGTGGTTTTGAGTGAATTTTTTTCCCAATATTAAAATTAGCATGTACTAGCTCCTACTTTGCTTATTCTTTTATTATTATACTTCAAATTCTGGGATATGTGTGCAGAATGTGCAGGGTTGTTAAATAGGTATACATGTGCCACGGTGGTTTGCATCACCCATCAACCCATCATCTAAATTAGGTATTTCTCCTAATGCTTTCCCTCCCCTAACCCCCCACCCCCTGACAGGCCCCAGTGTGTGATGCTCCCCTCCCTGGTTCCGTGTGTTCTCATTGTTCAACTCCCACTTATGAGTGAGAACATATGGTCTTTGGTTTTCTGTTCCTGTGTTAGTTTGCTGAGAATGACGGTTTCCATCTTCATCCACATCCTTGCAAAGGACATGAACTTATCCTTTTTTATGGCTGCATAGTATTCCATGGTGTATATGTGCCACATTTTCTTTATCCAATCTATCTTTGATGGGCATTTGGGTTGGTTCCAAGTCTTTGCTATTGTGAAGAGTGCTGCAATAAACATACGTGTGCGTGTGTCTTTATAGTAGAATGATTTATAATCCTTTGGGTATATACCCAGTAATGGGATTGCTGGGTCAAATGGTATTTCTGGTTCTAAATTCTTAAGGAATCACCCCACTGTCTTCCACAATGGTTGAACTAATTTACATTCCCACCAACAGTGTAAAAGCATTCCTATTTCTCCACAGCCTTGCCAGCATCTGTTGTTTCCTGACTTTTTAAAGATGCCCATTCTAACTGGAGTGAGATGGTATCTCATTGTGGTTTTGATTTGCATTTCTCTAACGACCAGTGGTGATAAGTTTTTTTAAATGTTTGCTGCCCACATACATGTCTTCTTTTGAGAAGTGTCTATTCATACCCTTCCCCCACATTTTGATGGGGTTGTTTGTTTTTTGCTTCTAAATTTCTTTAATCTCCTTGTAGATTCTGGATATTAGACCTTTGTCAGGTGGATAGATTGCAAACATTTTCTCTCACTCTGTAGGTTGCCTGTCCACTCTGATGATAGCTTCTTTTGCTGTGCAGAAGCACTTTAGTTTAATTAGATCCCATTTGTCAATTTTGGCTTCTGTTGCCATTGTTTTTGGTGTTTTAGTCATGAAGTCTTTGCCCATGCCTATGTCCTGAATGATATTGCCTAGGTTTTCTTCTAGAGTTTTCATGGTTTTGGGTTTTACTTTTAAGTCTTTAATTCATCTTGAGTTAATTTTTGTATAAGGTGTAAGGAAGGGGTCCAGTTTCAGTTTTCTGCATATGGCTAGCATGTTTTCCCAGCACCATTTACTGAATACGAGATCCTTTTCCCATTGCTCATTTTTGTCAGGTTTGTCAAAGATCAGATGGCTGTAGATTTGTGGTATTATTTCTGAGGTCTCTGTTCTTCTCCATTGGTCTACATGTCTGTTTTGGTACCAGTACCATGCATGTTTGTTTACTGTAGTCTCATAGTATGGTTTGTAATCAGGTAGCATGAGGCCTCCAGCTTTGTTCTGTTCCCTTAGGATTGTCTTGGCTATACAGGCTTTTTTTTTTTTTTTTTGGTTCCATATGAAATATAAAGTAGTTTTTCTTAATTCTATGAAGAAAGTCAATGGTAGCTTGGTGGGAATAGTATTGAATCTTTGAATTACTTTAGGCAGTATGGCCATTTTCATGATACTGATTCCTTCAATCCATGAGCATGGAATGTTCTACCATTTGTTTGTGTCCTCTCTTATTTCGTTGAGCAGTGGTTTGTAGTTCTCCTTGAAGAGGTCCTTCACATCCCTTGTAAGTTGTATTCCTAGGTATTTTATTTTCTTTGTAGCAATTGTGAAATGGAGCTCACTCATGATTTGGCTCTCTGTTTGTCTATTATTGGTGTATAGGAATGCTTGTGATTTTTGCACATTGATTTTGTATCCTGAGAGTTTGCTGAAGTTGCTTATCAGTTCAAGGAAATTTTGGGCTGAGATGATGGTGTTCTCTAAATATATAATCATGTCATCTGCAAACAGAGACAGTTTGACTGTCTCTCTTTATATTTGAATACCTTTATTTCTTTCTCTTGCTTGATTGCCCTTGCCAGAACTTCTGATACTACGTTGAATTAGGAGTGGTGACAGAGAGCATCCTTGTCTTGTGCTGGCTTTCAAAGGAAATGCTTCCAGCTTTTGCCATATTCAGTTTGATATTGGCTGTCAGTTTGTCATAAATAGCTCTTATTATTTTAAGATACGTTCCATCAATATCTAGTTTATTGAGAGTTTTTAGCATGAAGGTGTTGAATTTTATTGAAGGATTTTTCTGCATCTATTGAGATAATCATGTGGTTTTTGGCATTGGTTCTGTTTATGTGATAGATTATGTTTATTAATTTGTGTATGTTGAACCAGCTTTGCATCCCAGGGATGAAACAAATTTGATCATGGTGGATAAGCTTTTTGATGTGCTGCTGGATTCAGTTTGCCAGTATTTTATTGAGGATTTTTGCATTAATGTTTATTGGGGATATTGGCCTGAAATTTTCTTTTTTTGTTGTGTCTCTGCCAGGTTTTGGTGTTAGGATGATTCTGGCCTCATAAAATGAGTTAGAGAGGAGTCACTCTTTTTCTATTGTTTGGAATAGTTTCAGGAAAAATGTGACCAGCTCCTCTTTGTACCTCTGGTCAAATTCAGCTGTGAATCTGTCTGGTCCTAGGCTTCTTTTGGTTGGTAGGCTATTAAATACTGCCTCAATTTCAGGACTTGTTATTGATCTTTTCAGGGAATCGTTTTCCTCCTGGTTTAATCTTGGGAGGGTGTATGTGTCCAGGAGTGTATCCATTTCTTCTAGATTTTCTAGTTTATTTGAAAAGAGGTGTTTATAGTATGCTCTGATGGTAGTTTTTATTTCTCTGTGATCAGTGGTGATATCCCCTTCATCATTTTTATTGTGTCTATTTGATTCTTCATTCTTTTCTTCTTTATTAGTCTGGATAGCAGTCTATCTACTGTGTTAATTTTTTCAGTAAAACAACTCCTGGATTCATTGATTTTTTGAAGGGTTTTTCATGTCTCTACCTCCTTCAGTTCTGCTCTGATCTTAATTATTTTTTGTCTTCTGCTAGCCTTTAAATTTGTTTGCTCTTGCTTCTCTAGTTCTTTTAATTGTAATGTTAGGGTGTCAATTTTACATCTTTCCTGCTTTCTCTTGTGCACATTTAGTGCCATAAATTTCCCTCTAAACACTGCTCTAGCTGTGCCCCAGTGACTCTGGTACATTGTGTCTTTGTTCTCATTGGTTTCAAAAAACTTATTTACACTTGCCTTAATTTTGTTATTTACCCAGTACTCATTCAGGAGCAGATTGTTCCATTTCCATGTAGTTATGCGGTTTTGAGTGAGTTTGTTAATCCTGAGTTCTAAATTTATTGCACTGTGGCCTCAAAGACTGTTATGATTTCCATTGTTCTGCATTTGCTGAGAAGTGTTTTACTTCCAATTATGTGGTCAATCTTAAAATAAGTTTGATGTGGTGCTGAAAATAATGTATATTCCGTTGATGTGGGGTGGAAAGTTGTGTAGATGTCTATTAGGTCCACTTAATTCAGAGCTGTTCACGTCTTGAATATCCTTAATTTTCTGTTTCATTGATCTGTCAAATATTGACAGTGGGGCATTAAAGTCTCCTACTCTTATTGTGTGGGAGTCTAAGTCTCTTTGCAGGTCTCCAAGGACTTGCGTTATGAATCTGGGTGCTCCTGTATAGAATGCATATATATTTAGGATAGTTAGCTCTTCTTGTTGCATTGATCCCTTTACCATTATGTAATGCCCTTCTTTGTCTTTCTTGATCTTTGTTGGTTTAAAGTCTCTTTTATAAGAGACTAGGATTGCAAGCCCTGCTTCTTCTGCTTTCCATTTTCTTGGTAAATATTCTCCATCCCTTAATTTTCAGCCTATGTGTGTCTTTGTACATGAGATGGGTCTTCTGAATACAACAAATCTATGGGTCTTGACTCTTCATCCAATTTGCCAGTCTGTGTCTTTTAATTGGAGCATTTATTCAGTTTACATTTACTGTTACTATTGTTATGTGTAAATGTGATTTTGTCATTATGATGCTAGCTAGTTATTTTGCCCGTTAGTTGATGCAGTTAATTCATAGTGTCAATGGTCTTTACAATTCAATATGTTTTTGCAGTGGCTGGTACAAGTTTTTCCTTTCCATATGTACTGCCTCCTTCAGGAGCTTTTGTAAGGCAGACCTGGTGGTGACAAAATCTCTCAGCATTTGCTTGTCTGTAAAGAATTTTACTTCTCCTTCACTTATGAAGCTTAGTTTGGCTGAATATGAAATTCTGAGTTGAAAATTCTTTTTTTTAAGAATGTTGAATATTGGTCCCCACTCTCTTCTGGCTTATAGGGTTTCTACATAGAGATTTGCTGTTAGTCTGATGGGCTTCCCTTTGTGGGTTACCCAACCTTTCTCTCTGGCTGCCCTTAACATTTTTTTCCTGCATTTCAACTTTCGTGAATCTGGCAATTATGTGTCTTGGGTTTGCTCTTCTCGAGGAGTATCTTTGTGGTGTTCTCTGTATTTCCAGAATTTGAATGTTGGCTTGTCTTGCTAGGTTGGGGAAGTCCTCCTGTATAATATCCTGAATAGTGTTTTCCAGCTTGCTTCCATTCTCCCTGTAACCTTCAGGTACACCCATCAAACTTAAGTTTGGTCTTTTCACATAGTCCCACATAACTTGGAGGCTTTGTTCGTTCCTTTTCATTCTTTTTTCTCTAATCTTGTCTTCAGGCTTTATTTCATTAAGTTGATATTCAGTCTCTGATGTGCTTTCTTCTGCTTTATCGATTTGGCTATTGATGCTTGTGTATGCTTCATAAAGTTCTTGTGCTGTGTTTTTCAGCTCCATCAGATCATTTACGTTCTTCTCTAAACTGGTTATTCTACTTAGCAATTCCTCTAACCTTTTTCAAGGTTTTTAGCTTCCTTGCATTGGGCTAGAACATGCTCCTTTAGTTTGGAGGTGTTTCTTATTACCCACCTTCTGAAGCCTACTTCTGTCAATTCGTCAAACATTCTCCATCCAGTTTTGTTCCTTTGCTGGCAAGGAGTTGTGATCCTCTGGAGGAGAAGAGGCCGTCTGGTTTTTGGAATTTTCAGCCTTTTTGCACTGTTTTTTCCTCATCTTCGTGGATTTATCTACCTTTGGTCTTTGATGTTGGTGACCTTCAGATGGGGTTTCTCTTTGGAGGTCCTTTTCATTAATGTTGATGTTATTCCTTTCTGTTTGTTAGTTTTCCTTCTAATAGTCAGACCCCTAAGCTGCAGGTCTACTGGAGTTTGCTGGAGGTTCACTCCAGAATCTCTTTGCCTGGTTATCACCATCAGCGTCCACAGAACAGCAAAGATTGCTGCCTTCTTTTTCCTCTGGAAGCTTCATCCCAGAGAGGCACCTACCAGATGCCAGCCAGAGCTCTCCTGTATGAGGTGTCTGTCAGTTTCTGCTGTGAGATGTCTCCTAGTCAGGAGACATGCGGATCAGAGACCCACTTGTGCAGGCAGTCTGACCCTTAGCAGAGCTCAAACGCTGTACTGGGAGATCTGCTACTCTCTTTAGAGCAGGCAGGCAGATATGTTTAAGTCTGTTGAAGCTGCACCCACAGCCACCTCTTCCCCCAGGTGATCTGTCCCAGGGAGATGGGGGTTTTATCTATAAGCCCCTGAATGGGGCTGCTGCCTTTTTTCAGAGATGCCCTGCCCATAGAGGAGGAATCAGGAGAGGCAGTCTGGCCACATTGGCTTTGCTGAGCTGTGGAGGGCTCCACCCAGTTGCAACGTCCCCACAGGTTTGTTTACACTGTAATGAGACAACCACCTACTCAAGCCTCAGTAATGTTGGATGCCTCTCCCCCCACCAAGCTCGGGTGTCCCAGGTCAACTTCAGACTGCTGTGCCTGCAGTGAGAATTTCAAGCCAGTGGATATTAGCTTGCTGGGAACTGTGGGGATGGGATCTCTTGAACTAGACCACTTGGATCCCTGTCTTCAGCCTCTCTTTCCTGGAAGTGAACAGCTGTGTCTCACTGACATTCCAGGTGCCACTGGGAGATGTATATATATATATGTATGTATCTATATATAGATGTGTGTATATATATATATATATATATATATATATATATATATATATATATATCTTGCAGCTAGCTCAGTGTCTGCCCAAATGGCTACCCAGTTTTGTGCTTGAAACCCAGGGTGCTGGTGGCATAGGCACCCGAGGGAATTTCCTGGTCTGTGGGTTGCGAAGACCATGGGAAAAGCATAGTATCTGGGCGAGAGTGCACCATTTCTCATGGCACAGTCCCTCATCGCTTTCTTTGGCTAGGGGAGGGAGTTCCCCAACCCCTTGCACTTCTTGGGTGAGGCAACGCCCCATCCTACTTCAGCTCACCCTCTGTGGGCTACACCCACTGTCTAACAAGTCCCATTGAGAAGCTCCAGGTAACTCAGTTGGAAATGCAGAAATCACCCACTTTCTGCATTGATCTTGCTGGGAGCTGCACACTGGAGCAGTTCCAATTCAGCCATCTTGCCAGCCTCTCTTGAGTATGATTTAAGATTATATATTATCTCTTCTTTTGCTGTATCATTTATACTTTTTTGTTCTTAACATTTTGGCAGTTACTTTGGGGTTTACAATATCCATTTTAAATAGTTGGATTCTACCTTCACATAACATTATACACTGCATGCATAGTGTAAATATATTTTATCAGAGTATGCCTAATTCCTTTTTTCTGTCTTTTTTGGTATTGCTGTTATTTATTTTACTTATGCATATACTATAAATACCAATACATTGCTGCTATTATTGCTTTAAGCAGTTATATTTTAGATTAATAATAAAAACAATTAAAAATTGTTTTATTTTTATTAATTCTTTTTCCGATGATTTTAATTTGTATGTAGATCCAAGTTTCTTATATGCCTAACAAATTTACTTTCTGATGATAAACTTCTAACATTTCTTGTAGGACATATCTTCTGGCAATAAATTACCACAGTATCTGTCCAAAATTTTTTTTATTTCTCCTTCAATTTTGAAGGAAAATTTTCTTTCTGGATGTAGAATACTAGGTGTGTAGATTTTTCTTACACCATATTAAAGATTTAACTGCATGGTTTCTGATGAAAGGTATGCTGTAACTTCTTTCTTCCATACATGAGTTTGCTTCTTTTGATTCTTACAAGATTTTCCTTTCATTTTTGGTTTTCTGCAGTTTGACTGTGATATATCTTCATGTGGGTTTTTTTCAGTTTTTGTCCAGCTTGGTGTTCTGGGGCATTTGACTTTGCATACAAATATTAGAATAAACTTTTCTATATCTACAAAACCCTTGGTGGGGCTTTGATAAATATTGTGTTAAATAGGTTCATCAATAAGGGGAAGTCTGACTTCTTTACTATATTTGGTCTTCTAATCCAGCAATACATTTTTTTCTTCATTAATTTAGGTCTTTTATTGATTTCATCAGCATTTTGTAATTTTCTGCATAGAGATCCTATACACTGCATGACTCATTGTTAAGTTTATACCTAAGTATCTTATTTTTATGCACTTAATGAATGATATTGTGTTTCTAATATTTACTTCTACACATTCATTATTAGTATGTATAATTGTATTTTTTTGTTTGTTTGTTTTTGAGACAGAGTCTTGCCCTGTTCCCCAGGCTGGAGTGCAGTGGCAAAAACATGACTCACTGCAGCCTCCGCCTCCCAGAGCCAAGTCAACCTGCAGCTTTAGCCTCCTGAAAAACTGAGACCATGGGCATGTACAACTATGCCTGGCTAATTTATTTTACTTTATTTTATTTTTTGTAGAGATGCAGTCTCCCATGTTGCTCAGGCTGTTCTTGAACTCCTAGGCTTAAGTGATCCTTCTGCCTTGGCCTCCCAAAGTGCTGGGATTACAGGCATGAGCCACCACACCTGGCCTAGAAATGTAATTTCTATTTTGATGAGTATCCTGTGTCCTGCAATCTTACTGATCTCACTTATTCTTATTCGTTATAGTAAGTGTTTTGTAGAATACTTGGGATTTTCCACATAGACAATTATGACATTTGAAATAGGGACAGTTTAATTTCTTTCTTTTCTAAAAGCATGCCTTAAATTATTTCATACTTTATTGCACTGGCTAGAACTTCCAGTAATATCAATTATAAGAGTGGTGAGAGCAGACACCTTTCCTTATTCCCAATCTTGAAGGGAAAATATTTACTCTTTAACCATAAAGTATGTGGTTAGCTGTAGACCTTTTATAGATTCTCTTCATTAAGTTATGGAATATTTCTGTTATTCCTAGTTTGCTGAGCATTTTATCATGTGTGAGTCCTCCATTTTGTCAAATTATTTTTGTGTTACTTGATATGAATATATATTTTTCTTCTTTAGCTTATTGATATAGTGGATTACATTGGTTAATTTTCAAATACTGAATGACAATTTTATACTTGAAATAAATCTTACTTGCTATGATTTATAATCTTTTAAATACATTGTTTGCTTTGATTTGTTAATATTTTGTTAACAATTTTTTGTCTAAATTCATGACACATATTGATATGTAGTTTTATTTTTTAAAATTTGTACTGTCTGCCTGATTTTAGTATCATAGCAGCATTTATCAGGGCAAATTCAGCCCCCGATATTTCACGCAGGTTCTTTTCTATTTTCCCTAAGTGTCAGCCAGTCAGAGAAATAAAGGGAAAGAGTACAAAACAGAGAAATTTTACTAAATATATATGCACCCAATACAGGAGCTCCCAGATTCATAAAGCAAGTCCTCAGAGACCTAGAAAGAGACTCAGACTCCCATACAATAATAATGGGAGACTTTAACACCCCACTGTCAATATTAGACAGATCAATGAGACAGAAGGTTAACAAAGATATCCACGAACTGAACTCAGCTCTGCACCAAGCAGACCTGAAAGACATCTATAGAACTCTCCACCCCAAAGCAATAGAATATACATTCTTTTCAGCACATCACATTTATTCTAAAATTAACCACAAAATTGGAAGTAAAGCACTCCTCAGCAAATAGAAGAGAAATCACAACAAACTGTCTTTCAGACCACAGTGCAATCAAATTAGAACTCAGGATTAAGAAACTCACTCAAAACCGCACAACTACATGGGAACTGAACAACTTGCTCCTGAATGACTACTGGGTAGATAACAAAATGAAGGCAGAAATAAAAATGTTCTTTGAAACCAACGAGAACAAAGACACAATGTACCAGAATCTCTGGGACACATTTAAAGCAGTGTGTAGAAGGAAATTTGTAGCACTAAGTGCCCATAAGAGAAAGCAGGAAAGATCTAAAATCGACACCCTAACATCACAATTAAAAGAACTAGAGAAACAAGAGCAAACAAATTCAAAAGCTAGCAGAAGGCAAGAAATAATTAGGATCAGAGCAGAACTGAAGGAGATTAAAAAAAAACCTTCAAAAAATCAATGAGTCCAGGAGCAGCTTTTTTGAAAAGATCAACAAAATAGATAGACTGCTAGCAAGACTAATAAAGAAGAAAAGAGAGAAGAATCAAATAGATGCAATAAAAACTGATAAAGGGGATATTACCATTGATCCCACAGAAATACAAACTACCATCAGAGAATACTATAAACACCTCTATGCAAATAAACTAGAAAATCTAGAAGAAACTGATAAATTCCTGGACACATACACCCTCCCAAGACTAAACCAGGAAGAAGATGAACCTCTGAATAGATCAATAACAGGCTCTGAAATTGAGGTAATAATTAACTGCCTACCAATAAAAAAAAAGTCCAGGACCAGACTGATTCACAGCCGAATTCTACCAGAGGTACAAAGAGGAGCTGGTACTATTCCTTCTGAAACTATTCCAATCAATAGAAAAAAAGGGAGTCCTCCCTAACTCATTTCATGAGGGCCAGCATCATCCTGATAACAAAGCCTGGCAGAGACACACACAAAAAAGAGAATTTTAGACCAATATCCTTGATGAACATCGATGCAAAAATCCTCAATAAAATACTGGCAAACAGAATCTAGCAGCACATCAAAAAGCTTATCCACCATAATCAAGTCGGTGTCATCCCTGGGATGCAAGACTGGTTCAAGATATACAAATCAATAAACGTAATCCATCACATAAACAGAACCAACGACAAAAACCACATGATTATCTCAATAGATGCAGAAAAGGCCTTCAACAAAATTCAACAGACCTTCATGCTAAAAACTCTCAGTAAACTAGGCATTGATGGAACATATCTCAAAATAATAAGAGCTATTTATGACAAACCCACAGCCAATATCATACTGAATGGGCAAAAACTGGAAGCATTTTCTTTGAAAACTGGCACAAGAGAGGGATGCTCTCTCTCACCGCTCCTATTCAATATAGTGTTGGAAGTTCTGGCCAGAGCAAACAGGCAAGAGAAAGAAATAAAGGGTATTCAATTAGGAAAGGAGGAAGTCAAATTGTGACTGTTTGTAGATGACATGATTGTATATTCAGAAAACCCTATCATCTCAGCCCAAAATCTCCTTAAGCTGATAAGCAACTTCAGCAAAGTCTCAGGATACAAAATCAATGTGCAAAAATCACAAGCATTCCTATACACCAAAAACAGACAAACAGCCAAATCATGAGTGAACTCCCATTCACAATTGCTTCAAAGAGAATAAAATACCTAGGAATCCAACTTATAAGGGATGTGAAGGGCCTCTTCAAGGAGAACTACAAACCACTACTCAATGAAATAAAAGAGGACACAAACAAATGGAATAACATTCTTTGCTCATGGGTAGGAAGAATCAATATCGTGAAAATGGCCTTACTGCCCAAGGTAATTTATAGATTCAGTGCCATCCCCATCAAGATATCAATGACTTTCTTCACAGAATTGGAAAAAACTACTTTAAAGTTCATAAGGAACCAAAAAAGAGCCTGCATTACCAAGACAATCCTAAGCCAAAAGAACAAAGCTGGAGGCATCACGCTACCTGACTTCAAACTATACTCCAAGGCTACAGTAACCAAAACAGCATGGTACTGGAACCAATACAGAGATATAGACCAATGGAACAGAACAGAGGCCTCAGAAATAACACCACACATCTATAACCATCTGATCTTTGACAAACCTGACAGAAACAAGAAATGGAGAAATGATTTCCTATTTAATAAATGGTGCTGGGAAAACTGGCTAGCCAGATGTAGAAAGCTGAAACTGGATCCTTTCCTTACACCTTATACAAAAATTAATTCAAGATGGATTAAAGACTTACATGTTAGACCTAAAACCATAAAAACCCTAAGAGAAAACCTAGGGAATACCATTCAGGACATAGGCATGGGCGAGGGATTCATGACTAAAACACCAAAAGCAATAGCAACAAAAGCCAAAATAGACAAATGGGATCTAAATAAACTACAGAGCTTCTGCACAGCAAAAGAAACTACCATCAGAGTGAACAGGCAACCTATGGAATGGGAGAAAATTTTTGCAATTTTCTTCTCTGACAAAGGGCTAATATCCAGAATCTACAAAGAATTTAATCAAATTTACAAGAAAAAACAAACAACCTCATCAAAAAGTGGGCAAAGTATCTGAACAGACACTTCTGAAAAGAAGACATTTATGCAGCCAACAGACACATGAAAAAATGCTCATCGTCACTGGTCATCAGAGAAATGCAAATCAAAACCACAATGAGATACCATCTCACACCAGTTAGAATGGGCATCTTTAAAAAGTCAGGAAACAACGGATGCTGGAGACAAGCATCGCTAATCACTAGGATAAATGCGAATTAAAATTATAATGAGATATATCCTCACACATGTTAGAATGGCTTTCTACAAAAAAATGAAAGATAAACATGGCAAGGATACAGAGGAAAGAAAATTCTTGTACATTGTTGGTAGGAATGTAAATTAGTAAAATGATTATGGAAAACAGTATGGAGTTTTCTCAAAAAACTAAAAATAGAACTACCATATGTCCAGGAATCCCACTTCTGTGTGTATATCCAAAGGAATTGAAATGTGTAATTCGAAAGTGTTGCTGCACTTCTATGTGTATTACAGTATTATTCATAATAGCCAATATATAGATGCAACCTAAGTGTCCATCAGTGGATAAAATGAATAAAGAAAATGTGGTGTATATATACACAATGTAATACTTTTTGGCCTTTAAAAATTAAGGGAATTCTGTCATTTGTGATTGTGTGGATGAGCCTGGAGGCTAGCTAAGTAAAATAAGCTAGGCACAGAAAAACAAATACCACATAATCTCATTTATACGTGATTTCTGTAAAATTGAACTCATAAAAGTAGAGAGTGAAATGATATTTACCAGAGTCTGGAAGGGGAGTGATGGAGGGAATGAGGACTTCTTGGTCAAAGGGTACAAAGTTGCAGATAGACAGGAGGAATATGTTTTGAGATCTATTACACAGCAGGATGATCATAATCAATAATAATGTATACAGTCATGCATCACTTAATTACAGGGATACTTTCTGAGAAATATGTCATTAGGTGATTTTGTCATTATGTGAACATCATAGAGTGTACTCACACAAATCTACTTGGTATAGCCTACTATGCACCTAGGCTATATAAAATAGCCTATTACTCCTAGGCTATAAAGCTGTACACATTGTGACTATACTGATTACTAGTAGGCAGTTGTAACATCATGATAAGTATTTGTGTATCTAAATATATCTAAACATAGAAAAGGTTAAGTTAAAATACTATAATATAATTTTATGAAGCCACCATCATACATGCACTTCATTGTTAACCAAAAAATCATTATGTGATATATGATTATATTTCAAAATAACTAGCAGAGTACATTTCAAATGCCTCACCATAAAAATTAAATGAAGGGAGTGATAGAAATGTTAACTAGCCAGATTTAATCATTCTATGTTATATACACATATCAAAACATCATATTGTACTCAATACATGTATACAATTACGATTTGTCAACTAAACATAATATCAATGAGTAAATTAAAAACACACAGGTCAAGGAAGAAATCAAAAGAAAAATTAGAAAGTATTTCTTACTGAATGAAAATTAAAATACATCTCAAACTGTGTGGGATGCCACTAAATCAATATTTAGATAAAATTTATAGACTATTTCAGAAAGCAAGAAAAGACTGAAATCAATTTTCTCAGCCTCCACCTTAAGAAACTAGAGGAAAAAAAAAAAAAGAAAAAAAACCTAAAGTGAGCAAAAGGAAAGAAAATAATAAAGCAGATAAGAGAACAACCAACAAAATATTTTTTTAAAAATGGAGAAAATTGACAAAACTGAAATCTGGGTTTTTAAAAACTCAACAAAGTCAATCGATTAACTGATAACATGTGTTACATTACTGTAGCATTTGGCGTATGGCTTTTTCCCCTGAGCATAAAGTTGTTTAGATCCATCCAAGTTGCTGCATGTATTAACAGCACGTTTCTTTTTATTGCTGAGTGGTACTCCCCTGTAGGGGTTTACCTTTATCTGTCAATTGACTTATGAGGGAAATTTGGGTCTTTGCCAATTTTTCTTGCCTGTGGTTGTCTAATTGCTCCAGCATCGTTTGTTGAAAAAGTTATGCTTCCTAATTTGAATTGGTTTTGTACTCTTGTGAAAAATCATTCCTTTGATTCATGTGTATATGTCTCCACCAATAATATACAGTCTTGATTACCATACCAAACTCAATATTAGATAAAGTGATTATTCCCACTTTGTTTCTTTTTGAAATTGTTTAGCTATTGTAGACACTTTGTCTTTCTGTATAAATTTTATAATAAAGTTGTATATATCTACAAACAAAAATTTTGCTGGGATTTTGATAGAAATTATGTAAAATCTATAGATTAACTTCAGGAGATTTGGCATCTTGACTTTATTGTCTTCCAATTCATGAACATTTTATATATATGCATTTATTTGGATCTTCTTTTATTTTCTTTATCAGAAATTTCTAATTTTCAACATACAGAGCCTATATATGCTTTGTTAGAATTATACTTAATTCATTTTGAGAGTGACTGTAAATTGTGTCACATTTTAAATTTCCATTTCCATATATCAATTGCTAGAATATAAAAATTTGATTGGCTTTGGTGTGTTGGTCTTGTACCCTGTGACATTGATACACTCACCTACTAGTTCTAAGAGTTTTGGGTATATTCTGTAGGATATTTATGTAAATAACCATGTCATTTGCAAGTTGTGACAGTTTTATTCTTTTCTTTCCAATATGTATGCCTTTTATTTCTTTTCCTTGACTTACTTCATTGGCTAGAATTTTCAGCACTATTTTGAATAGGGATGGTTAATTAAGATATCTTGTTTTATTCTAGAGCTTAGGGGAAAAGAATTAAGTCTTTCACCATTAATTTTAATGTTAGCTGTAAGTTTTTAAAAACGCTCTATCAAGGTAAGGAAGTTTCTCTCTAATCCTAGCTTGTTGAACAATTTTTTTCTTCATGAACAACTATTGGATTTTTTTCAAATGCATCTCTGCATCAATTAATATGATTATGGTTTTTTCTCTTGTTTAGCCTGCTGACATTGTAAATTACACTGATGGATTTTTTAATATTGAAAAAAAAACCTACTTGGTCGTGTTGTAAAATTATGTATAGACATAGCTAGATTCTGTTTTGTAATAACTGTTGGTAGTTTTTTGTGTAAGTCTGTGAGAGATATTTATCTGTAATTTTCTTCTTTTATACTTTCTTTGTGCAGTTATGGTACTAGAAAAACACTGGCCTCATAAAATGAATTGTACAGTAATCCTTCACTTTTTATTTTGTGTAAGAAATTGGGTAAAATTGGTGTTAATTTTTCTTTAAATATTTGGTAGAATTTTCTGGTGGCATTATCTGTGCTTGGGGATTTTTTTAACTCTAATTTAATTTTTAAATAGTTCTAGGACTATTTTAATTATTTATATCCTATTGGTTGGCTTTGGGTAGTTTGCGGTTTTTAAGTAATTGCTGTATTTCATTAAGTTGTCTAGTTATTGTTTCTAAAGTTCTTTGTAGTATTTTCTCTTTTTTTCTTTCTTTTAACTTTTATTTTAGGTTTAAGGGTACATGTGCAGGTTTGTTAGTATTTTCTTATTATCCATTGAAGGGCTACTGAATCTGTAGTAATATTCCTTGCTCTGTTCCTGAAATTGGTAATTAGTGTCATCTCTCTTTTTACTTTTGTCAGCCTTAATATAGGTTTATCCACTTCACTGAACTTTTCAAAGGACCATCTTTTATTTCGTTGATTTTCTCTACTGTTTTTCTATTTTTAATTTTATTGATATGTTTTTATTATGTCATTTCTTCGGCTTGCTTTGGGTTTATTTTGTTCTTTTTCTATTTTATTGACATGGGAGTTTAGATTATTTATTTTAGGCATTTCCCTTTTCTTTTTTTTTTTTGTCTTTCTTTTTGTTTTTGTTTTGTTTTGTTTTGTTTTTTTGAGATGGAGTGTCACTCTGCCACCAGGCTGGAGTGCAGTGGCATGAACTCAGCTACCTGCAACCTCCGCCTCCCGGGTTCAAGCAATTCCCCTGCCTCAGCCTCCTGAGAGGCTGGGACTACAGGCGTGCACCACCACGCCCAGCTAATTTTTTTTTTTTTTTTTTTTTGGTATTTTAGTAGAGACGGAGTTTCACCAAGTTGGCCAGGATGATCTCGATCTCCTGACCTCGTGATCCACCTGCCTTGGACTCCCAAAGTGCTGGGATTCCAGGCATGAGCCACCGCACCCGGCCTCCCTTTTCTAATTTAAGTATTCATTGCTATAAATTTCTCTCAGTCCTGCTATAGCTGCATTCCATGGATTTTGATATGTTTTCATTTTAATTTAGGTTTTTGTACTTTTAAAAAATATTTCTTTGAGACTTACACATGAATTATTTAAAAGTACATTGTTTAATTTATAAATGTTTGGAGATTTTTCTATTATCTATTATTAATTTCTAGCTTGATTCTACTGTGAGCAGATAATGTACTCAAAATTATTTCAATTGTTTTTTATCTACTGGCCCATTTTATTTTTATTAGTGTTCACATGGCATATTTTCTCATGACCATTCTTTTTTGTATTTGTATTTTTTTAGTGTTAGATTCAGGGAGTACATGTGCATGTATGTTACTTGTGTACGTTGTGTGCTGGCTTACTTTCAATCATTACATTTGAAATGTTATTTGTAGACAGCATATTATTGGGCTTGTTTTATTTTTTAATCCATTCTGTCAACTTCTGCCTTTAATTGGCATATTTAGACCATTTGCTCTTGAAGTAATTTTTGTTAGTTAAGGCTTAAGTCTACCATTTTATTATTTGTTGTTTGTTCTATTTCTCATTCTTCTGTTTTCCTTTTCTTGTCATTCTGATAATTTCTTGAATATTTTTAGAATTCCATTTTTATTTACTTATACTATCTTTAATATCCTTCTTTTTATAGTTTTAATTCATATATATATATATATATATATATATATATATCTCCATACACATGTGGGTCAAAGAAAAGGGGAAAAGGGTCGAACTCTGTAAAATATTTGAAGAGATTTATTCTGAGCCAAATATGAGTGACCATGGCCCCTGACACAGCCCTCAGGAGGTCCTGAGAACATGTGCCCAATGTGGTTGGGGTGCAGCTTGGTTTTATACATTTTACAGAGGCATGAGACCTCAATCAAATACATTTAAGAAATATATTGGTTTGGTCCCAAAAGGTGGAACAACTCAAAGTGGGGGCTTCCAGGCTATAGGTGAATTTAAACATTTTCTGATTGACAATTAGTTGAATTTATCTAAAGACCTGGGATAGATAGAAAGGGAATGTTCAGGTTAAGATAAAGATTGTGGAGACCAGAGTTCTTTAAAATCTTATAGTGGCTGCCCTTAGAGGCAATAGGTAATAAAGTTTTCCTATCCAGATCTTAGTTAATCTCTTTAGGTTTAGGAGGGTCTGGAAGAAAAAGATCCAGCTATGTTAATAGAGATGCTTTACAGATGCAAATTTTCCCCTACAAAGAACAGCTTTGCAGGGCCATTTCAAAATGTGGCAAAGAAACATGTTTGGAGATAAAATATTTTTATTTTCTTCTTTGTCTTGTAATGTTATGCCAGAGTCAGTTTGGAAAGTAAATCATGATATATAAGGTTAAATAAAACCCATCTGATTAGAATTTATTATTTGTAGGGCATGGCTCCCCAAATCCCTTAGGTAGAAATTAGATAAAAATATAAGAGTTTAGTCCTCATGTGTTAGTGTGTGTGTTTATGCAACTTATCACAGTCTACTGTGATTCTACAAACTACTACCAACATTAAACAGCTTCAAATTAAGTATTGAAACCCTACTTCAACTTACCTCCCTTTACCCTGCCCGCTTTTTAAATGTAGTTGTCTTGGACATATTTCTTCTACACACGTTGACCACCATATCAGATGGTATTATAATTTTTGCTTCAACCTGTCAAACATGATTCAGAAACCACATGAAAAAAGACCTATTATATTTTTATCCCTATCTTTACTCAATTCTATATTCTTATTTTCTTTTGGAGATTCCAAGGCTTCTGCTTCTATTGTTTTTTTTTTTCCTGTTAAGTAACTTTCTGTAGCTATTCTTTAGGGGTAGGTTTACTTATGACAAATTATTTTAATCTTTTTACCTGAGAAACTCTATTTTCCATTCATTCTTGGAGGATATTTTGCTGAATATAAAATTTTGAGTTAACAGTTCTTTAATTCCAGTACTTGAAAATGCTGTGCCACTTTCTTCTGGCCTATATGATTTCAGTTGAGAGATTCAGTTTTTTATATTGTTATTCTTCTATGCATCATTTTTCTCTGTATTCAATTTTTTTCTTTAGTTTTAAAAAGTCTGATTATGATGTGTCTTGGTGTGGATTTCTTTGGGTTAATCTTGTTTAGTTTACATTGAGCATCTTGAATCTATATGTTCATGTCTTTTGTTAAATTTCAAGTACTCTTTTAAACCCACACTTATTTTCCCATCTTTCTAAAACTCCAATGATATAAATGTCAAATTTATCATTGTCTCCCAGGTTTTTGAGACTCTCACTTATTCTTTTCAGCCTACTTTTTCTTTGTTGTTTCAGCTAGGTAAACCCTCTTGAACTATCCTCTAGTTCACTGATTCTACACTGTTATATCCACTCTGGCATTGAATTTAGGCAGCAAATTTTCTATTTTTGTAACTTTAATTTTCAGTCTATAATTTACATTTAATTCTTTTTATCACATTTTAATTTTTTACTTCTTTTATTTTTTCATTTATTTCAAGAGAATTTGAAATTTCTGATAAAAGCATCTTTGTGATACCTGTTTTAAAATCATTGCAGATCATTTCAATTCCTGTGTCATGTCAGTTTTGGCATCTGGTGAATGTCTTTTTTAATTCATTTTGTGATTTTAAGTTTTGACCTCCTATATTCCTGGTATGATGAGTAATTTTCTATTTTATCTGTATATTTTGGATTAGTCAATTGATTTTTATTAAGTTGCAAAGGCAACTCAATGCAACTTAATGAAGAAAGGATTGTATTTTCAATAAAGATCACTGAAACTACTGGACATCTGTATGCAAACAGATAAATGAAAGTCCTCTCATAATTTACACTTCATAACTAATTAACTCAAAGTATATTATAAATCTAAATGTAACACTGGAAAGTACAAAACTTCTAAAAGTATATATGAGAGAAAAAACTTTTGGCCTTGCATTAAGCAAATATTCCTTAGAAATGACACCAAAAGAATGACCCATAAGAAAAAATGATAAATTAGACTTTATCAAACTTTTCAAAAGAAAAACAATATATTTCTTCTCTGTGAAATACATGGTTAATAGAATAAGAAGCTAAGCCATAGACTTCAGTGAAATCATTGAAAATCACACATCTGAAAAATACGGGGGAGGAGCCAAGATGGCCAAATAGGAACAGCTCCAGTCTACAGCTCCCAGCATGAGCGAAGCAGAAGACGGGTGATTTCTGCATTTCCAACTGAGGCACCAGGTTCATCTCACTAGGGAGTGCCAGACAGTGGGCGCAGGTCAGTGGGTGCGCGCACTGTGCGCGAGCTGAACCACAACTGCGCACACTGTGCACGAGCTGAACCAGGGCGAGGCATTGCCTCACTCGGGAAACACAAGGGCACAGGGAGTTCCCTTTCCTAGTCAAAGAAAGTGGTGACAGATGGCACCTGGAAAATCGGGTCACTCCCACCCGAATACTGCGCTTTTCTGATGGGCTTAAAAAACGGCGCACCAGGATATTATATCCCAACCTGGCTTGGAGTGTCCTATGCCCACGGAGTCTCGCTGATTGCTAGCACAGCAGTCTGAGATCAAACTGCAAGGCGGCAGCGAGGCTGGGGGAGGGGTGCCTGCCATTGCCCAGGCTTGCTTAGGTAAACAAAGCAGCCGGGAAGCTCGAACTGGGTGGAGCCCACCACAGCTCAAGGAGGCCTGCCTGCCTCTGTAGGCTCCACCTCTGGGGGCAGGGCACAGACAAACAAAAAGACAGCAGTAACCTCTGCAGACTTAAATGTCCCTGTCTGACAGCTTTGAAAAGAGCAGTGGTTCTCCCAGCACGCAGCTGGAGATCTGAGAATGGGCAGACTGCCTCCTCAAGTTGGATCCCTGACCCCCGACCCCTGAGCAGCCTAATTGGGAGGCACCCCCCAGCAGGGACAGACTGACACCTCACACGGCCGGGTACTCCAACAGACCTGCAGCTGAGGGTCCTGTCTGTTAGAAGGAAAACTAACAAACAGAAAGGACATCCACACCAAAAACCCATCTGTACATCACCGTCATCAAAGACCAAAAGTAGATAAAACCACAAAGATGGGGAAAAAACAGAGCAGAAAAACTAGAAACTCTAAAAAGCAGAGCGCCTCTCCTCCTCCAAAGGAACGCAGTTCCTCACCAGCAACGGAACAAAGGTAGATAGAGAATGACTTTGACGAGCTGAGAGAAGAAGGCTTCAGACGATCAAATTACTTCGAGCTACGGGAGGACATTCAAACCAAAGGCAAAGAAGTTGAAAACTTTGAAAAAAATTTAGAAGAATGTATAACTAGAATAACCAATACAGAGAAGTGCTTAAAGGAGCTGATGGAGCTGAAAACCAAGGCTCGAGAACTACGTGAAGAATGCAGAAGCCTCAGGAGCTGATGCGATCAACTGGAAGAAAGGGTATCAGCGATGGAAGATGAAATGAATGAAATGAAGCGAGAAGGGAAGTTTAGAGAAAAAAGAATAAAAAAATGAGCAAAGCCTCCAAGAAATATGGGACTATGTGAAAAGACCAAATCTACGTCTGATTGGTGTATCTGAAAGTGACAGGGAGAATGGAACCAAGTTGGAAAACACTCTGCAGGATATTATCCAGGAGAACTTCCCCAATCTAGCAAGGCAGGCCAACATTCAGATTCAGGAAATACAGAAAACGCCACAAAGTTACTCCTGGAGAAGAGCAATTCCAAGACAAATAATAGTCAGATTCACCAAAGTTGAAATGAAGGAAAAAATGTTAAGGGCAGCCAGAGAGAAAGGTCGGGTTACCCTCAAAGGGAAGCCCATCAGACTAACAGCAGATCTCTCAGCAGAAACTCTACAAGCCAGAAGAGAGTGGGGGCCAATATTCAACATTCTTAAAGAAAAGAATTTTCAACCCAGAATTTCATATCCAGCCAAACTAAGCTTCATAAGTGAAGGAGAAATAAAATCCTTTACAGACAAGCAAATGCTGAGAGATTTTGTCACCACCAGGCCTGCCCTAAAAGAGCTCCTGAAGGAAGCGCTAAACATGGAAAGGAACAACCGGTACCAGCTGCTGCAAAATCATGCCAAAATGTAAACACCATCAAGACTAGGAAGAAACTGCATCAACTAACGAGCAAAATAACCAGCTAATATCATAATGACAGGATCAAATTCACACATAACAATATTAACTTTAAATGTAAATGGACTCAATGCTCCAATTAAAAGACACAGACTGGCAAATTGGATAAAGAGTCAAGACCCATCAGTGTGTTGTGTTCAGGAAACCCAACTCATGGGCAGAGACACACATAGGCTCAAAATAAAAGGATGGAGGAAGATCTACCAAGCAAATGGAAAACAAAAAAAGTCAGGGGTTGCAATCCTAGTCTCTGAATAAAACAGACTTTAAACCAAAAAAGATCAAAAGAGACAAAGAAGGCCATTACTTAATGGTAAAGGGATCAATTCAACAAGAGCTAACTATCCTAAATATATATGCACCCAATACAGGAGCACCCAGATTCATAAAGCAAGTCCTGAGTGACCTACAAAGAGACTTAGACTCCAACACATTAATAAAGGGAGATTTTAACACCCCACTGTCAACATTAGACAGATCAACGAGACAGAAAGTCAACAAAGATACCCAGGAATTGAACTCAGCTCTTCACCAAGCAGACCTAATAGACATCTACAGAACTCTCCACCCCAAATCAACAGAATATACATTTTTTTCAGCACCACACCACACCTATTCCAAAATTGACCACATACTTGGAAGTAAAGCTCTCCTCAGCAAATGTAAAAGAACAAAAATTTTAACAAATTATCTCTCAGATCACACAGCAGTCAAACTAGAACTCAGGATTAAGAAACTCACTCAAAACCACTCAACTACGTGGAAACTGAAAAACCGGCTCCTGAATGACTACTGGGTACATAATGAAATGAAGGCAGAAATAAAGATGTTCTTTGAAACCAATGAGAACAAAGACACAACATACCGGAATCTCTGGGACACATTCAAAGCAGTGTGTAGAGGGAAATTTATAGCACTAAATGCCCACAAGAGAAAGCAGGAAAGATCCAAAATTGACACCCTAACATCACAATTAAAAGAACTAGAAAAGCAAGAGCAAACACATTCAAAAGCTAGCAGAAGGCAAGAAATAACTAAAATCAGAACAGAACTGAAGGAAATAGAGACACAAAAAATCCTTCAAAAAATTAACGAATCCAGGAGCTGGGTTTTTGAAAGGATCAACAAAATTGATAGACCGCTAGCAAGACTAATAAAGAAAAAAAGAGAGAAGAATCAAATAGACACAATAAAAAATGATAAAGGGGATATCACCACCGATCCCACAGAAACACAAACTACCATCAGAGAATACTACAAACACCTCTACGCAAATAAACTAGAAAATCTAGAAGAAATGGATAAATTCCTCGACACATACACTCTCCCAAGACTAAACCAAGAAGAAGTTGAATCCCTGAATAGACCAATAAGAGGCTCTGAAATTGTGGCAATAATCAATAGCTTACCAACGAAAAAGAGTCCAGGACCAGATGCATTCACAGCCAAATTCTACCAGAGGTCCAAGGAGGAACTGGTACCATTCCTTCTGAAACTATTCCAATCAACAGAAAAAGAGGGAATCCTCCCTAACTCATTTTATGAGGCCAGCATCATCCTGATACCAAAGCCAGGCAGAGACACAACCAAAAAAGAGAATTTTAGACCAATATCCTTGATGAACATTGATGCAAAAATCCTCAATAAAATACTGGCAAAACGAATCCAGCAGCACATCAAAAAGCTTATCCACCATGATCAAGTGGGCTTCATCCCTGGGATGCAAGGCTGGTTCAATATACGCAAATCAATAAATGTGATCCAGCATATAAACACAACCAAAGACAAAAACCACATGATTATCTCAATAGATGCAGAAAAAGCCTTCAACAAAATTCAACAACCCTTCACGCTAAAAACTCTCAATAAATTAGTTATTGATGGGACATATCTCAAAATAATAAGAGCTATCTATGACAAACCCACAGCCAATATCATACTGAGTGGGCAAAAACTGGAAGCATTCCCTTTGAAAACTGGCACAAGACAGGGACGCCCTCTCTCACCACTCCTATTCAACATAGTATTGGAAGTTCTGGCCAGGGCAATTAGGCAGGAGAGGGAAATAAAGGGTATTCAACTAGGAAAAGAGGAAGTCAAATTGTCCCTGTTTGCAGACGACATGATTGTATATCTAGAGAACCCCATTGTCTCAGCCCAAAATCTCCTTAAGCTGATAAGCAACTTCAGCAAAGTCTCAGGATACAAATCAATGTACAAAAATCACAAGCATTCTTATACACCAACAACAGACAAACAGAGAGCCAAATCATGAGTGAACTCCCATTCACAATTGCTTCAAAAGGAATAAAATACCTAGGAATCCAACTTACATGGGATGTGAAGGACCTGTTCAAGGAGAACTACAAACCACTGCTCAAGGAAATAAAAGAGGATACAAACAAATGGAAGAACATTCCATGCTCATGGGTAGGAAGAATCAATAACATGAAAATGGCCAAATCGCCCAAGGTAATTTACAGATTCAATGCCATCCCCATCAAGCTACCAATGACTTTCTTCACAGAATTGGAAAAAACTACTTTAAAGTTCATATGGAACCAAAAAAGAACCCGCATCACCAAGTCAATCCTGAGCCAAAAGAACAAAGCTGGAGGCATCACACTACCTGACTTCAAACTATACTCCAAGGCTACAGCAACCAAAACAGCGTGGTACTGGTACCAAAACAGAGATACAGATCAATGGAACAGAACAGAGCCCTCAGAAATAATGCCACATATCTACAACTATCTGATCTTTAACAAACCTGAGAAAAACAAGCAATGGGGAAAGGATTCCCTATTTAATAAATGGTGCTGGGAAAACTGGCTAGCCAGATGTAGAAAGCTCAAACTGGATCCCTTCCTTACACCTTGTACAAAAATCAATTCAAGATGGATTAAAGACTTAAACGTTAGACCTAAAACCATAAAAACCCTAGAAGAAAACCTAGGCATTACCATTCAGGACATAGGCATGGGCAAGGACTTCATGTCTGAAACACCAAAAGCAATGGCAACAAAAGCCAAAATTGACAAATGGGATCTAGTTAAACTAAAGAGCTTCTGCACAGCAAAAGAAACTAACATCAGAGTGAACAGGCAACCTACAAATTGGGAGAAAATTTTCGCAACCTACTCATCTGACAAAGGGCTAATATCCAGAATCTACAATGAACTCAAACAAACTTACAAGAAAAAAACAAACAACCCCATCAAAAAGTGGGCGAAGGACATGAACAGACACTTCTCAAAAGAAGACATTTATGCAGCCAAAAAACACATGAAAAAATGCTCACCATCACTGGCCATCAGAGAAATGCAAATCAAAACCACAATGAGATACCATCTCACACAAGTTAGAATGGCAATCATTAAAAAGTCAGGAAACAACAGGTGCTGGAGAGGATGTGGAGAAATAGGAACACTTTTACACTGTTGGTGGGACTGTAAACTAGTTCAACCATTGTGGAAGTCAGTGTGGCGATTCCTCAGGGATCTAGAACTAGAAATACCATTTGACCCAGCCATCCCATTACTGGGTATATACCCAAACGACTATAAATCATGCTGCTATAAAGACACATGCACACGTATGTTTATTGCAGCATTATTCACAATAGCAAAGACTTGGAACCAACCCAAATGTCCAACAATGATAGACTGGATTAAGAAAATGTGGCACATATACACCGTGGAATACTATGCAGCCATAAAAAATGATGAGTTCATGTCCTTTGTAGGGACATGGATGAAATTGGAAATCAGCATTCTCAGTAAACTATCACAAGAACAAAAAACCAAACACCGCATATTCTCACTCATAGGTGGGAACTGAACAATGAGAACACATGGACACAGGAAGAGGAACATCACACTCTGGGGACTGTTGTGGGGTGGGGGGAGGGGGGAGGGATAGCATTGGGAGATATACCTAATGCTAGATGATGAGTTAGTGGGTGCAGCGCACCAGCATGGCACATGTATACATATGTAACTAACCTGCACATTGTGCACATGTACCCTAAAACTTAAAAGTATACTAACAATAAATAAATTAAAAAAAAAAAGAAAATCACACGTGTCAAAAAAGCCTTTTATTCAGCATACATAAACAACTCTTGAAATTCAGTTATAAGGAAACAAACTCCTTTTGAAAGCAGGCAAAAGTCTTGAATAGTTAACCAAAAATTATACAGGTAGCAAAGAGGCACATAAAAATATGCTCAATATATTAGTCATCAGTAAAGTGCAAATTAAAATGATGATGAGATACTACTAAACACATATTAAAACTCAAAATTGAAACTTAAATTTTGTAACTAAATTAAAAAATTTTAACATTAAAAGAACTGACAAACGTGGTGCTGTTGAGAATGTGGCATAACTGGGATTATTGTTGGTTATACAAAATGGTATAACAATCTTGGAAAAAGAGTTTTAGTTTCATATAAGATTAAACATCCACTTACAATATAATACAGCAATCACATTCTTAGATTATTGCCCAGATAACTAAAAACTATGTAAGTACAAAAAAAAAACCTGTTTAAAATGTTTACAGCAGCTGTATTCCTAATTGCCAAAAGCTGGAAGCAACTCAATGTCTATCAGCTGTTGAATGAATAAACAAACTACGGAACATTTATACAATGTGTAATGCTACTCAGTAATAAAAGTGAATTGATACATGCAACATGATGAATATTAGAAGAAAAAGGTAAGACTCAAAAAGCTACATACTATTTGATGGCATATTATATGCCTGTCTTAGTTTATTCCTGCTGTTATAACAAAATATCTGAAACCAGGTAATTTATATAGAACTTAAAATTATTTCTCATAATTCTAGAGGCTAGAAGTTCAAGATGAAGGTGTTGGCAGGTTTGGTCTCTGTTGAGAGCTTGAGCTCTGCTTGCAAGATGGTACTATGCTGCATTCTTCAGAGAGGAATGATACTATATCCTCATATGACAAAAGGAACAGAAGGGGAATAAAAAGACTGAGCTAGTTCCTTCCAGTGCTTTTATACGGCACTAATTATAACCATGAGAGCAGAGTCCTTATGGCCAAATAACCCCCTAAGGCCTCACCTCTTAATACTGTTACACTGGGGGATCAAGTATCAACATGAATTTTGGGGAGGATACAAACATCCAAACTATAGCATTCTGCTCCTGGCCACCCCAAATTCATGTCCTTCTCACATGTAAAATACATTCATTGTATCTTAATAGCCCAAAACATCTTAATTCATTCCAGTATCATCTTTAAAGTCTAAGTCAAGAGTCTCATCTAGATTAAATATGGGTGAGATTCAAGGTATCATTCATCCTGAGGAAAATTACCCCTCCAGCTGTGAAATCAAACAAGTTGTGTGTTCTGAACTACAATGGTAGGACCAGCATAGGATAGACATTCCCATTCCAAAAGGGAGAAATAGGCAAGAAGAAAAGGGTAACATGTCCCAAGTAAGTCCAAAACCCAACAAGGCACATAACATTAAATCTTGAGGCTTGAGAATAACCTTTTCTGACTCTATATTCTGCATTCCAGATACACTAGGGTAGGGTTTGGGCCTCTAAGGCTCCAGACAACCCTGACCCCATGACTTTGCTGTGGATAACCCACAAAGCAGCTCTCAAGGTTTGGAGTCAGGTACTTTCAGCTCTCCTAGGTTGATATTTCATGCTGGAGGCTCTCTATTTCTGGGGTCTTGGAGGCAGCCTTACCCTCACAGCTCTGCTTGGAATTGCCCTAGTGGGGGATCTCTTCATTAGCCTCAATTCCACACCTCTTGGCATTCCTCTAAGTGGAGACTCTCTGCAATGGTCCCACCCACATGGTAGACAAGGCATTGCCCTAATGGAGGCTCTCTGAGGTGGCCTCACCCCTGTGGCACTTCTCTGCCTGGGCCCTGAGGTTTTCTCCTAAGAATCCTTTGAAATCTAGGTGAAGGTAGCCATGCCTCCACAGCTCTTGCACACTGCATGCCTGCAAAGATGATGCCACATAGACATTGCCAAGATTTACTACTTGTACCTTTTGAAGGGGTGGCCAGAGCCACACCTGAGTCCTCTTGAACCACATTTGGGGTAGCCAAGGAGTGCTGTGCCCAAATGCAAGGAGCAGAAACTTGAGATGGCACTGGGTAATGAGCCCCATGGTTCTACAAGTCATTTGGGTCCTTTCTTTGAACCTGTTATATCCTCAAGGCCTTGGCACTCGGGGCCTGTGATGGGCATGGTAGCCTTGAAGATCTCTAAAATGTTGTCAGTGTCATTCTTTCATTCTTGATAAATAGCATCCAACTTCCTTATGTCCATACTAACCTCCTTATCAAATATTTGCTTGGTCACACCCTAGGTATTCTCTCCCAAATATGCTTTTTATTCTTTAAATGGCTAGGCTGAAAATTTTATAAAATCTTTAAGTTCTACTTCCCTTTTGATTATAAATTTATTTTTATTTATCTATTCATTCATTTATTTTGTTTGTTTGTTTGTTTTGAGATAAAGTCTCACTCTGTCACCCAGGCTGGAGTGCAGTGACATGATCTCAGCTCACTGAAACCTCCACCTCCCTGGTTCAAGCGATTCTCCTGCCTCAGCTCCCCTGAGTAGCTGGGACTACAGGCGCATGCCACCACACACAGTTAATTTTTGTATTTTTAGTAGAGACAGGATTTCACCATATTGGCCAGGCTGGTCTTAAACTCCTGACCTCAGGTGATCCACCCAACTTGGCCTCCCAAGGTGCTGGGATTATAGGCATGAGCCACCTTGCCTGGCCCCATTCATTTATTAAGACAGGGTCTTACTCTGTCACCCAGGGTGGAATTCAGTGGCATGATTATAGCTTGCTGCAGCTTTGAACTCCTAGACTAAAATGATCCTTCTGCCTAATGCTCCTGCATGGCTAGGACTACAGGCACATACCACCATGACTGGCTAACTTTAAAAACTTTGTAGAGATGGGGTCTCACCATGTTGCCCAGGCTGGTCTTGAACTTCTGGCCTCAAGTGTTTCTTCTGGCTTGGTCTCAAAAAACACTGGGATTACAAGCATAAGACATCTTGGTCAGCCAATTTCATTTTTAATTTCTCTTTTCTCACATTCTACTATAAGCAGTCAAAAGAAGCCATGCCACACCTCAAACAATTTGCTTGGAGATTTCTTCCACCAAATATCCTAGTTTATCACTCTTAAATTCTGCTTTCCACAAAGTGCTAAGATATGGAAATAATTCAGACAAGTTATTTGCCACTTTGTCATAAAGGTGGTCTTTTTCCAATAAAATTTTCAATATTTTCCAATAAGATATTCCTATTTTCTGTCCAAGACCTTTACTTTCCATATTTCTGCCAACATTCTTATCACAACCACTTAGATAATCTCTAAGAAGATTCAGGCTCTGTCTACAGCTATCCTATTTTGAGCCTTCAACAGAATCACCCTTAATCCTCCATTGACATCAATCCAGGCTTTTTCTAGCATTACCTTTAAATTCCTCCAGCCTCTAACCATTAACCAGTTCTAAAGCCACTTCCACATATTCAGATATTTGTTACAGAAATACATGAGTCATTAGTACCCATTTCTGGCTCAGTCAGTTCAGGCTGCTATAATAAAATACCACAGACTAATTTATTAATAATAGAAGTGTATTTCTTACAAATCTGGAGGCTGGGTATCCAAGATCAAGGCACCAGCAGATTCAGTGCCTGGTGAAGGCTACTCTCTATGTCCAAGATGACATCTCGTTGTTGAATCCCCCAGAAGGGATGAATGTCATGTACTCACATAGAAGAAGGGGAATAAAAGGCCTACTTAGTTGCCCACAGCCTTTTCATAAGGCACTAATCCAACCCACAAAAGCAGAGCCATCGTGGCCTAATCACTTCCTACAGGCATCACCTCTTAATACTGTTTCATTGGAGATTATGTTTCAACATAAATTTTGGTGGGGACACAAACATTCAAATGATAGAAATGCCATTATGGAAAAGGAAAAATTTTAAGTGGATGCCAGTGGATGAGGGTTCAGGAAGGGTTGGACTACAAGGATACAGCACAATGAACTTTTGGTGGATGATGGAATTATTTCATATTTTGATTGTGGTTGTGATTACACCTGTTTGCATTTGTCAACACTCATAGAATTATATAACAAAAAGTATGTTTACCATATGTAAAGAGAAAAAATGAATAAACTACCAACAAATGTTTATCATTTATTTAATAAGAAATATTGTAATTTGAATAAAAACACTAAAAATGTATCAAGGAAACTTAGTGGTGATCTTCATTTGTATCCAAAGTCCAGTAAAATGGAAAAAATTATTTCTGTCATTTATGAGCTAATTGGAAATTTGAACACTGGATGTAGAGAATATAATTAGTATGTTGGGTATGATTGTGGTATTGTGGTTTGTTAAAATAATACCATTGGGAGCTATATTTTTTAATGTATTGAATACTTATGAATGAAATGTGATGTGTAGAATTTTCTTCAAAATAAATATAAGAAAAAGAAAAGTGAATGGGTGTACTGATAAAAGTAAATATTGATTATGTTGTTTTTGCTGAGTGATTCTTGAACTTGATAATGAATACACTGTGATTTATCATACAATTCTGTCTATTTTTTTAAATGTGAGATGGTTTGGATATTTGTCCCCGCAATTTCTCATGTTGAAATGTAATCTCCAGTGTTAGAAGTGGGGCCTGGTGGGAGGTGTTATGGTCATGGGGGCAGATCCCTTATGAATGTTTGGGTGCTGTTCTCACAAAAATGAGTGAGTTCTTGCTGTGAGTTCATGTGAGATACGACTGTTTAAAAGTGTGTGGCACCTCCTACATCTGTCTCTTGCTCCCACTCTCACTATGTGACATGCTGTTTCTACTTTACTTCCCACCATAAGTAAAGGCTCCCTGAGGCCTCACCCAAAGCCAAAAGGATGCTGGCACCACACTTCCTGTACAGCTCTGTGCAACCATGAGCCAATTAAATCTCTTTTCTTTATCAATTACCCAGTCTCAGGAATTCCTTCAGAGCAAAAGAAACACATTAACACACAAAATTGTTACCAGGAGTGGGGTTTTACTATAAAGATGCCTGAAAATGTGGAAAAGACTTTGGAACTGGGTAATGGGCAGAGGTTGGAAGAGTTTGGAGGGTTCGGAAGAAGACAGGAAAATGAAGTAAAGTTTGGAATTTCTTAGAGACTGGTTAAATAGCTGTGACCAAAATGCCCTTAGAGATATGGACAGTAAAGTACAGGCTAAAGAGGTCTCAGATGGAAATGAGAAAGTTATTGGAAACTAGAGTAAAAGTAACCCTTGTTACATGTTAGCAAAGAACTCAATGCATTGTGTTCATGCCCTGGGGAACTGTGGAAGTTTGAACTTAAGATTGTCGACCTAGGGTACCTGGTGCAAGAAATTTCTTTCTTTCTTTCTTTTTTCATCATCACATCCTAGATTTATTACAACTGACCTGCAGGCAAAAGGACAGAACTACTACATAAACACTTTGATTCCATGTATACAACTTAAATAGAGGAGGAATTCAAACAAGAATACAGGATAAAATATTCCAAAGCTCCAAGAAGCAGTTATGTTACTGAGCTCCATTTTTTACAGACAAATAAGGCAATATCCCTGCACATTATCTTTTTGATAATTTTTATACATTTTTCTCTGGTACAAGAGAAAAATAACCAGAGCTAACAATGTACAGTTCTTACACTATTTTCACAGTTTGTGAACACTATTCACACTTTTGTTTTAATAAAGATATATTGCAATAAACTCCTTGCCCTTAAGTTTATAGTTTATAATAATCTATGATTAATACATGAAAATTTCCTTTTTATGTGGTCATCCACACAATAGAATGGTCAGATTCGCTCCTGGACAGTCAGAATTGCTTTTATCTCCATTTGCATAATGGCAAAGTGACCCTATGCTGAGCCAGATGGGAAGCTGACAGCAGAGAAACAGATTCCTCTTGAGTCCCCGGGAACAATGGAGGATGACAGCTTGCTGTGGTCAAAGGGAGACATAAAGCAATGTCTCCTTTCAGAACAGTGGGAAGTCTAAAGTTTAGGATGCCATGGGGGAGAAGATAAGGAAATAAGGCAAGTAGATCAAAGAGATAATCACTTTTGAATTCTGCAATTTACAGGGATGTGATTTTAAACAGCACCATTCTTCCTTTATTGTTTGATAGTATTTATGACTGTCACTCTAAGAGGAGACACAGCAATACCTGCCATGATTTGGTTCTGTAATGGCATCACCTGCATATCAGACCATGGCTGTTTTATATTCCAGTGTGCTTGAACCATTCACGGTGCTGCTTCACTGTCATACAAAGCCTTAAGGTTCAGTGCCAGGGAGGCCCGAGCAAAATCTAATGAGAACCTGGCTAATGAGTAAGTTAAGAAGCGCAAGATACTTAAATGGTCTCTTGTAACAGTGCTGAGGGTTTTGTTTTGCTTTTTATATTTTTTCCAGTAGGCTTCCAATGCCAAGAAATGGTGTTGTACTACAGGAGGTTCTAGCTGGTGATGAACATAAAGGCTGCCATTTCAGATCCTCATCTGGTCCAATGTGTCTCTAGAAAAGATGCCTCTTTATCACTTACCACATCGGCTGGGCCCCACTATTCTTAGCCTTTTAAACACTAGCGCATATGAGAGATTTGGGGCTAAAAATCCTTGGTAAGAAACATCCCTGGTAATTATAAAGGTTTTTTGATATAAAAAAAGGCAAAATATTGGATTAAGCAAAAGTCACATAGCGACAACAGACCACAGGGGAAGGGAAAGAGATTCGGAAACTGAAGACCTGGACCAGTGATGGCAAGAAGGAAACAACTGAGATTTGGTCTTTTGCTGCCTACCAGAAATCTTTATCTAATCAATCAAGGCACATTGCTACTAGCTACTTCTCCCTGTTAGTGAGTTAGGATGGCTAAAGTATCAGGCTTAAGACCAAAGGGAAATATATAACTGCTACAAGTTGTTCCAGATAAAATAGTAGAATTAAAAACATCTGTAAACTTTGCCTTCTGTACTGTTTTCTTCTTTCAGTCCTGGTGGTTTGTGGCAGGTGGAACATCAAGTTGGCAGCACACCGAATTCTGAGAATGAAAAATTATTAGGATCAGCTCCTTCTTTGACAAGTGGCAGACTCCTGAGTCTTCCCAATGCAAAGTAGGACTGGTAAAGGAGAAAAGAACACATCTGGTCCTGTCTCAATATTTTAATGTTCACCTCTTTGAACGCAACATGGTTTTTGGTAAAGATAAATTCATTCTAATTTAACATGATATGTCAAACAGGAAATTTGGCTGAGCACATCAATCCCCAAACATCAACTGTAACTGTAAAGCAACAGAATATCACATCAGTAAATCTATTGCACTTGGTGAAGAAAGTAAATTCCTCCTTTGTCTCCTAGCTCCAGAAGGCAATGTGTCTCGTTGGCTGTGCAAGCTCTTCTCACTCAAGCCTGAGTCTCTATGTTCAGACATAGTACATCCATCACCGTGTCCTTCCAGGATTTGGAAGTCTGATAAAACACCATTCCAGTAGCTGCATCTCCAGGTTTGGAGTCTATAAATGAATATAAGATGTGATCTAATCACAGTCAACAACTTGATCATACTGACTTCTACATTTCATGAATATGTTCATCACAAAAGAGCAGGATGAGGTCTCTCTGACCAGCACTAACACTGTGTGATCAATCAGGTATTACCAGGATGCACGTTCTAGGTGACAGGAATATGTAGACATGATGGAAATGAACACCAATGTCATTGCACATGGTGTCTGGGTGAGCAATAAAAACACTGTGATAGGGATGAAAATTCTTTACCTTTTGCTTCCTCTCAGCCCTTTTTTTTAGTCTGATGTAGCAGCGATATCAAACAACATACATGGGAAAGCTGGGAGTAGCTGGCATTTGATCCAGGATTTGACAAAACATAGCATGCGACTTCAATGGTACGTTCTTCATAAATCAAAATAAAAAGATGTTTCAGAAGCTCTTTATGCTGTGGTCTTTTGGATTCATCCTTCGTAAGGCACAAGTTGACAAAGTTGATGAAACTTGGGGAGAATTCGTTTTCCTCAGAATTACTCAGCTGCGGAGGATCTCCTTTCACGACTTGTGTTAGTTGATCAAATACACTATTCCACTTTGGATAAGGAAATCAGCCCGTGGCCAACTCACACAATGTGATCCCCAAACTCCAGACATCAGAGCAGACATCATATGCTTGTCATGATGCACTTGGGTCTATTCTTTCAGGTGCCATGTATGGCCTACAGCCAGCATCTTCTGTCTTGGCAATAGAGTCCACAAGCTGCCCACTGATGCCAAAGTCACAGAGTTTAATATTTTCACTTCTGTCCAGAAGAATATTGGAAGGTTTGATATCTCTGTGAATAATTTTCAAGTTTTCTTTTAAGTGATTTAATGCTTTCACAGATGCTAAAGTGATTCTGCCTAAAATTTCTTCTGGAATAACATCATCTAATACACTATACACATATTTGTAAAACTTATCAAACGAGATAGACATGAGTTCCATACAGGTCCAACAGTCACCCTGTCTGTAGAGTGCATCATAAAACTGAACAATGTAAGGGCAATCACTACTCTGCATTACTTCATCCAAATCCGTAAGAGGTTGTTTTTGTTCTTTTTCATTCACTGTTGACCGAATTCTTTTAACTGCCATTATTTGCCCACTTGGTTTGTGGACCATTTTGTTGGCAGAACCATAAACTCCTCATCCAATTTCTCCAAGGTCTTTCAAGTCCTCTGCAGTGAAATCCCAGTGTTGTTCAGGGGAGATCTTCAGTTTTCCTGATGACTCAATGCTGTGTGATCTCAGTCTCTCTATGTGTGGGTTTTGAACTCCTGTAGGATTGGGATTCAGAGTAAACCTTGCTGTAGATTTGAAAGGTGGATTTGCAAAATTCAACTTCAGTGCTTTGCGTTTACCCTGCATGCTGCTGATGGCTGGGTGGCCTGGCTTCAGGGATCCTACAGGTCCCGGGGTGAGGCTGCCGCTGCTGCCCCCGGAGCCGCAGCCGCCGCTCAGTCTCGGAGCTGCCATTGTTGGGAGTGAGGAGCCAAGCGACGCCGTGGCGGCTGCAATGCAGCCCTGGTACAAGAAATTTCTAAGCAGGAAAGCATTCAAGATGTAGCCTGGTTGCTTATAACAGCATATTATCAGATATAGGAGCAAATAAATGACGAAGTTGGTACTTATATTTAAAAGGAAAGTAGAGCATAAGTTCAGAAAATGTGCATCTTAGCCCTGTGGTAAAGAAAGAATCCAAGCAGACTGTAGAGCAATCACTTGCTAGAGAGATTAGCATTACTAAAAGGGAGCCAAGTGCTAATATCCAAGACAATGAGGGAAAAAAAAGACTAGGAGGCATTTCAGAAGTCTTTGGGACAGCCCAGAGGTCTACCAGGAAATAATGGTTTCAGGGCCAAGCCCTGGGCTGTGCTATACTACACAGCCTCAGGACACTGCTCTTCATATCCTGGCTGCTCTGGCTCCAGCCTTGGCTCAAAGGGGTCCAGGACACTGCTTCAGAGGGCACAAGCTGTAAACCAGCAGCTTCCATGTGGTGTTAAGCCTGTGGACACAAAGAATGCAAGAGTAAAGGAGGCTTGGCAACTTCCACCTAAAATTTCAAAGGTTGTATGAGAAAGCATGGGTACCCAGGCAGAAACTTGCCACAGAAATGGAGCTACAACAGAGTGTCTCTACTAGGGCAGTGCTGAGGGGAAATGTGACATTGCAGTTCCAATACAGACTCTCCACCAGGTCACTGCCTAATGGAGCTGTGAGAGGGGGCTGCCATCCTCTAGACCCAAGAATAACGGAGGTAAGGGCAGCTTGCACCCTCAGCCTGAAAAAGTCATAAGCACTGGACTCCAACCCATCAGGGCAGCCATGTCAGCTGGATTCAGCAATTCCATAGAAGCAGAGCTACCCATGGCTTTAGAAGTCCTCTCCTCACACCAGTGTGCCCTGGATGCAGGACATCAAGTCAAATGAGATTATTTTGGAGCTTTAAGAGTTAATGAGTATCCTGTTGGGTTTAAGACTTGTGTGAGGCCTATTAGCCCTTTCTCTTGGCTGAATTCTCTCTTTTGGAATTGGATGTTTACCCAATGCCAGTACCACCATTATATCTTGGGAGTAAATAACTTGATTTTGATTCTACAGGTTCATAGATGGAAGGAACTTGAGTCTCAGATGAGGCTTTGGAAATTGGACTTGGGAACTTTTGAGTTGGGGCTGAAACAAGTTAAGACTTGGGGGGACAACTGAGAAGGGATCATTGTCAGGCCTTTGAGCCCAAGCTAAGCCATCATATCCCCTGTGACCTGCACATATACATCCGGATGGCCTGAAGTAACTGAAGAATCACAAAAGAAGTGAAAATGGCCTGTTCCCACCTTAACTGATGACATTACCTTGTAAAATTCCTTCTCCTGGCTCATCCTGGCTCAAAAGCTCTCCCACTGAGCACCTTGTGACCCCCATCCCTGCCTGCCAGAGAACAACCTCCTTTGACTGTAATTTTCTTTTTCTTTTTTTTTTTTTTTTGAGATGGAGTCTGGCTCTGTCACCCAGGCTGGAGTGCAGTGGCGCGACTTGGCTCACTGCAACCTCCGCCTCCTGGATTCATGCCATTCTCCTGCCTCAGCCGCCCAAGCAGCTGGGACTATAGGTGCCTGCCACCATGCCTGGCTAATTTGTGTGTATGTGTGCATTTTTAGTAGAGACAGGGTTTCACTATGTTAGTCAGGCTGGTCTCAAACTCCTGATCTCTTGATCTGCCCACCTCGGCCTCCCAAAGTGCTGGGATTACAGGCATGAGCCACCGCGCCCAGCCTTGACTGTAGTTTTCCTTTACCTACCCAAATCTTATAAAACGGCCCCACCCCATCTCCCTTCCCTGACTCTCTTTTTGGACTCGGCCCGCCTGCACCCAGGTGAAATAAACAGCCTTGTTGCTCACACAAAGCCTGTTTGGTGGTCTCTTCACAGGGATGCAAGTGAAATTTGGTGCCATGACTCAGACTGGGGGACTTCCCTTGGGAGATCAATCCCCTGTCCTCCTGCTCTTTGCTCCGTGAGAAAGATCCACCTACGACCACGGGTCCTCAGACCAACCAGCCCAAGGAACATCTCACCAATTTTAAATTGGGTAAGCAGCCTCTTTTTACTCTCTTCTCCAACCTCTCTCACTATCCCTCAACCTCTTTCTCCTTTCAATCTTGGTGCCACACTTCAGTCTCTCCCTTCTCTTAATTTCAGTTCCTTTCCTTTTCTGGTAGAGACAGGAGATGCATTTTATCCATGAACCCAAAACTCTGGCACCAATCACGGACTCAGGAAGACAGTCTTCCCTTGGTGTTTAATCATATGGGGATGCCTGCTTGATTATTCACCCACGTTTCAGAGCTGTCTGACCATGCAGGGATGCCTGCCTTGGTCCTTCACCCTTAGCAGCAATCACTGCTTTTCTGGGGGGCAAGCACCCCCCCCAACCCCTTCTCTAGATGTCTCTACCCATTTTCCACTTTCCTGGTGGGCAAGCACCTCCCATCCCTTCTCCACTTTCCTGGGGGGCAAGCACCCCCCACTCCTTCTCTCCATTTCCCCACCCCTTGTCCACTTTCCTGGGGGGAAGCACCCCCCCCACCCCTTCTCTCTGTGTCTCTACCCTCTCTTTTCTCTCCACTTTCCAGGGGGGCAAGCACCCCCCACCCCTTCTCTCCATGCTACCCTCTCTTTTCTCTGGACTTGTCTCCTTCATTATAGGCAACCACCCTCCATTCCTCCTTCTTCTCCCTTAGCCTGTATTCTCAAGAACTTAAAACCTCTTTAACTCACACTGACCTAAAACCTAAATGCCTTATTTTCTTCTGCAATGCCGCTTAACCCCAATACAAACTCGATAATGGCTCTAAATGGCCAGAAAACGGCACTTTCGATTTCTCCATCCTACAAGACCTAAATAATTCTTGTCGTAAAATGGGCAAACGGTCTGAGGTGCCTGATGTCCAGGCATTCTTTTACACATCGGTCCCTCCCTAGTCTCTGTTCCCAATGCAACTCATCCCAAATCTTCATTCTTTCCCTCCTGCTTGTCCCCTCAGTCCCAACCCCAAGCATCGCTGAGTCTTTCCAATCTTCCTTTTTTATGGACCCATCTGACCTCTCCCCTCCTCCCTAAGCTGCTCCTCGCCAGGCCAAGCTAGGTCCCAATTCTTCCTCAGCCTCCGCTCCCCCACCCTATAATCCTTTTATCACCTCCCCTCCTCACACCCGGTCTGCCTTACAGTTTCGTTCCGCAACTAGCCCTCCCCCACCTGCCCAGCAATTTCCTCTTAAAAAGTTGCCTGGAGCTAAAGGCATAGTCAAGGTTAATGCTCCTTTTTCTTTATCCAACCTCTCTGAAATCAGTTAGCGTTTAGGCTCTTTTTCATCAAATATGAAAAACCTAGCCCAGTTCATGGCCCATTTGGCAGCAACCCTTAGACCCTTTACAGCCCTAGACCCTGAAGGGTCAGAAGGCTGTCTCATTCTAAATATGCATTTTATCACCCAGTCAGCTCCTGAAATTAGAATAAAGCTCCAAAAATTAAATTCCAGCCCTCAAGCTCCACAACAGGACTTAATTAACCTCACCTTAAAGGTGTACAATAATAGAGTAGAGGCAGCCAAGTAGCAATGTGTTTCTGAGTTGCAATTCCTTGCCTCCATTGTGAGACAAACCCCAGCCATATCTCCAGCACACAAGAACTCCAAACGCCTGAACCGCAGCTGCCAGGAGTTCCTCCAGGACATCCTCCCCCAGGAGCTTGCTACAAGTGCCAGAAATCTGGCCACTGGGCGAAGGAATGCCTGCAGCCCAGGATTCCTGCTAAGCCACATCCCATCTGTGCAGGACCCCACTGAAAATCAGACTGTTCAACTCACCTGGCAGCCACTCCCAGAGCCCCTGGAACTCTGGCCCAAGGCTCTCTGACTGACTCCTTCCCAGGTCTTCTTGGCTTAGTGGCTGAAGACTGATGCTTCCCAATCGCCTTGGAAGCCCCTTAGACCATCACAGATGCCAAGCTTCGGGTAACTCTCACAGTGGAGGGTAAGTCCATCCCCTTCTTAATCTTAATCATTATGGAGGCTACCCACTCCACGTTACCTTCTTTTCAAGGGCCTGTTTCCCTTGCCTCCATAACTGTTGTGGGTATTGACAGCCAGGCTTCTAAACCTCTTAAAACTCCCCAACTCTAGAGACAACTTGGACAGTGTTCTTTTATGCACTCCTTTTTAGTTATCACCACCTGCCTAGTTCCCTTATTAGGCTGAAACATTTTAACTAAATTATCTGCTTCCCTGACTATTCCTAGGCTACAGCCACACCTCATTGCTGCCCTTTTCCCCAGTTCAAAGCCTCCTTCACATCCTCCCCTTGTATCTCCCCACCTTAACCCACAAATATGGGACACCTCTACTCCCTCCCTGGCAACCAATCACACACCCATTACTATCCCATTAAAACCTAATCACCCTTAACCCGCTCAATGCCAATATCCCATCCCAAAGCATGTTTTAAAAGGATTAAAGCCTGTTATCACTTGCCTGTTACAGCATGGCCTTTTAAGGCCTATAAACTCTCTTTACAATTCCCCCATTTTACCTGTCCAAAAACCAGACAAGCCTTACAGGTTAGTTCAGGATCTGCCCCTTATCAACCAAATTGTCTTGCCTATCCACTCCATAGTGCCAAACCCATATACTCTCCTATCCTCAATACCTCCCTCCACAACCCATTATTCTGTTCTGGATCTCAAACATGCTTTCTTTACTATTCCTTTGCACCCTTCATCCCAGCCTCCCTTCACTTTCACTTAGACTGACCCTGACACCCATCAGGCTCAGCAAATTACCTGGGCTGTACTGCCTCAAGGCTTCACAGACAGCCCCCATTACTTCAGTCAAGCCCAAATTTATTCCTCATCCATTACCTATCTTGACATAATTCTTCATAAAAACACACGTGCTCTCCCTGCTGATCATGTCCAACTAATCTCCCAAACCCCAATCCCTTCTACAAAACAACAACTCCTTTCCTTCCTAGGCATGGTTAATATGGTCAGAATTCTTACACAAGAGCTGGGACTGTGCCCTGTAGCCTTTCTGTCCAAACAACTTGACCTTATTGTTTTAGCCTAGCCCTCATGTTGGTGTGGAGTGGCTGCCACTGCCTTAATACTTTTAGAGGCCCTCAAAATCACAAACTATGCTCAACTCACTCTCTACAGTTCTCATAACTTCCAAAATCTATTTTCTTCCTCCCACCTGACGCATATACTTTCTGCTCCCTGGCTCCTTCAGCTATACTCACTCTTTGTTGAGTCTCCCACAATTACCATTGTTCCTGGCCCGGACTTCAATCTGGCCTCCCACATTATTCCTGATACCACACCTGACCCCCATGACTGTATCTCTCTGATCCACCCAACATTCACTCCATTTCCCCATATTTACTTCTTTCCTGTTCCTCACCCTGAACACACTTGGTTTATTGATGGCAGTTCCACCAGGCCTAATCGCCACTCACCAGCAAAGGCAGGTGATGCTACAGTATCTTCCACACCTATCATTGAGGCACCACTCTGCCCCCCTCCACTACCTCTCAACAAGCCAAACTCATTGCCTTAACTGGAGCCCTCACTCTTGCAAAGGGACTACGCATCAATATTTACACTGACTCTAAATATGCCTTCCATATCCTGCACCACCATGCTGTTATATGGGCTGAAAGAGGTTTCCTCACTATGCAAGGGTCCTCCATCATTAATGCCTCTTTAATAAAAACGCTTCTCAAAACTGCTTTACTTCCAAAGGAAGATGGAATCATTCACTGTAAAGGCCATCAAAAGGCATCAGATCCCATCGCTCAGGACAATGCTTATGCTGATAAGGTAGCTAAAAAAGCAGCCATCAAAAGGCATCAGATCCCATCACTCAGGGCAATGCTTATGCTGATAAGGTAGCTAAAAAAGCAGCTAGCCTTCCAACTTTTATCCCTTACGGCAGTTTTTCTCCTTCTCATCTGGCCACTCCCACCTATTCCCCCACTGAAACTTCCACCTATCAATCTCTTCCCACAGAAGGGAAATGGTTCTTGGATCAAGGAAAATACCTCCTTCCAGCCTCACAGGTCCATTCTATTCTGTTGTCATTTCATAACCTCTTCCATGTAGGTTACAAGCCACTAGCCTGCCTCTTAGTATCTCTCATTTCCTTTCCATCATGGAAATCTGTCCTCAAGGAAATCACTTCTCAGTGTTCCATCTGCTATTCTACCACTCCTCAGGAATTTCTCAGGCCCCCTCCCTTCCCTACACATCAAGCTCCGGGATTTGCCCCTGCCTAGGACTGGCAAATTGACTTTACTCACATGCCTGTGTCAGGAAACTAAAATACCTCTTGGTCTAGGTAGACATTTTCACTGGATGGGTAGAGGCCTTTTCCACAGGGTCTGAGAAGGCCACCACAGTCATTTCTTCCCTTCTGTCAGACATAATTCCTTGATTTGGCCTTCCCACCTCTATACAGTCTGATAATGGACCAGCCTTTATTAGTCAAATCACCCAAGCAGTTTCTCAGGCTCTTGGTATTCAGTGAACTAATGGTCTTTTAAAAACACACCTCACCAAGATCAGCCATGAACTTAAAAAGGACTGGACAATACTTTTACCACTTTCCCTTCTCAGAATTTGCGCCTGTCCTTGGAATGCTGCAGGGTATAGCCCATTTGAGCTCCTGTATGGATGCTCCTTTTTATTAGGCCCAAGTCTCATTCCAGACACCAGACCAACTTGGACTGTGCCCCAAAAAACTTGTCATCCCTACTATCTTCTGTCTAGCCATACTCCTTTCACCATTCTCAAATACTCATAAATGCCCTGCTCTTGCTTACACTGCCAGTTTACACTGTTTCTCCAAGCCATCACAGTTGATATCTCCTGGTGCTATCCCCAAACTGCCACTCTTAACTCTTAAAGTAAATAAATAATCTTTGTTGGCAGGGCTATGCTGAACCTCCTTAGGCACTCTCTAATTGGATGTCCTGGGTCCTCCCAATTCTTAGTCCTTTAATACCTGTTTTTCTCCTTCTTTTATTCTGTTTAGTTTTTCAATTCATACAAAACCATATCCATGCCATCACCAATAATTCTATATGACAAATGTTTCTTCTAACAACCGCACAATATCACCCCTTACCACAAAATCTTCCTTCAGCTTAATCTCTCCCACTCTAGGTTCCCACCCTGCCCCTAATCCCGCTCAAAGCAGCCCTGAGAAACATCACCCATTATCTCTCCATACCACCCCCAAAAATTTTCACTGCCCCAACACTTTACCACTATTTCATTTTATTTTTCTTATTAATCTAAGAAGACAGGAATGTCAGGCCTCTGAGCCCAAGCTAAGCCATCATATCCCCTGTGACCTGCACATATACATCCAGATGGCCTGAAGTAACTGAAGAATCACAAAAGAAGTGAAAATGGCCTGTTCCTGCCTTAACTGATGATGTTACCTTGTGAAATTCCTTCGCCTGGCTCATCCTGGCTCAACAGCTCCCCCACTGAGCACCTTGTGACCCCCACCCCTGCCCACCAGAGAACAACCCCCTTTGACTGTAATTTTTCTTTACCTACTCAAATCTTATAAAATGGCCCCACCCCTATCTCCCTCCACTGACTCTCTTTTCAGACTCAGCCTGCCTGCAGCCAGGTGAAATAAACAGCCTTGTTGCTCACACAAAGCCTGTTTGATGGTCTCTTCGCACAGACGTGAGTGAAAGTCATTATATTTTGCAATGTGAGAAGAACATGAGATCTGGGGGCTAGGGGTCGAATGATATGGTTTGGATATTTTTCCTCTCCAAATCTCATGTTGAAATGTAATCTCTAATGTTGGAAGTGAGCCGTGGTGGGAGGTGTTTTTGTCATAAGGGTGGATCCCTCATGAATGCCTTGATCCTATCCTCACAATAATGAGTGTATTCTCACTCTGAGTTCATGTGACAACTGATTGTTTAAAATAGTATGGCACCTCCCCCCTCTATCTTGCTCCTGCTCTTGCTATGTGACATGTTACTTCCATGATATGGTTTGCATCTCTCTCCCCACCCAAATCTCATGTTCAATTGTAATCCCCAGTGTTAGAGGTGGGGCCTGGTGGGAGGTGACTGTATTATGGGGGTAGATTTTTTATGAATGGTTTAGCTCCATACCCTTGGTGCTATTCTCATGATAGTGAGTTCTCACATAACCTGGTTGTTTGAAAGTGTGTAGCACCTCCCCCCAGCTCTCTCCTTTATTCCTCTTCCTGCCACCTTGCTCCTCCTTTGCCTTGCACCTCCTTTGCCTTGCACCATGATTGGAAGCTTCCTGAGGCCTCCCCAAAAGCAGAAGCCTTATGCATCCCGTACAGCCTGTAGAACCATGAGCATGTTAAACCTCTTTTCTTAATAAATTACCCAGTTTCAGGTATTTCTTTATAACAATATAAGAACAGACTAATACATCCTGCTTCACCTTCTGCCATGAGTAAAACCTCCCTGAGGCCTCACAAGAAGCTATGCAGATGCCAGAACCATGCTTCCTGTACAGCCTGCAAAACCATGGCCAATTAAATCTCTTTTCTGTATAAATTACCAAGTCTCAGGTATTCCACTAAAGCAATGCAAATTGGCTAACACAGTATGTGATTAATATTTTCTATAATATACAATTTTTAAGAATAAGTGCATATATCTTCTTTTATAATAGCAAAACACAAGTGGAAGAAAAGCAAATGTATAGCAACAGGTGTACAAATAAATAAACTGTGGTAGAAGAGATTGCTAACAGCCTAAGGAACTGAGCAGAAATTTTTATACACTCATTGGGACTGTACAAAAAAAAATTCGAGTTTAGGTACTACCAATGTGAGTAAAGTGCTGGTAAATACTTTAGGATCTGAAATGATTGTAGAAATAAGAATGAACAGGAAATATCCTATTCCTCACATGAACTTAATTAAGCTCAGATGGGAACTCTCTCAAACTATGATTGAATACATATAATCTATTTTATCTCTAAGCGTTATCTAGTGCCCCTAGCTATTACATATAAAGAAATATAAACCCTCTCTGAATGAAGACAACATTATGCTTGGCCTCAAGTTATCTCTATAACTTATCATCTACAGTGTTCAGCACTCAATAAATAAGGCATTTGAAGAAAAAGATGACATGATCAAATAGGAAGAAAAACAATAAATCATAGAAATAATCACAGAGTAAGGCAGACAAAAATATCAAGAATAAAACTCTGAGAGACAAAGGGATGAAGTCTTTTCTGGCTGGAACTGTGGAGGGTGTTGAAGAGAATAATAAGGTTCCTGCTGTGCCAGAAAGCTTTAAGGAAAAGGGAAGAAATTTCACAGAACTGAAGATCAAGCGCCTGAGAAAAGTTTCCCAAAAGATGCTTCTAAAGGCAAGGAGGAAGCTTATATATGAAAAAGCTAAGCACTATCACAAGTAATATAGGCAGATGTACAGAACTGAGATTTGAATGGCTAGGATGGCAAGAAAAGCTGGCAATGTCTACCAACCTGCAGAACCCAAATTGACACTTGTCATTAGGATCAGAGGTGTCAATGGTGTGAGCCCAAAGATCCAAAAGGTGTTGCAGTTTCTTCACCTTTGTCGGATCTTCAATTGAAACTTTGTTAAGTTCAACAGGGCTTCAATTAACATGCTGAAGACTGTAGAACCATATATTGCATAGGGGTACCCAAACCTGAAGTCAGTAAATAAACTAATCTACAAGTGTGGTTATGGCAAAATCACTAAGAAGCAAATTGCCTTGACAAATAACACTTTGATTGCTCGGTCTCTTGGTAAATATAGCATCATCTGCACAGCAAATCTGATTCATGAGATCTATACTCTCAGAAAATGCTTCAAAGAAGCAAATTGCTTCTTTTGGTCCTTCAAATTATTCTCTCTATGAGGTGGAATGAAGAAAAAGACCATCCATTTTGTAGAAAGTGGAGATGACCAACAGGAAAGAGCAGAGCAACAGGCCTATCAGATGGATGAACTAAGGTGTCCACCACGATAGTTTCTGTAATCCAGTCAGTTAATAAACAGTGAATGCTTTCAAATTGAAAAAAAAAATAATGTATCAAAAAGAGCAGCAAGATACATAGTGGACAGAGCAGGAAAAGTCTATGTATAATGTATATCCAAAAAGATAGAAGAAAAAGAAGAGGAGAGAAGCAGATTTGGAGAAAACAATGGTTAAGAATTGTCAAAATTAAAAGAAGATAAAAAGCCACAGATTAAAGAATCCCTACACAATTCAAGCAGGATAAATACATAATACCCACACCTAGACACAACCAAGTAAAATGTTAAAATACTAAAGGCAAATAAAAAAATCTTTAAAATTAATAAAAATTTTTACCTTGAGCTTACTAATGAATTCCCATTGCAGCTGAGGAAAGAGAACAGAGGCTATCATAAAACTCTACCCAGATTTTTCTTTCCTATCTCACTAAAGAAACAAAATTTTTAATCTTAAGGAAGAAGGTTCCCAAAACCATGGCCTATGGACACTGGTGGATATACACTGAAACTGAGGGAAGGGAACTGGAGAACAAAGTTCTACCTATGGAAGAGAACAGAAATATTTATGAAGGCCAACACTGTGATTCAGGTCTATAGTGCTTTGCAAAGACTTAGGCTTATTCACAACAATGAAGAATGCCCCCTTCCCTCCACCCCAAACACCACACTAAAATGCCCTGAGCCAAACTAACAGGGAAGCACAGCCGGGAGAACTACAAAACACAGAATTTTTCTGCAGTACAGCACAAAAGAAAAATCCAAAGGGAAAAATAAGTTATCACTAGAAGGGAGAAAAAAAATGGTATCACTAGAAAAATTTGAAGTCTCCTGTTACCATAGCAATAACACACTTCAACTCTGGTAAATAGCAACGACAAACTTTAAATGCAGACTAATTTCTAATTAATTAACAAAATGTGCCATACTAAAAGCATAGCAGAAGGAAATGTATTCTCCAAGCATAAAACATACTTATTACAATATCTAGTGACCACTACAAATCTCCAGTTTTCACTAAAAAGTTATGAGGTACACCAAAGGCAAGAAAGACAGTCTGAAGAGACAAAGTAAAGATCAGAATGAGATTCAGATATGACACAGATGTTAGAACTATTGGAAGGCAAATTTAAAATAATTATGATTAAAAATAGGAGGAAGATGGCAGAATAGGAGGTCTCCAGGTCATGTGGTCCCACACAAATAATGATCTGGCAGCCATCTATGGACAAAACTGCCTTATGGAATCTTTCAGATCCGGGTAGAAGATTGGAAAACACTGGTGAAGCCCAAGCCTGAGAGCCACTTTGAGATGAAAACCCACACCCAAGAGTCAGGGTCACTAATGTGGTCCCAGCTGCAGACTAAAAGCAGCCGCATTTCCCTATAAATGTGGCTCCAGGCCCACTATCCCATAGCCTGGTGTCAGTTTTGCCCACAAAGGAAACCTGTGGAACACATGCCTGATCATGTCCCTAATAATAAGCCCACTAATTTCAGACCCAGCTGCAGTCACTGAGGCAGACCAGTGACCTGGCTCCAGCCCCCACTCTGCTGTGGTCTGGAAGCAGTACTGCCAACCCTGAGACCCACTCAGGGACCCAGCAGGAGACCATTCAGGGACCCAGTGAGACCCATTTCTGCCCCAAGTAGAAGGCCTGCCATCTGCCCACTTGAGTGGAACAAAAAAGCAGCCCTGTGACTTGGCTCCAGCTCTGCTTAACCATGGTTCCAGAAATAGTCCTATTTGCCTCAGGATCCAACAGGAATAACACACACCTATATTCCCACAACAGTCCTGCTTAGACCCAAATGTGGACCAGTAGCAGCCAATTGATCTGACTCCACCCTCACTCAGCTGCCATTCTGGAGTCAGTCCCATCAATCTGGGACCAGTGAGAAAATGTCTGTACTTGCTAAAACCAGTCTGCAAAGACACGGAGAGGTATTTGCTCCTTCAAGTGCAGAGACTGCATAGATCACCAAAGAATCAGGTGAATAAGACACTACAAGAAGAAATTAGTAAAATTTTAGAAATCAATCTCAAATAAAGGAAGATTTACAAATTGACTAACAAAGAAATCAAAACAATTGTTTCAAGAAAGCTCAGTGAACTACAATAGGACTTGAATAGACATTTTTTAAAAGAAGACATACAAATGGCTAACAGGTATATGAAAATGTGCTCAATATCACTAATCACCAGGGAAATGTAAATCAAAACAATAATGACAATATCAAATCTGTTAGAATGGCTATTATCAAAAAGACAAAAGAGGCTGGGCTTGGTGGCTCACACCTGTAATAGTAGCACTTTGGGAAGCCTGGGCAGGTGGATCACTTGAGGCCAGAAGTTCAAGACCAGCCTGGCCAACACAGTGAAACCTCATCTCTACTAAAAATACAAAAATTAGCCAGGCATGGTGGTACAAGCCTGTAATCCCAGCTACTTGGGAGGCTGAGGCAGGAGAATCACTGGAACCCAGGAGGCAGAGGTTGTAGTGAGCTAACACCACTGCACTCCAGCCTGGGTGACAGAGTGAAACTTCATCTCAGAAAATAAATAAATAAATGTGTTGGTGAAAATGTGGGGAAAGAGGAACCCTAGTATACTGTTGACAGGAGTATAAATTGGTACAGTCATTATGGAAAACAATATAGAGATTCCTCAAAAACTTAAAAAGAGAACTACCATACTATCCATCATTTCCATTTCTGGATATATATACAAGGGAAATAAAATCAGTATCTTGAAGTGATATCAGCACCCCCTGGTCCATTGCAACATTATTCACAATAGCCAAAATATAGAAACAACCTAAGTGTTTGTCAAATAAATGGATTTCTAAAGTATACATACACACACACACACAACACACACACACACACACACACGGAATATTATCTAGCCTTAAAAAGAAGAAAATTCTGTCATTTGTGACAATGTAGATAAACTAGGAGGATATTACGTGAAGTGAAATAAGCCAGACACCAAAAGATAAATATTGCAATGTCTCCCTTATATGTGGATTCTAAAAAACTTGAGTTGGCTAGGTGTGGTGACTCATACATGTAATCCCAGAGTGTTGGGAGGCCAAGATGGAAGGATTGCTTAAGGAAAAAAGTAGGAGATCAGCCTAGACAACATAGCAAGACCTAGTCTCCATTAAAAAAAAAAAAATTGCTGGGCATGGTTGCACACACCCTGTAGTCCGAGCTGCTTGGGAGGGTGAGGCAGGAGGATTGCTTGAGCCAGGAGTTAAAGGTTGCAGTGAGTTATGATCATGCCACTGCACTCCCCATCTCTGAAATTTAAAAAATATATAAATAAACAAACAAGTTTAACTCATGTAAGTAGCGATTAGAACACTGTTTGCCAAGAAATGCAATGTAAAAAAATGGAGAGCTGTAAGTAAAAGGGTACAAAAGTTTAGTCATGTGGGATAAATAAGTTCTAGGGATTTAATGTACAACATGGCGACTATAATACTATATAATAACTATAAAATACTGTATTATAGATTTGGAATTTGCTAAAAGAGTTGATCTTAAGTATTCATAGCACAAAAAATAAGAATGTGATGTATACTTCACATATTCAAGTATACTTCAATAAAGACAGAAAAAATAAACAGAAAAAATTCAATAAATCTACACATATATTATTATCATTAATAAGAGGTTTAGTAAATTTGCTGAATAAAATTTATTATACATAAAATAGTCATAATATGCTGAAGACTCTAATGGAAAAGATAGAGGACATGCAAAATCAGGTAATTCTAACAGGGAAATCCAAAATATAATAAAGAATCAAATGAAAATTCAAGAAGGCAAAAATGCAATAACAAAAATAAAGAAGACTTTGCTAGATACCGGGAGACTTGAAACAGTTAAGGGAAAGAATCAGGTAACTTGAGAACAGGTAAACAGAAATGACAAAAACTGACACAGACATGGAAAAACTAGACTGTAAGAAACAGAACACTACATCCAAAAGCTGTTGGATAATACTGAATGGGCATAACATGTGTAATTGTAATCCCAGAAAAAAACAAAAAAAGAAAACATGACAGAAAAAACATTTGAAAAAATAATGACAAAATAAAAACTGTGTCAGGCACAAAATCACAGATTGAAGAAGCACAGAGGACAAGCAGGGCAGATGTCAAGCAAACAAGCAAAAAATCCACCAAAACGTATCAAATTCAAACTAGTGAAATTCAAACAAAGGAAAATTATGAAAGCAGACAGACAAGAAATGTCATTACCTACAGAACATGAGAATTACAGCAGAATTCTTATCAGAAATCCTACAGGCAAAAAGAAGGTAGAGGTGAGGGGCCAAGATGACCAAATAGGAACAGCTCTGCTCTGCAGTTCCCAGTGAGACCAACACAGAAGGCAGGTGATTTCTGCATTTCCAACTGAGGTACCAAATTTATCTCATTGGGACTGGTTAGGTAGCAGTTCCAACCCACAGTGGGCGAGCAGAAGCAGGGTAGGGTGTAGCTTCACCCCAAAATTGCAAGAAGCTGGGAGATCACCCTCCCCCAGGCAAGGGAAGCCATGAGGAACTGTGCTACCCAGCTGGGTTACTATGCTTTTCCCATGGTTTTTGCAATCTGCAGATCAGGAGACTCCCTCATGTACCTACACCACCAGGGCCCTGGGTTTCAAGCACAAAACTGGGCAGCTGTTTGGGCAGACACCAAGTTAGCTGCAGGAGTATTTTTTTGGTACCCCATTGGCACCTGGAACCCCAGCAAGACGGAACTGTTCACTCCCCTGAAAAGGGGACTGAAGCCAGAGAGCCAAGTGGTCTCGTTCAGTGGGTCTCACTACTATGGAGTCCAGCAAGCTAAGAAACACTGGCTTGAAATTTTCGCTGCCAGCATAGCAGTCTGAAGCCAACCTGGGAAGATCAAGTTTGGTGGGGGGAGGTGCGTCTGCCATTACTGAGGATTGAGTAGGCGGTTTTCCCCTGACAGTACTAAGGAGGCTGGGAGGTGTGGACTGGGCGAATTCACCAGAGAGTGGCAAAGCGACTGTGGCCAGTCTGCATCTCTAGATTCTTCCTCATGGGGAAGGGCATCCCTGAAGGAAAGGTAACAGCCCCAGTCAGGGGCTTACAGATAAACTCCCATCTCCCTGGGACAGAGCACCTGGGTGAAGGGGTGGCTGTGGGTGCAGTTCGGTGGATTTATTCATTCCTGCCTGCCAGATCTGAAGAGAGCAGCTGATTCTGACAAGAAGGATTCTTCCAGGACAGTGCACAAGCTCTGCTAAGGGACAGACTACCTCCTCAAGTGGGTTCTCATGCCTCCTGACTGGGTGCACCTCCCAACAGGGGTCAAGAAACACCTCATACAGGAGAGCTCTGGCTGACATCAGTCTGGTGCCCCTCTGGGATGAAGCTCCCAGAGGAATGAGCAGACAGCAATCTCTGCTGTTCTACAGTCTCCACTGGTAATACCCAGGTGGGCAGGGTCTGGAGTGGACCTCCAGCAAACTGCAGCAGACTTACAGAAGAGGGGCCTGACTGTTAGAAGAAAACCTAACGAACAGAAAGCAAAAACATCAACGTGAATATAAAGGACCCCCACAGAAAAACCCCATCCAAAGGTCATCAGCCTCAAAGATCAAAGGTAGATAAATCCATGAAGATGAGGAAAAACCAGGACAAAAACACTGAAAATTCTGAAAACCATGCCTCTTCTCCTCCAAATGATAGCAACTCCTCTCCAGCAAGGGCAAAAAACTTGACAAAGAATGAGATTGATGAATTGACAGAAGTAGGCTTCAGAAGGTGGGTAATAACAAACTCCTCTGAGCTAAAGGAGCATCTAACCCAATGCAAGGAAGCTAAGAAGCTTGATAAAGGTTACAGGAACTGCTAACTACAATAAACAGTTTAGAGAGGAACATAAATGACCTGATGGAGCTAAAAAACACAGCACAAGAACTTTGTGAAGCATACACAAGTATCAATAGCCAAATTGATCAGGCAGAAGAAAATATATCAGAGATTGAACATCAACTTACTGAAATGAGGCATGAAGACAAGATTAGAGAATAAAGAATGAAAAGGAACAAACAAAATCTCCAAGAAATATGGGACTATGTGAAAAGACCAAACCTACGTTTGATTGATATACCTGAAAGTGATGGTGAGAATGGAACCAAGTTGGAAAACACTCTTCAGGATATTATCCAGGAGAATTTCCCCAACATAGCAATACAGGCCAAAATTCGAATTCAGGAAATAGAGAGAACACCACTAATATACTCCTCAAGGATTGCTGGCAAGATGGCCGAATAGGAACATTAACCTTAAATGTAAATGGGCTAAATGCCCCAATTAAAAGACACAGACTGGCACATTGGATAAAGAGTCAAGACCAATCAGTGTGCTGTATTGAGGAGACCCATCTCATGTGCAAAGACACACATAGACTCAAAATAAAGGGATGGAGGAATATTTACCAAGCAAATGAAAAGAAAAAAAAAGAAGAAAAAAAAAAGAAAAAAAAAAAGCAGGGGTTGAAATCCTAGTATCTGATAAAACAGACTTTAAACCAACAAAAATCAAAAGAGGCAAAGAAGGGCATTACACAATAGTAAAGGGATCAGTGCATCAAGAAGAACTAACTATCCTAAATATATATTCACCCAATACAGGAACACCCAGATTCATAAAGCAAGTTCTTAGAGAACTACAAAGAGACTCAGACTCTCACACAATAATAGTGGGAGACTTTAACACCCCATTCTCAATATTAGACAGATCAACAAGACAAAATTAACAAGAATATTCAGGACTTGAACTCACCTCTGGACTAAGCGGACCTAATAGACATCTAAAAAATCTCCACCCCAAATCAACAGAATATACATCATTCTCAAAACATCATGGCACTTATTCTAAAATTGACAACATAAATGGAAGTAAAACACTACTCAGCAAATGCAGAAGAACGGAAATCATAACAAACAGTCTCTCAGACCACAGGGCAATCAAATTAAAACTCAGGATGAAGAAACTCACTAAAAACCACACAACTACATGGAAACTGAACAACCTGCTCTTGAATGATTACTGGGTAAATAATGAAATGAAGGCAGAAATAAAGACGTTCTCTGAAACCAACGAGAACAAAGAAACAACGTACCAGAATCTCTGGGAGACATTTAAGCAGTGTTTAGACAGAAATTTATAACACTAAATGCCCACAAGAGAAATCAGGAAAGCTCTAAAACCAACATCTTAATATCACAATTAAGTGAACTAGAGAAGTAAGAGCAAATAAATTCAAGAGCCAGCAGAAGACAAGAAATAACTAAGATCAGAACAGAACTGAGAGAGATAGAGACATGAAAAACTGTTCAAAAAGTCAATGAATCCAGGCGCTGATTTTTTGAAATGCTCAACAAAATAGATAGACCACTAGCCAGACTAATAAAGAAGAAAAGAGAAAAGAATCAAATAGATGATTAAAAAATGATAAAGGGGATATCACCACAGATCCCACAGAAATACAAACTACCACGAGAGAATACTATAAACACCTCTATGCAAATAAACTAGAAAATCTAGAAGAAATGGATAAATTCCTTGGACACCCTCCCAAGTCTAAACCAGAAAGAAGTCAAATCCCTGAATAGACCAATAACAAGTTCTGAAATTGAGGTAGTAATTAATAGCCTACCAACCAAAAAAAGTCCAGAACCAGACAGATTCACAGCCAAATTCTACCAGAGCTACAAAGAGGAGCTTGTACCATTCCTTCTCAAACTATTTCAAACAATAGAAAAACAGGGAATCCTCCCTAACTCATTTTATGAGGCCAGCATCATCCTGATACCAAAACCTGGCAGAGACACAACTAAAAAGAAAAATTTCAGGCCAATATCCCTGATGAACATTGATGTGAAAATCCTCAATAGAATACTGGGAAACTGAATCCAACAGAAAATCAAAAAGCTTATCCACCATAAAGTTGGCTTCATATCTGGGATGAAAGGCTGGTTCAACATACATAAATCAACAAAATAATCCATCACATAAACAAAACCAATGAAAAAAACCACATGATTATCTCAATAGATGCAGAAAAGGCCTTAGATGAAATTCAACAGCCCTACATGCTAAAAACTCTCAATAAACTAGGTATTGATGGAATGTTTCTCAAAATAATAAGAGTTATTTATGACAAACCCACAGCCAATATCATACTGAATGGGCAAACCTGAAATCATTCTCTATGAAAACTGGCACAAGACAAGGATGCCCTCTCTCACCATTCCTATTCAACAGAGTACTGGAAGTTCTCTGGACAATCAGGGAAGAGAAAGAAATAAATGGTATACAAATAGGAAGACAGGAAGTTAAATTGTCTCTCTTTGCAGATGACATGACTGTATATTTAGAAAGCCCCACCGTCTCAGCCCCAAATCTCCTTAAGCTGATAAGCAACTTCAGCAAATCTCAGAATACAAAATCGATCTGGAAAAATCACAAGCATTCCTATATACCAATAATAGACAAACAGAGAGCCAAATCATGAGTGAACCCCCATTCACAATTGCTACAGAGAGAATAAAATACCTAGGAATACAACTTACATGGGATGTGAAGGACATCTTCAAGGAGAACTACAAAGCACTGCTCAAGGAAATAAGAGAGGACACAAATAAATGGAAAGACATTCCATATTCATGGATAGGAAGAATCAATATCCAGAAAATGGCCATACTATCCAAAGTAATTCATAGAGTCAATGCTTTCCCCATCAAGCTAGCATTGACTTTATTCACAGAATTGGAAAAAACTTCTTTAAACTTCATATGGAACCAAAAGAGAGCCTGTATAGCCAAGACAATCCTAAGCAAAAAGAACAAAGCTGGAGGCATCAAGCTACCTGACTTCAAACTAAACTACAAGGCTACAGTAACCAAAACAGCTTGACACTGGTACCAAAAGAGATATATAGATGAATGGAAGAGAACAGAGGCTTCAGACATAAAACCACACATCTACAACCATCTGATCTTTGACAAACATGACAAAAACAAGCTATGGGGAAAGGATTCCCTATTTATTAAGTGGTGTTAAGAAAACTGGCTAGCCATATGTAGAAAACTGAAAATGGACTCCTTCCTTACACCTTACATAAAAATTAACTAAAGATGGATTAAAGACTTAAACATAAGGCCTAAAAGAATAAAAATTCTAGAAGAAAACCTAGGCAATACCATTCAGCACATAGGCATAAGCAAAAACTTTATGTCTAAAACACCAAAAGCAATGGCAACAAAAGCCAAAATTGACAAATCAGATCTAATTAAACTAAAGAGCTTCTGCACAGCAAGAGAAACTATCATCAGAATTAACAGGCAACCTACAAAATGACAGAAAATTTTTGCAATCTGTCTGTCTGACAATCGGCTAATATGCAGAATCTACAAAGAACTTCAACATATTTACAAGAAAAAAACAACCCCATCAAACAGTGGGACAAGGATATGAACAGACACTTCTCAAAAGAAGACATTTATGCAGCCAGCAAACATGAAAAAAAGCTCATCATCACTGGTCATTAGAGAAATGCAAATTAAAACCACAATGAGATACCATCTCATACCATTTAGAATGGCAATCACTAAAAAGTCAGAAAACAACAGATACTGGAGAGGATGTGGAGAAATAGGAATGCTTTTACACCATTGGTGGGAGTGTAAATTAGTTCAACCATTGTGGAAGACAGTGTGGCGATTCCTCAAGGATCTAGAACCAGATATACCATTTGACCCAGCAATCTCACTACAGGGTATATACCCAAAGGATTATAAATCATTCTACTATAAAGACACATGGACATGTATGTTTACTGCGGCACTATTCATAATAGCAAAGATTTGGAACCAACCCAAATGTCGATGAATGATAGTCTGGATAAAGAAAATGTGGCACATATACACCATGGTATACTATGCAGCCATAAAAAAGAATGACTTCATGTCCTTTGTGGGGACATGGATGAAGCTGAAAACCATAATTCTCAGCAAACTAACACAAAAACAGAAAACCAAACACCACATGTTCTCATTCGTAAGTGGGAGTTGAATGATGAGAACACATGGACACAGGGAAGGAACATCACACACCAGGGCCTGTCAGGGGTGGGGGTCAGGGGAGGGATAGCATTAGGAGAAATACCTAATGTAGGTGATGCGTTGATGTGTGCAGCAAACTACCATGACATGTGTATACCTATGTTACAAAACTGCATGTTCTACACATGTACCCCAGAACTTAAAGTTAAATATAAAAAAAAAAAAGATACTCCTCGAGAAGAGCAACACCAAGACACATAATCGGCAGATTCAACAAGGTTGAAATGGAGAAAAAAATGTTAAGGGCAGCCAAAGAGAAAGGTTGGGTTACCCACAAAGGGAAACCCATCAGACTAACGGCAGATATCTCTGCAGAAACCCTACCAGCCAGAAAAGAGTGGGGTCAATATTCAACATTTTTAAAGAAAAGAATACTCAACCCAGAATTTCATATCCAGCCCTACTAAACTTCATAAGCACAGGAGAAATAAAATCCTTTCCAGACAAGTAAATGCTGAGGTAATTTGTCACCACCAGGCCTGCCTTACAAGATCTTTTGAAGGAAGCAATAAATATGGAAAGGAAAATCTGGTAGCAGCCACTGCAAAAATACACCAAAATATAAAGACCAATGACACTATGCAAAAACCACATCAACTAGTGAGCAAAATAACCAAGTAGGATCATGATAACAGAATCAAATTCACACATAACAATATTAATCTTATATGTAAATGGGCTAAATGCCCCAGTGAAAAGACACAGACTGGCAAATTGGATAAAGAGTCAAGACCCATTGGTGTGCTGTATTCAGGAGACCCATCTCACATGCAATGAGAAGCATAGGCTCAAAATAAAGGGATGGCAGAATATTTACAAAGAAAATGGAAAAAAAAAGCAGGGGTTGCAATCCTAGTTCCTGATAAAACAGACTTTAAACCAACAAAAATGAAAAAAGACAAAGAAGGGCATTAAATAATGGTAAAGTGATCAATGCAACAAGAAGAGCTAACTATACTAAATATCTATGCACCCAATACAGTAGCATCCAGATTCATAAAACTAGTTCTTAGAGACCTTCAAAGGAACTTAGACTCCCACACAATAATAGTGGGAGACATTAACTCTCCACTGTCAATATTAGACAGATCAATGAGACAGAAAATTAACAAGAATGTTCAGGACTTGAATTCAGCTCTAGACTAAGCAGAACTAATAGACATCTACAGAATTCTCCACCCCAAATAAACAGAATATACATTCTTTTCAGTGCCACACAGCACTTATTCTAAAATCAATCACATAATTGGAAGTAACACACTCCTCAGGAAATGCAAAAGAGCAGAAATCATAACAAAGGGTCTCTCAGACCACAGTGCAATCAAATTAGAACTCAGGATTAAGAAACTCACTCAACACTGCACAACTACATAAAAATTGAACCACCTGCTCCTGAGGGACCACTGGGCAAATAACAAAATTATGGCAGATATCAAAAAGTTCTTTGAAACCAATGAGAACAAAGAGACAATGTACCAGAATCTCTGGGACACAGCTAAAGCAGTGTTAAAAGGGAAATTTATATACTAAATGCCCACATGAGAAAGCTGTAAAGATCTAAAATGGACACCCTAACATCACAATTAAAAGAACTAGAGAAGCAAGAGCAAACAAATTCAAATGCTAACAGAAGATAAGAAATAACTAAGATCAGAGCAGAACTGAAGAAGATAAAGACATGAAAAACACTTCAAAAAAATCAATGAATCCAGGCACTGGTTTTTTGAAAATATTAACAAAATAGACAGACTGCTAGCTAGATTAATAAAGAAGAAAAGAGAGAAGAATCAAAGATACAATAAAAAATGATAAAGGGGATATCACCAGTGACCCACAGAAATACAAACTAATATCAGAGAATACTATAAACACCTCTATGCAAATAAACTAGATAATTGAGAAGAAATGGATAAATTCCTGGACACATACACCCTCCCATGACTAAACCAGGAAGAAGTGGAATCCCTGAATACTATAACAAGTTCTGAAATTGAGGCAGTAATTAATAGCCTACCAAACAAAAAAAAAAAAAAGCCCAGGAACAGATGGAATCCCACCAAATTCTACCAAAGGTACAAAGAGGACCTGGTACCATTCTTTCTGAAACTATTCCAAACAATAGAAAAATAGGGATTCCTCTTTAACTCATTTTATGAGGCCAGCATTTTCCTGACACCAAAACCTGGCAGAAACACAACAAAAAAAGAAAATTTCAGGCCAATATCCCTGATGAACATTGAAGTTAAATCCTCAATAAAATACTGGCAAACTGAATACAGCAGCACATCAAAAAGCTTATCTACCACAATCAAGTCAGCTTCATCCCTGGGATGCAAGGCTGGTTTAACATACCCAAATAAATAAACATAATCCATCACATAAACAGAACCAATGACAAAAACCATGTGATTTTCTCAATAGATGCAGAAAAGGCCTTTGATAAAATTGAACATCTCTTCATGCTAAAAGCTCTCCATAAACTAGGTATTGATGGAACATATCTCAAAATAATAAAACCTATTTATGAAAAACCCATAACCAATATCATACTGAATGAGCAAAAGCAACAAGCATTCCCTTTGAAAACTGGCACAAGACAAGGATGCCCTTTCTCACCACTCCTATTTAACATAATATTGGAAGTTCTGCCCAGGGCAATCAGGCAAGAGAAAGAAATAAAGGGTATTCAAATAGTAAGAGAGGAAGTTAAATTATCTGTTTGCAGATGACATGATTGTATATTTAAAAACTCCATTGTCTAAGCCCAAAAACTCCTTAAGCTGATAAGCAACTTCAGCAATGTCTCAGGATATAAAAATCAATGTGGAAAAATAACAAGCATTCCTACATACCAACAATAGACAAGCAGACAGCCAAATCATGAGTGAACTCCCATTTACAATTGCTACAAAAAGAATAAAATTCCTAGGAATACAACTTACAAGGGATGTGAAGGTCCCCTTAAAGCAGAACTACATGCCACTGCTCAAGGAAATAAGAGACAACACAAACAAATGGAAAAACATTCCATGCTCATGGATAGGAAGAATCAACATCATGAAAATGCCATACTGCACAAAGGAATTTATAGATTCAAGGCTATTCCTATCAAGCTACCATTGACTTTCTTTGCACAATGTGAAAAAGCTACATTAAATTTCATATGGAACCAAAAAGAAGCCCATATAGCCAAGAGAATACTAAGCAAAAAGAACAAAGCTGGAGACATCACGCTACCTGACTTCAAACTATACTACAAGTCTGCAGTAACCAAAACAGCATGGTACTGGTACCAAAACAGATATATAGATTAATTGAACAGAACAGAGACCTCAGAAATAACATCACACATCTACAACAATCTGATCCTCAACAAAACTGACAAAAACAAGTAATGGGGAAAGGATTCCCTATTAAATAATGGTGCTGAAATAACTGGCTAGCCATATGCAGAAAATAGAAACTGGACACCTTCCTTACACCTTATACAAAAATTAAGATGGATTAAAGACTTAAATATAAAATCCAAAACCATGAAAATCCTGGAAGAAAACCTAGGCAATACCATTCAGGACACATGCATGGGCAAAGACTTCATGACTAAAACCCCAAAACCAATTTCAACAAAACCCAAAACTGACAAATGGAATCTAATTAAAGAGCTTCTGCATAGCAAAAGAAACTATCATCAGAGTTAACAGGCACCCTACAGAATGGGAGAACATTTTTGCAATCTAACCATCTGACAAAGGTCTAATATCCAGAATTTACAAGGAACTTACACAAATTTACAAGAAAAAAAAACAACACCATCAAAAAGTGGGTGCAGGGTATGAACAGACACTTCTCAAAAGAAGACATTCATGTGGCCAACAAACATATGAAGAAAAGCTCAACATCACTGTTCATTAAAGAAAGGCAAATCAAAACCACAATGAGATACCATCTCACTCCAGTTATAATGGTGATTATTAAAAAGTCAGGAAACGACAGATGCTGGTGAGGCTGTGGAGAAACAGAAACACTTTTACACTGTTGGTCAGAGTGTAAATCAGTTCAATCATTGTGGAAGACAGTGTGGCAATTCCTCAAGGACCTAGAACCAGAAATACCATTTGACTCAGCAATCCCATTAATGGGTATATACCCAAAGGATTATAAATCATTCTATTACACAGATACATGCATACGTTTGTTTATTGCAGCACTATTTACAATAGCAAAGGCTTGGAACCAACCCAAATGCCCTTCAATGATAGACCAAATAAAGAAAATGTGGCACATATACACCATGGAACACTATGCAGCCATAAAAAAGAATGAGTTCATGTCCTTTTCAGGGACATGGGTGAAGCTGGAACCCATCATTCTCAGCAAACTAACACAAGAACAGAAAATCAAATACCATGTGTTCTCATAAGTGGGAGTTGAACAATGAGAATGCATGGACACAGGGAGGAGAACATCACACATCAGGGCTGGTCAGGGGGTGGGGGCCAAGTGGAGGGAAAGCATTAGGACAAATACCTAATACATGTGAGGCTTAAAACCTAGAAGACAGATTGATAGGTGCAGTAAACCACCATGGCACATGTATCCCTATGTAACAAACCTGCACATTATGCCCGCGTATCCTAGAACTTAAAATAAAATAAATAATAAATAAGAAAAATAATTTAAAAAAGAAATTCAAACTATCAAAAAAAAGAAAATAGAGTGATATATTTAAATTATTGAAGGACAAAAAAAGTTAATACAAAATTCTACATAATGTAAAAAAAATCATTCAAAAGTGGAAAGAAATTCTTTCTTAGACAAACAAAACTGAGGGAATTCATTGCCAACAGATCCACCCTACAAAAATACTAAAGGCTGCACACTGACAACATCTATCTTTGACAAAGTTGACAATAACAAGTACTAGAGAAAGAACTTTCTATTCAATAAATGATGCTGGGATAACTGGCTAGCCATATGCAGAAGATTGAATCTGGACTCCTTACCTTCACCGTATACAAAAATCAACTCAAAATAGATTAAAGACCTAAAAATAAGTCATAAACCTCAGAAGGAAATCTAGAAAATACCATTCTGGATACAGGCCTTGGCAAAGATTTCATAATGACATTTCGAAAAGCAATTGCAACAAAACAAAAAATAGACAAGTGAGACCTAAATAAACTGAAGAACTTCTGCACAGCAAATGAAACTTTCAACAGAGTAGACAGACAACCTACAGAATGGGAGAAATATTTGCAAACTATACATCTAACAAAGGTCTAATATCCACCATCTATAAGGAACTTAAACAAATTTACAAGCAAAGAAACCCCAACTCCATTTAAGAAATGTTCAAAGGGCATGAACAGATACTCCTCAAAATAAGACATACAAGTGGCCAACAAGCATATGAAACAAGGCTCAACATCACTAATCATCAGAGTAATGCAAATCAAAACCACAATGAGATACTATCTCACACCAGTCAGAATGGCTATTATTAAAAATTAAGAAAATAACAGATCTTAGTGAGGTCGCAAAGAAAAGGAAATGCTTATCCAATGCTGGTGGGTATGTAAATTAGTCTAGCCACTGTGGAAAGTGGTTTGGAGATTTCTCAAAGAACATAAAACAGAACTGCCACTTGACTCAGCAATGGCATTATTGGGTATATTCCCAAAGGAATATAAATAATTATACCAAAGAGACACATGCACCCATATGTTCACTGAAGCACTATTTACAACAGCAAAGACATAGAATCAACCTAGATGTCCATAAATGGTGGAATCAATAAAGAAAATGTGGTACATATACACTACAGAATACTATGCAGCCACAAAACCCCTTGAAATCATGGCCTTTGCAGCAACGTGGATGTAGCTAGAGGCCATTATCCAAAGTGAATTAGTGCACAAACCGAAAACCAAATAGAGCATATTCTCACTTATAAGAGGGAGCTAAACATTGAGTATGCATGGACGCAAAGATGGGAACAATGTACACTGGGGCCTACTTGAGTGGGGAGGCTGGGAAGAGAGCAGTAGTCAAAAAACTACCTATACTGTACTATGCTCACTACCTGGGTGACAAAATCATTTATACACCAAACTCTAGTGGCTCCCAATTTACCCATGTAACAAAGCTGCACGTGTATCCTCAAACCTAAAATAAAAGTTGAAAAAGAAAAAAAAAGCAATAAAGCTATTGTAAATATATTCAAAGAACTAATAAAAACCATGTTTAAAAATTAAAGGTATGACAAAGGGAATCACTAAATACAGGACAATAAAAAAAGAAATTATTACAAAAATTGAAATTCTAAAGTTGAAAATGACAGTAACTAAGGTGCTTAACAGCTGATTTGAGTAGGCAAAGCAAGAACCAGCCAAATTTTATATAGATCAATAAAAGTTCTCTAATCTGAATAATAGAAAAAGGAATTTAAAAAATGAACAGAGCCTTCAAGACCTGATTAAGTGTGCCATCATACATTTAATGGGAGTCTCAGGAGAAGATAGAGAGAAATTGAGTAGGAAAAAAAATAATTGAACAAATAATGGTTGAAAATTTCCCATGAACTCCAAGTAAGATAAGCACAAAGAGGTTCACATCTAGACATATGTTACACTGTTCAAAGGCAAAGTAAAAACCTTGAAAGCAACAAGAGGAAAACTACTCAATATGTACAAGGCAACCACAATATAATCCAAAATTGACCTGTCATCAGAAGTAATTGAGGCCAGGAGGGAATGGAATGACATACCCAAAGCACTAGAAAAAAAAGTCAGCCAAATATCCTATATCCAGCAAATCTATTCTTCAAAAAAATGTAGGCAATATAAATACATGTACAATAAGCAAAGAAAGAGAATTTGTTGCTAGAAGACTTACAAGAAATACCAAAGAAAATTCTTCAGGAAGAAAGGAAATGACATTAGATAGTAATTCAAATTTACATTTAAACAGCAACAACAACAACAAAGATCACCTGTAGAGGTAATTATAGTGATAAGTATAAAAGATGGTATAAGTATATATTTTTTCTTTATCTCTCTCATGTGATTCAAAAGAAAATTACATAAAATAACGATTATAATATTTTATTGTTGGACTGATAACATATAAAGATATATATAACAACAATAAAACAAAAGAATAATGAGGGAATGAAGCTTATTGGAGTAAAAAAAAAAAAAAAAAAAAGACTCCCAAAGCCAACTTGTATCTACAGGTAGAAAGAGTAGTAAAAATTGTTAATACTTAGATTAATAGATAGGACTCATAAAGTGTTTTCTTCTTAATGTCTTTGAAAGATATTAAATTTGTGTAAAGCAAAAATTAAAAGTATATTATTTAATTAAACACAAATTTATACATAATACATGACAATAATAGCACAAAAAATGGTATGAGGCAATGGAATTATATTGGCACAAAGTTTTTACATTTTACTGAAATTGAGTTGGCATCAATATGAAATAGACTGTGATATGGTAAAATGCATATCTTAATCCCTAGAGGAACCATGAAGAAAACACCACCAAAGATAGTTTAAAAATACACAAATAAATTAAAATGGTGCATTAGGAAGATAGTAAATCCAAAAGAACAAAGTAAAGGAGCAATAAACAAAAAAACACGAGACGTATTGAAAACAAAAAGCAGGCAGAAATCGAACCATATCAATATTAATATTAAATTTGATGGATTAAAGCCTCCAATAAAAATTCAGCAAATGTGAGACTCAATTTAAAAATAAAAGATCCAATGGTATGCTGCCTACAGGAGATACATTTTAGGTTCAAAGATACAAATAATGTTAAAGAAAAGGATGGGAAACTGATGAAAACAGTAACAATAACAAAGCTGGAGTATGTATACTAAAATAAAAATATGAGCTTTAAGACCAACTGTATTACTAGATATAAATAAATGTATTTTATAATAATTAAATGATCAATTCATTGGAAAATATAAATATATCTTCACCTAGCAAGAGCACCCAATACTACATGAAGTAAAAACTAACAAAATTGAAGAAAGAAATGGAAGATTCAACAATAATAGCTGGAGACTTCAATGCCCCAATCTCAGTAATGGACAAAAAAATAGAGACAGAAATTCTACAAGGATATAAAAGATTTGCATAGCAATATAAAGTAGACATAAATGATATTTTCAGAATACTCCAACCAATAGCAGCAGAATATATATTCTTCCCAAATGCATGTAAAACCTTCTAAAAATTAAACAATATGATAGGTCATAAGAAAGTCTCAATAAATTTTAAGGGGTCCATATTATATAACTTTTATGCTCTGAAGCCATACTGGAATTAACTTAGAAATTTTGGCAATCTTCAAATATCTGGAAGTTAAACAAATTTATAATAACCTATAGGGCAAAGAAAAATCATCAGAGAAATTAGCAAAAATTTCGAGCTGGGTATAAAGAAAAATGCAACATGGAAAAATGTATCAGAGATAGCTAAATCAGTCCCTAGAAGGAAATAAATGAGTACATATATTTGTCCATTTTCACATTGCTATAAAGACATACCCAAGACTGAGTAATTTATAAAGGAAAGAGGTTTAATTGACTCAGTTCCACATGGCTGGCAAGGCCTTGGGAAACTTACAATCATGGTGGAAGAGGAAGCAGACATGTCTTACATGGTAGCAGGTGAGAGAATAAGAAAAAGGGGGAAGAGCCCCTCATAAAACCATCAGATCTCCTGAGAACTCACTCACTATCAGAAGAACAGCATGGGTGAAACGACCCCGATGATCCAATCACCTCTCACCAGGTGATCCTCCCTCAACACCAGGGGATTACAATTTGAGATGAGATTTGGGTGGGAACACAGAGCCAAACCATATCAGTATATATATATATATATATACATAAAATATATGAAAGATCTCAAATCAATAACCTCAGTTTCAGCCTTAATAAACTAGAAAAAGAAGAGCAAACTTAACCCAAAGCAAGCAGAAGAAAGAAAAGAATAAAGACTACTCTATGTAGTAGTCCATTTTGCATTGCTATATAGGGAATACCTGAGACTGGGTAATTTATATAGAAAAGAGTTTTATTTGGCTTACACTTCTCCAGATTGTACATGCATAACACCAGCATCTGCTTGGTTTCTGGTGAGGCTATGGGAAGCTTTTACTAATGATGGAAGGTAAAGGCGCAGCAAGCATTTCACATGGTGAGAGAGGGAGCAAGAGTGAGAGCAAGAGGTGCCAGGCCCTTTTAAACAACCAGCTCTTGCATGAATAGATACAGCAAGAACTCACTCATTACTGTGGGGAGAGCAGCACGTCATTAATGAGGGATCTACCCTCATGACACAAACACCTCCTGCCAAGCCTCACCTCCAAAATTGAGGATTATATTTCAGCATGAGATTTGAAGGGGACAAACAACAAAACTATACACTGGACAAATCAAAGGAATCGGTAACAAAAATAATACAGAAAATCAGTGAAACCAACAGTTGATTTTGTGAAAAGATACACGTTAATGGGAAAACCAAACCCTGTAAAATATTTTAAGAAGGTTTATTTAGAGCTAATATGAATGACCAAGACCTGGGGAACAGATTCAAGCGGTGCCTGAGGTGATCAGGTTACAGTTTGGTTTTATAGATTTTAGGGAGACAGGAATTTTATGTAAGATCATAAATTAATCCATGGAAGGTGTACATTAGTACAGCCTAAAGAGGGAGGATATCTTGAAGTGGAGGCTCAGGAGTCATGGGTGGTTTCAAAGATTTTCTGATTGACAATTGGTTGAAAGAGTTTAACTTTTTTAAAAAACTTGAAGTCAGTAGAAATAAATGCTTGAGTTAAGATAAGAAGGGTTATGGAGGCCAAAGCTCTTGTTATGTAGATGAAGTCTCCAGGTAGCACCCTTCAGAGAGAATAGATGGTAAATGTCTTTTTTCAGACCTTAATGGTGTCAGACTCTCATCTAATCTCTCCTAGATCTTGGAAAGATCTAGAAAGGAAGCCTCAGCTGCATTAATGGAGGTTCTGTACAGATGCAAATTTCCCTAACAAGAGATGGTTTTGCAGGACCATTTCAAAATACATCAAAGAAATATACTTTAGGGTCAAATATTTTTATTTTTTAAGGATATGCCGTCATGTGATGTTACATCAGAATCAGGTTGGAATTTGGTAACTTATTGCCACAAAGAGTGTTTTGTCAGTCTTATGATCTCTAGTTCAATGTTAATGCTGGTCAGTAGTGCCTAATCTTCAAAATGATGGGGTGTAATGAGGCATGTCTGACCTCCCTTTCTGTCATTGTTGGTCAGTTTTTCAGGTTTCTCTGGGGTCCCCTGGCCAAAAGGTGGTCTGTTCATTGGGTTGGGGGACTTAGGATTTTATTCTTGGTTTATATGAATGAAATAGAAAAATCTATGGCTAGGCAGTACAAGTAAAAAAAAAGAGAACACAAAATTACTAAATTTATAATGAACAAGGGGACATAACTACCTACTAACCTTACAGAATTTTTAAAAAAATTACAAGAAAAACTATAAAACATTTTAGGCCAACTAATTAGACAATTTATATGAAATAAATTCCTAGAAAGACAAAAATACTGAAACTGACTTAAGAAGAAATAGAAAATCTCAATAGAACTATTACAAGTAAAAAGAATAAATTAGTAATAAAAAAAATACCCCACAATGAAAAGCCCAGGCCTGCTGAATTCTATCAAACGTTTAAAGAAGAAAAATAACAATACTTCACAGTTTCTCCCAGGAAATAGAGAAAACAGGGAAAGTCCTCAGTCTGATAACACAGCCAAACCAACATCACAAGGAAAAAAAATATATAGACCAATTAGAATTTATCCCAGAATTTTGCAAAACAATGTGCAACTTCAACATTGTGAGGTTGATGACATTCTCAAATTGATCTACAGATTCAAAGCAATTCCTATCAAAATTCCAGCTGGTTTTTTAAAAAGAAACTGATGACATGACCCTAAAATTTACATGAAAATGCAAAGACTCAGGATAGCCAAAATAATATTGAAAAAGAGTAAATTTGATGGACTTAAATGTTCTAATTAAAACCTTCCTATAAAGCTACAATATTCAAGATGATTTGGTGCTGGCATGAAGATAGACGTAGAGAAAAATTGACTAGAATTAAGAGTCCCAAAATAAACCCAAACATTAATGGTCAGTTTTCAACAAAGATATTGAAGCAGCCTCATCGAATGGGGTGACATCTGACGTTCTTGGTCTCATGGCCACAGAGATCAAGGATGCAGACACACACAAAGGGTGAGGTTTAGAGCAGAATTTTAATGGGCGAAAGAAATTTGTCCACCACAGAAAGGGTTCCCAGAAAAATGGATTGCCAACGTGCAGTGAAATGCAAGGGTTTTTATAGATGAGCTAGTTGGGAGGCAGTATCTGATCGACATAGGACCTGAAAAACCGTTTAGGACCATATGTGCCATCTGCATAGGGTGCAAATCTCTGGCAGCCCTAACCCCAATCTTTTACTATGCAGGTGGGTCCTCTGCCTGAGCTACTCCATGTTGCTTATTTCTTTCTTACTGTGCACATGCTAACAAAAAAGGGAAGGTGGAGACCCCATGGTGGACATGCCTGGCCCCAGGTAGCCCTTTCTATAATATAGGTACAGCTGCTGGCATCCCCTGTGCAAGCTTCCAGCTTCCTTATCTATGTTTGCAGCACGATCTTCCAGGCTTCCCTTTGTCAGAAAAGAAATGATTTCTCGGGCTGCTTTTTGTTGGAAAAGAAGTTCTGCTGAGGACACTCTTTTGCCCTTGCTATTTGCCTAAATAATTTCTTTTTATCTCCTGTATCAATATCAAGGCAATTCAATGAAAACAGGACAGTCTTCAGTAAATGGTGCTAGAATAATTTCATAACCACAATGCAAAAATATAAATTTAGACCCTTACTTAATACCATACACAAAAAATTAATTCAGAATGAATCACAGACCTGAATATTAGAGTTAAAACAAGAAAACTCGGCCGGGCACAGTGGCTCACGCCTGTAATCCCAGCACTTTGGGAGGCCAAGGCAGGGGGATCACGAGGTCAGGAGATCAAGACCATCCTGGCTAACATGGTGAAACCCCATCTCTACTAAAAATACAAAAAAAAAATTAGCTGGGCAGGGTGGTGGGTGCCTGTAGTCCCAGCTACTTGGGAGGCTAAGGCAGGAGAATGGTGTGAACCCGGGAGGCGGACCTTGCAGTGAGCCGAGATCGTGCCACTGCACTCCAGCCTGGGTGACAGAGCAAGACTCTGTCTCAAAAATAAATAAATAAATAAATAAAACTCTTAGAAGAAAACATAAGAGCAAATATTTGTGATAATGGGTTAGCCAAAAATTCCTTAGGTATGTCATCAGAAGCATAAGTGATTAAAAATTGATGAATTGATCAAAATTTAAAACTTTTCCATTCTAAAGATATCATTAACCATGAGAAAAGGCAAGCCAAAGACTGGGACAAAATACTTGTACATCATATATGTAATAAAGGACTTCTATCTAGGATGCATAAAGAACATTTATAAATCCATAAGAAGACAAATAGCCCAATTTTTTAAAGGGCAAAGAAGCTGTGCACAATTTTTTTATAGCAGTTTATTCATAACATCTGAAGCCTGAAAACAACACATGCCTTTTAGTGGGTGAATAGCTAAACAAATTGTGGTAAATCTATACTGTGGAATATTACACAGCAATAAAAATAACCACTGATACACACAATAACTTGGATGATTCTCAGTGTAAGTATGCTGAGTGAAAAAAATCTAAGCCCCCAAAATTACATATAGTATAACACAATTTACATAATGTAAGGAGGAGGGTAAGAAGTATTATGAAAATATAACAGGAGGGATCCTTATGGTGATGTAATTGTTCTGTATCGACTGTAGTGATGGTCATAAGAACCTATACCTCTGATAAAATTGCACAGAGCTAAATGGACACACACACAGACACAAATGAGTACATCTATGATGGAAAATCTGAATAAAACAGATGGATTGTATCAATGTCAATTTTGCGGTTGTTAAATCTGCATAACAATAGTTATGCAAGATGTTGCTATTGGGGGATACTAAGTAAAGTGTAAACAGGATCTCTCTGTATTATTTTTTACACCTACATATGAATCTACAAGTATTTCAAAAAGAGCTTTATTTTAAAATGGGGCTAAAGATTTGGGTAGACATTTCATCACAGAAGCTATACAAACAGACAACAGGTACATGAAAAGATGTTCATCGCTAGTCATTAGGGAAATGCAAAGTAAAACCATGATGCACACCCATAAGAATAGTTATAATAAAAAAGACAATAACAAGTGTTGGAGAGGATGTGAAAAAAGTGAAGCTCTCCTGCATTGCTTGTGGGAATGTAAATTGATGAAGTCTCTTTGGAAAAATAGCTTGGCAGTTTCTTAATAAGTTCAACATCATCTTAGCATATGACTCAGGAATTCCACTCATAGGTTATCTATCCAAGAGAAATTAAAACCTATGTTCAAACAGAAGCATGTGTGTAAATGTTCGTAGCGGCATTTTCATAACATTCAAAATGTGGCAGCAACCCATATGTCATCAACTGGTAAGTGGATAAACAAAATGCAATTTATCCCAACAATGGAATGTTATTCATCAATTAAAAGGAATAAAGTACTGATACATGAAACAACATTGATGAACCACAAAAACATTATATGCTACGTGAAAGAAGCTAGACACAAAGAGCACACAGTGTATGATCCCATTTATTTAAATGTCCATTAAACAAATCTGTAGAAAAGAAGGTAGATTAATGCTTACCAAGTGTTGGGGATGAATGGGGAATGGCTGAAAAATGGGACAGAGATTTCTTTTGGGGATGATGTAAATGTTTTAGTTTGTAGTGACAGTTGCACAACTGTGACTAAAATCAATAAATTGAATGCTTTAATAAATAAATAAAATAAAGCTGTCTTTAAAAGGTTACAATTCTTTTCAGCTGTTTAAGGTTGAAACCCTCTCAGATGGTTAATGATCTCATGCCTCAGGTCTCTATTAATTATATGGGAGAAATACCCCCATACCCCACTTAGCAAGTTAGGCATAATGTTACATGACCTGCTTTCTTCTCCATCTACTCCTCGATTTACTATTCTTAATACTAAGGTATCATTTAGAAACCATGGTGTTACTCGTGTTTACTGACAATAGATAAACAAAATGTATTTTTCTTCAGCTTGCTTAATTCCAAATTCTCCTATATTTAAGCAAAACAAATTACCTTTGGAATCACATATGACTTTTAATCACAACATATAAGCCAGAAAACAGATGGACAGATTTGACTACACTTGTGTGTTTAGCCAAGTATAGCACTTCCCTGAATGTTTGGTCTTTTTGACATCTGACTAAACATGAGGGGCCTCTTTCTATTTTAACAGATTTTCCCCATCCCTTTCCTTCCTTCTCATTCTTCAAGGCCATAATTTCTCCACTTTTACCATAGTTCCAATATCTTACTTGCACTCATTACAAAGTCCACCCCCTACTCCTTTCCCTTCCTGTACTTCAAATAGCCTTTCCTAGCCTAATCTTGAGTGTGAGGAGAAACTACCATTTAAGCAGTAGTCAGTGAAATACTTTTCCCTCTAGACACAGACTTAGTGGACCTTCGTGGATAAGATATTTGGAAAAATTTTAAATGTCATTTACAGTTTTTTTTTTTTGCCTCTTGAAAGAGAAGAACTGTTGCAAAGTATTAATTTTGATCTTAACTCTGACACATTTATTAACACCCCAAAAAAGCAAAGATATATATGTCTTGCCAGAAGGCTATACAAAATATTTTAAGGTTCTATCTTCTATAATTCCTGGCTAGTAGATACAGTTATCTAAACTACAAAAAGTTATAATTTGTTGCTTATTGATAATGTTATGACTTTTTTTTTTTTTTTTTTGAGACGGAGTCTCGCTCTGTCGCCCAGGCGGGACTGCGGACTGCAGTGGCGCAATCTCGGCTCACTGCAAGCTCCGCTTCCCGGGTTCACGCCATTCTCCTGCCTCAGCCTCCCGAGTAGCTGGGACTACAGGCGCCCGCCACCGCGCCCGGCTAATTTTTTTTGTATTTTTAGTAGAGACGGGGTTTCACCTTGTTAGCCAGGATGGTCTCGATCTCCGACTTATTTTTAAAGTTCCCTAAATAAACCAACTTTTGAATAAAAATGGGCTTTTCATTTTAATAACACATACTCCTTGATGATAATGGTTTGATTCATTTCTCTTACAGAACTAATTTCTTCCTACTTCACACACATTAAATGCTTTGTTTATACTGATAATGTCGTGCTCATCCTAAATTAAAGTTTGACTATGTCTGTTTCCCCAGAGACACACCATCTGATTGGGATGCAGCCGTAGAGTAGCAGAAAGAGCAGTGAAGCTGGTATTAGAATGCCTGGATTACAGTGTTTGTTCTGTTACTTAGCAGCTGTGTGACTTTACTGTCTTAATGATATGGATTTTTGTGCTGCTGCCAAGTATGAAACAGTTTGGCACACTATTTAGATACGCAAAATATGTGATCCCCACAACATTTTAGTGAGTGTAAAGAAGATAGGATAGACCATTTAAAATGGAAAATTTTGAACAAAAGGTCACCATAGACTTGAATAAATTACTTAAACTTCTGAGACCCACTTTTGTCATGTAATAAAATAGATATAATGATACTTACCTCTCAGGATTAAGGGTTAACTGAAATATTGTATGTGAGGGTCTAGCTCAGTGTCTGGAAAATGGATGATGTTAATTAAGGTTTCCTTAGGTTGGAATGCTCCTTTCACCCCCTCCATCCGCCCCCTCCCCCAAAAAACACTCCAAAATTCAAACATGCATATTCTGATTCATCTTTTAAGGAAGAGCCCAAGAGGCACCATTCTACAAAATCTTTCCAAACAACTTCAGGCAGTACAGCCCTTTGGTTAAGAGTACTGGGCTTCTGGAATCAGAAGAGACCACCAAATTTAAAACCAGGTCTCCCATTTAGTAGCTCCCTGACACTGGACAAATTACTTATTTTCTCTGCACCTAGATTTCCCATCTGTAATATAAAATCATCATGATACATACCTCATAGGGTTGCAGAGGATTAAATGAGATATACATACAGAGCACTTAGCACAGTCCCTGAGTTAATAAGTCCTCCGTTAAGTATTACATAGGAGAAGTAGTAAAAAGTTTCCTCTTAAGTAAAATGCTAATAAAAGTGCTTACCCTGCCTCCCAAGATTGTGGCAAAGTTATGACGCAAGGCTTTTAAACTGTAATGCTGAACAAACGTAAGGGATTGGTATATACCTTGAGATATTTTGGACAAAGTTCTAACCTTACTTTTATACAATATGCTTTCTCTCACCCGCCTGCAGTTGGGTTAATAATGCCCAGCATTAATTAATAAGCAATAAAATCAGAAGATACCCCGAATACAAGTAGCTGACGCTCAGAGAGCAGTATTAAGGCGAGCACCCGCAGACCGGACCTGGATAACTCCTTGGAGTTCACCTCTAGCGGCCCCCTCCCCTTGGAGCTGCGCAAGCGTACACTGACTTTGCTCCTCTCTAGTGCCCCCGCCTCCAGCAGCCGCCCCCCCACCCCCCCGTCTGCCCAACACGCAGGCGCGTCTCCTCAAATCCTGTCCCTACACCCCTCCTCTTTCTCTTCATTTCGTTCCCCCTCCTCTTGCAGCACCTCGGCAGGTTCAAACTCTTCTCCGGGAGCGTGGCGGCGATCGCGAGGTCACGTGATGAGCATCCTGCTGCCCAACATGGCGGAGTTCGACACCATCTCGGAACTGGAGGAGGAGGAGGAAGAAGAAGCGGCAACGTCGTCGTCGTCGCCGTCGTCGTCGTCGTCGGTATCTGGGCCCGACGATGACGAGGAGGATGAGGAGGAAGAGGAGGAAGAGGAGGAGGAGGAAGAAGAGGAGGAGGAGGAAGAGGAGGAGGAAGCGCCGCCCCCGCCTCGGGTAGTGAGCGAGGAGCATCTGCGGAGATATGCTCCCGACCCTGTATTAGTGCGGGGTGCCGGCCACATCACTGTGTAAGCGAGAGGGGGTCTTGGGACTTGAAATGCCTGAGATTTGGCAACAGAGGAATGAGAAGTGATCGAGGGGCCTGTGGAGTGGGGGAGGGTTGACTGATTGACTGAGGCGTACACTTAGGAAAGGACACCTGGTCTAAATGGGGAAACCATGGGTGGATACGTGTGAAGGAAGTGAGGAGAATGTAAATATGATGCACCAATGCCAGGTAAAGAGTGAGTATAGGAGAGGGAAGTTAGGGGTTTGGGAGCCAGAGCGATTGGAGTAGGGGTGAGTCTCCTTTCTTGTATGTATGCTGGCAAGTGAACAGTCTCTAAACTGCAGGATGTACCAGAGGGTTTTTTGCTGACAAGATTGATACTTTGTGGGAAACAGCAATTGCTGTGACATGTGACAAGAACTAGGCTTGCATTCTTCAAAACAGAAACATGATATATTTTGTGAATAATAATAGAATGTTCATTCACCCACGTATTCATCCATCCATTCTTCCTATCGAATCCTTCCTTATATATCACTCGATTAGAGGTTCAGGATGAGAGGCAGCTATGGAAAGTAGAAAAAGAAATGGATTGAGTCAGGGCTCTTAGACGCTGGTCCCGGTTTTGCTTCTTACTGGCCCTGTGACCTTGGTCAGGTTGCTTTTTCTCATTTCTGCGCCTTGATTTCTTCATCTCTAAAATGAAGGGTTTGGAGTAGATGGTTTCTAAAGCTTTTCAGTTCTGAGATAATTTACCTCCAAGGGATTTTGTATGCCCAAGTATGAAATATACAGGCATTAAATATATATGGAAATTAATACTTTGGGAGCTGAGCATAATTTCTTTAAAATTTATCCAGGGTGGTTTTTTAAAAAATTGAAATCTTGAGGAAAAATTGAATATTTCAGAAAATAAAATGGGGAGGGACTTCATAACAGCTACAAGGCAAAAATGTTGATGATTCTCCGGGATTTAAAGAGTGCTTCCTCATTTTTATTTGCTTGGACCATAACTATTTGGAAGTTTGAGTACTGTGTCATGTTCATCCTCTGAACTATGCTATCTTTTACTGCATTTTCAAAATAGGTTGCCTTTTGTTGTTATGTCATGCTGCCTCTGGTTTTGATAATGGCTCACCTAGTCCCTTTGACTTTCAATTGAGTTCATGTTACATTAAATCATATATATGCTACCTCCCTTATATTAGCTTCAATTTTTAACATGTTGAGTTTTTTTTTTTTTTTTTTTTTTTGAGACAGAGTCTCACTCTTTTGCCCAGGCTGGAGTGCAGTGGCGCAATCTTGGCTCACTGCAGCCTCTGCCTCCCAGGTTCAAGCAATTCTCCTGCCTCAGCCTCCTGAGTAGCTGGGACTACAGGCGTGATATGTTGAGTATTTTAATTGTAATATACTTTCGTAATCTTTGCATCAAATATATTAACAAATATTTTGAAATTGGGGAAGTGTTGGGGGAGGGTTTTAGAGCTGCTTTTTGATTAGGAAATTTTAAGACAATTTTTCTTGGTCCAAGAATTTTGCAGATAGCCTACAATATTCAGATGCCAACTTATTGCACGGTTTTACTTCCATTCCTTTTGTCACTAGGGAGACAATTTATTACTCAAACTAATTATGATGGCTGGTACCAAAGGTTACTTTTATGCAGATTATGTTACATGACCGTTTAGTCCATAATTTTATACTCCAACATTCCACCTCCACATTTGCAAAATTCAGGCAAAGGAGAAGGAACAAGAAAATAAAATTTAAGTTACCTGAAATTTATTTATGGTTCCATTCGACCCTGCACAGGTACTTACCAACCTATTTGCTTCATTAGAAGAACACTGACACTTGCCATGCCCAGGCCCTTCTGATTGGTATAATGTCCTTCTAATTAGGAGCATGCGGGTAGTACTGTTGGTATTCATTGACTGAAACCAAAACCTGAAAAGAAGCAAACCAGTACTAGACTCACTAACCATTGTATATACTTTGGAAACTTATTTAGTTTTGTTGTACACATTCTTATACCTAGAAATCACATATGATATTAAATGTCTTGGGATTTGAAAGAGATTACATGTCTTGGAGAAAATTTAACTGGATCTGAGAAATGGGTCTTTGTATGGTAGTGAAGCCTTCCTTTTATCAGTTAAAGTAATATCCTTATGAAGTAGGTAATCTTATTCTGCGACTTCTAAAATATCAACTTCTGTTTATTTTTTTTCTGGCATAGGAGTGTTAGAGTTGCCTTAAACTATATACCCTATCTGAATGAAATATTTAATATTCTCTACCAGCCCTGATTTTTTTCCATTCTTTGTGCAGCCTTCTGTTGTATAGAGCATTTTGTTTCTTCTCAAAGTTTAAAATTTGAGAGCCCTCACCTCAAACTCAGTATATTTTAAGCTCAACATCCTCTCCACATTGCCCGTGCTTTTCATTTGTTTCATTTCTTTCCTTGATGCCACCATTCTGATCTCCCAGGGTAACATTCAAAACCTTTGAGTCATTTTGACTCTTCCTTCTCCTTGAATTGCCCTGTGTCAGTCTGCCCCAGAATTATATCATCATAGTTTCTGAAATATCTCTTAGATTTTTCATTTTCTCATTCCTATTTGGCACCACTCTAGTTTGGGTTGCCATCATCTCCTGCTTGACTTATTGCCACAGTCTGCTGCCTCTCCCTACTCCAGTCCATCCTGTGTGCTTGTGCCAAACTAATTTTCTTAAAACACAGTTTAATCATGTCACTTTCCTGCTGAAAACCTGCATTGGATATTAATTAGCTCTGAGTTTCTGTGCCATCTTCCTTCAATCTCAGAGTTCAAGGAGACCCTCCATTTGTCCAATGCTCACCTGTCCATTTGTGCCTTCCATACCTTTCTCTTCCAGCCTCCTCCCAGATCTTGCTCAACCAGGCCTCCCATCTCTCCAGTATTACCTCTCTCAGCCTGTACCCATATTCAGTCTCTAATTTTTAAAAAACAAAATAAGACAAAAGCCTTCCTATGCCCATGTTCCCTTTAGCTACTATCCAATCTCTCTTTCTTATCCTTCAAATTTCTAAAAAAGTAGCTACATTTACCTTATCTGTTTTCTCTTTACCCCTCTCTGATCTGGATTCTGCTACCAAAACCACAGAGGAGCTATCCTTAATTAATATCACTGTGACCCTCTTGTTGCTAAATTACTGGACATCTTTCATTCCCTATCCTTCAGGTTCTCTCTGCTGCATTTGACACTTATGATGATTTCTTCTTTTTCAGAAGCTTCTACTCCAGGGTTCACAAACACACAGGCCTTCAGAGGCAAGGCAGGTCACAGAAAATAGTGCAGCATAAGGAGACATGGGGCTTTAGTTGAACTGAAAGTTATACGTCTCAATTAATGGTATTCAAATTCTAATTTAAGAAAAAACATTTTGCCAGCCAAAAAAATCACAGAACTCCTTGGCCACTTCATTCTCCTGGTGTTCCTTTTATTTTTCTGGCAGTTTCTTAACTGTTCATTCATGGGCTTCTCTTCCTTCTTGACCCTTAAATACCAGCAATCTCTAGAGTTTTGTTCTCAGCCCACTACTCTTCTTATTCCCTGCTCTCCCTAGATGGTCTCATCTTACCTCTCATAGATTCAGTTATCTCATGGCTCCCAAGTAGGGATTTCTTTACCAGTCTCTGCGTGGGCTCTTATCTGGGCTTCTTCACTCAATAGCTTACTGTTATCTTAAATTTGACATAAACAAAAACCTCCCGACACCCCTCTCATATCCCCACCCCCAAATGCTCAAAAAAGCCTTCCTATTTCTGTATTCGCAACCTCAGTTGAATGTACCTCCACCTATCCCATTAAAGCATGCTTGGTTCTCCCCACTCACACTTCCCACTGCTAAGCAATTAGCAAATATCAACAATACATGGCTTAAGAATTTCTTCTTTTCCTCTCTACCACCACTTCATTGATTCAGGACCCTTTCACTACCCTAGCTAGTCATGTTGCCTTCATCCTTGTCATCCTCACATCCATCCTCCAGCCTGCTGCTAGATTAAGACACAAAAAGTACATATCTAATCAAACCACTTTTCCTACTTAAGATTATCTTGTGGTTTTTCCCTTCACCTGCAAGATAGAGACTAAGCTCCATAACAGAGCATACAGAAATGGACCCTGTGTATCTATCAGCCTAAACTTTTGCCATTTCCCTTACTGCTTGTATGTTCCTGTTCACAGCATGCTGTTTTTTTTTTTAATCTCATTGCCTCTGCTCAATCTGGGGCCTCCACCTAGAATGCTAATATTCACCTCCCGTTTCCCTGGCTCCCATTTCCCTGGCTCTCTGTATGTCACCACCTTCTGCAAGTCTTCTTTTTTTCCACTAAATTGTAAATTGCAATGACAAGAACAATTTCTGATTCCCTATGAATCCTCAGTGCATAGCACAGTACCTGACAAGAGGTGAGTTGAATGAATATTGGTTCACTTTAGTAACACTCAGTGTGCCCACGTAGTACAAACAATACTATAGGCCCTCAACAAATACGTAGTTGAATCATGCTGTGGAGAGCACTGGTTTCTGAGCATGGATGTGTACGAATACAACAATATCACCAGTACCAGTATCACCAGTGATGGCGTTTATGGCATGAGCTTACCTCTGAAAGCTTTGTTAAGCTATCCCCTGTGTGTCAGAGTATTATCTTAATGTTTTGGGTTTCTAGTTACTTTAACAAGATATTAATCTTTTAACATGAAATTCATTATGATTTCTTAAGAAGTAGAATGACCTAATCATACTACTTGTATTTCCAATTCTGAGATGATGATCATAAATGGATATTAGGAGATCTTTTTCCAAATTTTAAAAAATATGATTATATTAACTCTTACAGATTTGAGACTATAGAAAGAGAAATAATGAAATGTCTCTTGGAAGTATTGTGCTTCAAAAATATTATACATCTGAATAATATAACAGTATCACATTTCTTCTTGATATTTTTAGGATAAGTATTTGGATCTAATGTATTGAAATACAGAAAAAAATATTACATCACATGAGGTTTTTTCCTTATAGACATTACCACCCTCTTTGTATTACTTAAAATAGATAGATGTTTACCATTGATATTACACCTGCATAAAAATTAGTAGAGACAGCATATTACTGATCCTCAGAGGCTCATAACATTCTCATTAAAATTAATCTAAGAAAGCTGAAGTTATTAGATTATATAATTGAAAAAGATGGCCAATTTTGCCAAACAGTGCATTTCTCCAAAAACTTAGCACTACAAATATTGATAACTTCTCAAATCAGGGAATGGAATGCCTTTTCTGTAACAGTTGTCTGAGAAATTACAGTGATGATTGTTAATTTGTTTTTATATAAGGTGAATTTTTTTAAGGTTTTAGGCTTTGAGAATATTGAAGCCATGGTAACTTGCCATTGTATAGTGTGGAAAGACATTTTTCCCATATGAAATATTAAAGAGATTTAACTAGAATCTTTTAAAAATCTCCTTTTGTTTTGTGGCATAGCCTTTTCCTTGGTGTAGCAAATAGAGTTCAGTGCACATGCTTCAGAATCAGTATTCCTATAAGTGCATGGTTTTCTAGTGAAGTCATGTCTTATTGGCAGAATTTTACGACATTTTCTTAAACAAACTGAGTACGTGAACTTTAATTTGTGCAAGATTTTGAAAGGCTGGTATATAGCCATTTTCAAATATGAAAAATGGTGAGAGGTATAGGGAGGGAGACAAAAGGGAAGAGGAACTAAGAGTATAGATCCTTTGCCTCAGTTTCCTTTACTTCAAAGAATTTGTCTAAGAAATTAAAAATGTGGGCGTTGAAGACATTTGATGAAGAAAATACAATTATTGAGAACTACCAGCTGGGTCGGCTTCAAACATACAGTAGATTGTATATTTAATGAAGTTGATAAAATGATAGTGTGAGCACTTCCCAAGTGCCTGCTGAGCCCCACATCTTGGCTAATTTCTACCACTGATCAGTAATAAGTAGATGAGTTTGTCTAGCCTCTCTGGACTCATAATTCTTAACTTAATGGTTTGTTTATGAAACCTAACTGAGGTGTTTATTCAGCAGCAGCCATTTCAACATTTTCCTAGTAGCTGCTAAGTGAAATGTACCTAAAGTTATTTAAGTATTTTTTTAGTGTGCTGAGTCTATAAAAGGGAAAGTTAAGGGAAAAAATATCTCATAGGCAAGAACAAGATTGCTGCTGCCTATTAGCCAAAACTATGAGAGTATCAAGCCTACTTTGCCTTTCTTCATACTTTTTTATATAGATACATTTAGGTCATAAGGGAGTATTTTAAGAAATTAAGCAACACTTTAGTTACCATTTCTAATATACTTTTTATATTTTAGAAAAGGAAATCCCTTTATATATTGGAGAAGAAAGTTAGTAATGTGAATATAGCAAGTATTTCTCTAGAACTTGAGCACTGGGCTAAACACTGTGAAGAATATAGAGAAAACAAAGTATAGGCTTTGCTTTACAAAGCTAACAGGAACATTGCCTTTAAGATATTGATATGGAGCAGCAAGGAATAAAAGACAACATTTTGTTAACTGTTGAATTGTATAGTGCACATTAGAAGTGGCTGTGAGTATTCAGAGAAAGAAGGAATCCATGAAGCCTTGGGCATTCAAGGCATTACAGCAGGGGTTGGAACTTGATTTGAGCCTTGAAGGCTGCATAGGACTTAGACTTAAACTTTGGAGGGGAAGCAAGGAGAACCACATGAGCAAGGACAAGAGCCAATGTAGCAGTGACAATGAAGGAAGGGAACATTATGAGAATGATTTCAAAGGAGCAAATAACAGGATTTAGGGACCACCTGGCTGTAAGCAAGATGCAAAACATAGGAGAGGGAAGGTGCAAATATGATACCAAGGTATAGGTTAAAGGAAGAGAGTAATGTGCCATTGATAGAAATGAATTTGAAAGGGGGAACCAGGTTCCAAGAAAATGTAACATTTAGTTTTAGACAGGTTTCACTTAAGGTGGTATTATTTTGTGGCAAGATGTCCAAACAGAAATTTTCAGTATACAATTAAAGATGAGAGACCAGAGCATGTATGAAAATATATTACTAGAGCTATAGATTTGGTGATCGTTAACAGATAAATGATTGTCAAAGTTGTCAAATACAGATGAACTTTTGTAGTTTGCTTAGAAAGAAAAAAAAGCAGAAGACTAAAAGCTAAATTTTGGAAGAAGTATAGAGTCTAAGGGCAGAATGAAAGAATGGGAATGTTAGGAAGGAAGTGATCAACAGTGTCATAGCTGCAAACAAAGTCAAGAGAAAAAGTTCTGAGAAGACATTGAATTTGGCAATAAAGAAGACAAGATGGACTTGTCATTTTGAGTAAATTTACTGAATAAGATATTATTTTCAGCAAAATGACAGTATCAAAAATCAAGTTTCAAAATTTCTTAAGAAAGGAGATATTAGGGAAATGGAAGCAGTGGACAGTTCATTTGTCTGGTGGTAAGTGAAAAGAGAATAGTAAAGCTAAGAATTTTTAAAACAAAAATATTCTATACATTTTGAAGGATATATCTGTCTGTATTGACTATATATTTGATATCTAGTAGGGGAATGACAGCTGGCAAAAGCTAAATTAGCAGCAATTGCTAATCAAGGTAGGAACATGTTACTGTTGTTGCATTTATAAGGCATTTAGACAAGATGTGGAAATAGAGGTCTATTTAAAATGATCATATCTACTTTCTAAAAATGAAAACTGCATCTATGTCTTTGTACATAAGAATTTACTCTTCGTGTAATAATGAATTGCATCTTTTCACTAGTGATAAAGTCACTACTTCACTAGCTAAATAGATTTAAATGAAATATTTCTTGTAATATTAAATATTTGTTATTGATTGCTAAGTTAGCAAATAATTACAATAGGTTTAATACTAGAATATCAATTTCTCAAGAAGCAGATGAAGATTGCCGTAAAAATTCATGCATAGTGGTGTCCCATCTTGTTTTCAGTTTAGCTATACTCTTGTGTCTATGTATTGATTTAAAGGGAATATGTATTTGCATATAATATTCTCATTACATGTTGTACTGACACACCTGAACAGAATTAATGAAGGATTTTTTTAAAATGTAGTTAAAATCTTTTTTCAATTGCTGATTTATTTACTCGACTATTTTAAAATACAGAATTTGTTTTAAAATACATTTTAAACATACATAATATAGTATATTTATGTACAGGTATGTATCTTGCTACTAGCTGCTAAATATAGAGAGTTTTTGTGCTTAAAATTGCCTGTGTCCTTGAAAATGAGTTATTAGCATAAATGATACAAGGACAGTATGAAATTCCTGCATAGAGGTTTTTTTTTTCTTTGTCAAATTTTAGATTTGGGGGATACATGCGCAGTTTTATTACAAAGGTATATTACATGATGCTGAGGTTTGGGGTACAATTGAACCCATCACCCAGGTGGTGAGCATAGTACCCAATAGGTAGTTTTACAACCCTTACTCACCTCCCTTCTTCCCCCTTCATGTAGTCCACAGTGTCTATTATTCCCATCTTTATGTTCATGTGTACTTAATGTTTAGCTCCCACTTATAAGTGAGAACATGCGGTATTTGGTTTTGTTTGTTTCTGTGTTAATTCATTTAGAATAATGGCCTCCAGCTGCATCCATGTTACTGCAAAGAACATGATTTTGTTCTTTTTTATGGCTGCATAGGATTCCATGGTGTATATGTTCCATATTTTCTTTATCTAGTCCGCCATTGATGGACCCCTAGGTCAATTCCATATCCTTGCTGCTATGCATAATGCTGCGATGAGCATATGGGCACGTGTGTAATTTTGGTAGAACAATGTATCTTCCCTTGGGTATATACCCAGTAATGGAATTGCTGGTTTAAATTGTAGTTCTGTTTTTGATTCTTTGAGAAATCTCCAAACTGCTTTCTACAGTAGCTGAAATAATTTAAATTCCCACCAATGTTGTATAAGTGTCCTCTTTTCTCAGCAGCCCCGCCAACATCTGTTATTTTTTACTTTTTAATAATTGCCATTCTGACTGGCATGAGATGTAGTTTTGATCTGTATTTCTCTAATGATTAGTGATGATGAGCATTTTTTCATATGTTTGTTGGCCACTTACATGTGTTTTTTTGAGAAATGTATATTCATGCCCTTTGCCCACTTTTTGATGGGGCTATTTGTTTATTGCCTATTGAATTATTTAAATTCCTAATAGATTCTGTATATTATACCTTTGTTGATACATAGATCGTGGATATTTTCTCCCATTCTGTATGTTGTCTGTTGATTGATAATTTCTTTTGCTGTGCAGAAGCTCTTTAGTTTAACTAGGTCTTAATCAATTTTTGTTTTTGTTGCAGTTGCTTCTAAGGACTTAGTCATGAATCCTTTGCCAAGGCCAATGTTGAGAAGGGTGTTTCCCAGGTTTTCTTCTAGGATTTTTATAATTTGAAGTCTTACATTTAAGTACTTAATCCGTCTTGAGTTAATTTGTGTATATCATGACAGGTAGTGTTCCAGCTTAATTCTTCTGCATATGGCTGGCCAGTTATCCCAGCTCCATTTATTGAATAGAGGGGCCCTTCTCCATTACTCAGATTTGTCAGTTTTGTCAAAGATCAGATGGTAGTAGGTGCGCAGCTTTATTTCTGTGGTCTATTCTGTTCCATTGGTCTATGTGTGTTTTTGTGCCAGTACCATGCTGTTTTGGTTACTGTACCCTTGTAGTATAGTTTGAAGTCAGGTAATATGATGCCTCTGGCTTTGTTATTTTTGCTTAGGATTGCTTTGGCTATTTAGGTCCTTTTTTGTTTCTGTATAAATTGTAGAATAGTTGTTTCTAATTCCGTGAAGAATGATGTTTGTAGTTTGATAGGTATAGCATTGAATCTTCAGATTGCTTTATGTTGTTGATTCTTCCAATCCGTAAGCGTGAAATGTCTTTCCATTTGTTTCTGTCATCTCTGATTTCTTTCAGCAGTGTTTTATAGTTCTCCTTGTAGACATCTTTCACCTCCTTGGTTAGATGTATTCCTAGGGTATTTTGTTTTTGTTTTGTTTTGGCTATTGTAAATGTGATGCCATTCTTGATTTGGCTCTCAGCTTAAACGTTATTGGTGTATAGAAATTCTACTGACTTTTTACATTGATTTTATATCCTGAAACTTTAGTGAAGTTTTTTCTTTATCAGTTCAAGGAGCCTTTTGGCAAGTCTTTAGGGTTTTCTAGGTATAGAATCATATTGTCTGCAAAAAGAGATAGTTTGACTTCTTCTTTTCCTGTTTGCATGCCTTTTTTTCTTCTCTTGCCTGATTGCTCTGAGTAGTACTTGTAGTACTATGTTGAAAAGGAGTGGTGAGGTGGACATTTTTTTTCTTGTTCCAGTTCTCAAGGGGAATGGTTCCAGCTTTTGCTTCTTCGGTATAATGGTGGCTGTGCGTTTCTCATACATAGCTCTTATCATTTTGAGGTACATTCTTTTGATGGTTAGTTTGTTGACGGTTTTATCATGAAGGGACATTGAATTTTATCGAAAGCTTTTTCTGTGCCTATTAAGATGATCATTTTTTGTTCGTTTTTAATCCTGTTTATGTGGTAAATTACATTTATTGATTTGTGTATGTTGAACCAACCTTGCATCCCAGGAATAAAGGCTGTTTGATCGTGGTGAATTAACTTTTTGATGTGCTGCTGGATTCGGATTGCTAGTATTTTTTTGAGGATGTTTGTGTCTATGTTCGTCAGGGATATGGACCAGTAGTTTTCTTTTTTCCTTCTATCTCTGCTAGCTTTTCCTATAAGGATGATGTTAGCTTCATAGGATGAGTTGGGAAAGAGTCCTTCCTTTTCAATTTTTTGGAATCGTTTCAGTGGGATTAGTACCAGCTCTTCTTTGTACATCTGATAGAATTTGGTTGTGAATCAGTATGGTCTTGAGCTTTTTTTGGTTGGTTGGTGTTTTATTTCTGATTCAATTTTGGAACTTGATATTGGTCTGTTTAGGGCTTCAAATCTTCCTGATTCAATCTTGGGAGCTTGTGTGTTTCCAGAATTTTACCCATTTCCTCTAGATTTTCTATTTTGTGTGCTAGGTGTTCATAATAGTTATACGAATATTTTTTGTATTTATGTGGGATAGGTTGTAATGTCATCTTTGTCATTTCTGATTGCACTTATTTGGATCTTCTCTTTTTTCTTTGTTATTCTAGCTAGCAGTCTGTAAATCTTGTTTATTCTTTGAAATAACCAACTTTTGATTTCATCGATTCTTTGTATGGATTTTTGGGTCTCAGATTTTCTTCTGCTAGCTCTGGGGTTATTTTGTTCTTGTTTTCATAGTTCCTCTAGGTCCTGCATAGAGTTTTAATCAGACATTGGATTCTTAACATTTCTTTAAAGTGACCCTACAACCAAGTGCGATAAATCAGTTAAACAGTACAGTAGTTTATTATTTGACAAACATTTTTCAACACTGATTAGATTTCATTATGCTACTAGGTATAATAGAAAATAGCAAAATAACCCATAGTTCCTGTTTTCAAGGAACTTAATATAGGATAAAATAAGGATTTAGGGGGTCAACATTGGAGTTTTGGTTTCCCCCACTTAATACATGACTGTGGGCAAGTCATTTAATTTATTTTTTAAATTTTTTTCTGGTTGTTAGCTTCTTTGTCTTTAAAATGGGGTTGACAATACTTCTCTTGAAGGCTTTTAAAGCGTAAAAGTAATGTAGAGTCATGTGTCACTTAACAATGGGGATACCTCCTGAGAAATGTATTGTTAGGCAATTTTATCATTGTGTGAACATCATAGAGTGTACTTACACAAACCTAGATGGTATAGCCTAGTACACACCTAAGCTATATGGTAAGCCTATTGCTCCTAGGCTACAAACCTGTACAGCATGTGACTGTACTGATTACTATAGGCAATTGTAACACAATGGTAAGTATTTGGGTATCTAAACATAGAAAAAGTACAGAGAAAATATAAAAGACAAAAAATGGTATACCTTTAATAGGGCACTTACCATGAATAGATGTTGAAGGACCAGAAGTTGCTCTGTGTGAGTGAGTGAGTGAGTGAGTGGTAAGTGAATGTGAATATTACTGTATACTACTGTAGAATTTGTAAATACCATATACTTAGGCTACAATAAATTTATTTTCAAATGCTATTCTTTGTTCCATAATAAATTAACCTGAGCTTACTGTAACTTTTTAATTTTATAAACTGTCCAATTTTTAGAAACTCATCGACTCTTTTGTAATAATACTTAGCTTAAAACACAAACACATTGTACAGCTGTACAAAAATATTTTCTTTATATCCTTATTCTATTAATTTTTTTTTTACTTTTTAAACTTTTTTGTTAAAATCTAAGACACAAACACACACATTAGCCTAAGTTTACACAGGGTCATGATCATCAATATCACTTCCACCTTCACAGTTATCCCATTGGAAAGTCTTTAGGGACAATAATCACGGAGCTGTCATCTCCTGTGATAACAGTACCTTCTAGAATACTTCTAAAAGGGCCTGCCTGAGGCTATTTTACAGTTAACTTTTTGTTAGAAGAAGGAATATATACTAAAATAACAATAAAAAGTATACTATAGTAAATACATAAGCCAGTAACGGTCATTTGTTATCATCATGTATTATGTATTGTATGTAATTATATGTGCTATACTTTGCTATGGTGGCAAAGTAAGTTTGTTTATACCAGCATCACCACAAACGTGTGTAATGCATTGTACTACGATGTTATGAAGGCTATGACTATAACATTACAAGGGCTATGACAACACTAAGCAATAGAAATTTTTCAGCTCCATTATAATCTTATGGGACCACCATCATATATGCACTCTATCTTTGAAACATGTTATGTAGCATGTGACTATATTTACTTAGCACAGTGTCTAGCCCATGGTGAGTACATAGTTATTGGTAGCTGTTACTGTTATTGCCCACCTCATATGGAGTTCTCAGTAAATGTTACTGTCTTTTCCTTTTTGCTTACAACCTATCCTCCGCTAATGTAACATTGTAGTTAATATGAAATAGTATCATCTAACATTCAGGAAGTGACCTTTGTTATCCTTGAAATGAACAAGCAAGTGAGCAAAGCCTTATAAAATTCATTTTGACTTCTTAATGCAGATTTCACTGAGTGTACTGGAAAAGAGAGTTTTCAAGTCTGGGATCTGTTTTCTCAAAATTGGTCGAGCACAGACGTGAAAGCCATTCATAAGGATTAAACTTTGAGTATCTGAATAGCAACTGGTCACAAGTAGTCAAACTCTGTAGTTCCAAAGGCTGTATTAGTTGTGGAGGGGTAGTTTTTATTAGGAACATTTGCATACATACACAAAAGTGGAAAGAATAGTATAATGAAATCCCACATAGTACCCATAATCCAGCTCCAACAGTTATCAACTAAAGTAGGTTTTAACGGAAACATCTCAGTTAAAAATGGACACTTCCAGCTCAATATGTGTTTCTCTAACTTATTATTTTTTAATCCTACATCATGAGTTGAGTTAGAATCCCACTTTAATGTTTGCTTTTTGTTAAGCTTTTTAAAAAATATGTTAGTTTGGATTAATAATCAAAGATTTATTTTCTATAAATGTCATATAAAAATTTTTCAGGGCACATTTTTAAATTAAAAGGCCAAAAGAAAAATGCATGGGTTTATAACTTTTTTTTAAAAAAAAGGGAAGATTTAAGTATGCTGGGTAGAACATATTTTGTTCTGTGTTTGTTTTGAAGGTTTGGCTTGAGCAACAAGTTTGATACTGAATTTCCCTCCGTTCTAACAGGGAAGGTAAGTGAGAATTTGCTTTGAACTTTTCAGTTCTAAAGCATTGTTTTATGGCTTACTCATTGTTATGACAAATGCTTTGAATCATTGTTAATGAAGTCAAGTAATAGGAGGCCTCAGTAGTTGGAAGCTGTGTTTATAGTGTTTGAAAGCTGTTGCCATGGCTACCAGCCTCTGACCAGTTATTTTGTTCATTGTCCATTAATGCCAGCCATTATTTATTTGTCCGTTCAGCTTTTTCACTTTTGCATTTTTTTTCTCAGCATAGGTAGCTATAATTGTTTTTATTTGGGTCATTAATTTCCAGTGCTTTTAGAGTTAAAGTTATTTTTTTAACTGTATCACTCTATTAATTTTTAAAGTACCATATGGTATGATTTGTTATACATGAAAATAATTAAATTTTTGATTAGATGTTTTTCTGACTTTTAGATAGTTGGAGTTGGTAAGATTGGACTCACTGTAATAAATTCATACCTTTCTATTCCCTGGTTCCTCTACATTGAGTAGTATTTCCTAGTAAATTCAAAGATTTACTAGGATTCAAAACTATAAATTTAAAGACCTAATGCACAGCCTGATTACTATAATTGATAATATTGTATTATATACTGGAAATTTGCTGAGAGTAGATTTCAGGTGTTATCACAAAATAACAAAAAGGTGACTGTGAGGAGATGGATATGCTAATGTGTTTGACTAATAATTATTTTACTGTGTATATGTACATCAAAACATCATGTTGTACACCTTAAATATATACAATTTTTAAAAAGAAACTATATTTGGAAGATCATCTTATGACAATAATGTGAACTTTCTGTGCCCAAAGGAGAAGGCTCTGCCTAAGGCAAAAAGTTATTTACATACGTTTGTTACTTGAGGAAGTGTAGAACAGGAGAGAAAAACCATTATATTACAGAATACTCAGTCATTGCCAAATGGTTAATAGTTGAATGCTTGGATAGCTAAAAACATGATTAGGGGTTAAAGGAAGTTAACTTTTTGTATTTTGGAGCCTTTAAATTCAACATATTTAATTTTAGTACTAGAATAATGGTATTTGTCAGTATAGATTTTGGTCATATTTTAAAATTATCTCATTATCTAACAGGCTTTTTATTCTATTGTAGTGTCAATTATTCTCATATTGTTGGTGAGAAAAGCAAAATGAAAATCACTGTGTTTAGTATGTATAATAAATTGGAGAAATAAGCCCATTAATAAATGTATTTTTACATAAAGAAATTCTAGAGAGATACACATGAAACTAATAAAAGTTATTACCTTTGATGGGAGAAGAGGAATGTGATGGATAGAGGCAAGGGTAAGGATGAGACTTTTCTGATATCTTTTAGTATTGCTTTCATTTTTAAACCATGTGACTATATTACCTTTTGAACTTTAATTTTTTCTTAATTCACTGTCCCTTGTTCTAAACTCTTTGAAAACCAGATAAGATGCTTCTACTGATATTTGCTTCTTTCTGTCATGGATTTTCCAACTATGTACTCTTTTTGCTTTTGGCGTAATCACAATCTTCCCCCCAGCCTCTTTGCAGGGTAGACAGCAGACCTATTTCTTTTTTCAAGGAATATCTTTGAAATCATAAGAAATTCTGTTTAATTTAACCCTGCAAGGTATGTTACACTTTATTTGCCTCATTTTCCCCTTGAAAAATTGGAGGTAGCTTGAGACAGAATATAGTAGTTAAACAAGCTTTGCAGTCAAATCTGGGTTGGAATCCAGGTTATGTCACTTACTGTGTGGCCTTGTGCAAGTCACTTCTCTGAGCCTGTTCTTATGTGAAAAATAGAGATGATGCTGATAGTTACCTCACTTTTTAAGAGCTAAATGAGACAGCATATATAAAATTCCTAGTATTTTGTCATGTACTTATTAGCTTCCCAATGTTAGTTTGTAGTTGCAGTTGACTATTCTTCATCATTGTATTGTAGTTTCACCCTGGTTGCTTTTCATTCTACTCACTGGCTTTCAATTTTTCATTGCTTTTGCAAATTTTCTTCATCTAATTCTAAGAGAATACATTATTATTCTCTGGCCTCACCACTAATTTGTTCTGTTGACTGTTGACCTTTTCTGTCTCTCCTGAGGTATAATATCAAATCATTTCACAGAATACTAAACAGGTGATCATAGTTCCTGGCTAAGTTAGCCTTAGAGAATATGTGGCCATTTAACATTTTAGGACACAAAGAACCCTTTGGTGTGAGATTTTGGCTCACTCTTTAGTACGTTCTACCTTCCTATCCTGATCAATTGGAGTAATTTACCAATTGAAGCGGCAGCCTATACTTAGATTTGTTTTATATGAATTAATCATAAATGTTTTTTCAAATGAATAAAGTAGCTATGGAAATATATCTTGAATAATAGTGTATTTTTGTAGAAAGATGGCAAATTCATTATTAAAATTAAAGAGAATGTGAATTATAAGAACTTCAGTAAAAAACTTATTCTTCATGTTTCCTTTGATGCTGCTGCATGTGTTGTAGGTGTAGTTATATCCAACTTTACCATTGGCTTTGAAATACAGGTCCAAGAAATTCTAGAAATGAATAATCAAAAAAATATGTCAGTGTATAAAATTCCCAGGCATACAAATTATCCATTTTCAAAATTGGCCAATTTTATATGCTCAAGGAATCTTCAGAATATCTTTTCACACCTTCTCATTTCTTTACAAGCCTTCTGAAACTAAAAATTCCAGTGGCCCCAAAGGTAGTAGACTGTTTTAAACTAGAGGAGTAAGAATAATAAGCTGCTTTTGGTATGCACTCACACAACCTAAATTATCTGGATATGAGCTGCTCATAAATATATCCATTCTTTTCAAGTGATTGTTTTTGTAGCACATTGTCATAATGACTTGAGTATTTAAGTGTACATTATGTATAGTGTACAAAATCTATCATGTGTTGGATAAGGCATAAATTATAACTGTGATATTTTTCTTAGCATGTGTTTGGTGATGGGAAAAACACTAAAAGGAATTCTGAAGATCTGATTTAAAAGTCACATGGTGGTAACATTAGCTTTATTCATTTTCTCATTAATGAGATAATTTTTCTCCGACAGGCACTTTCATTTGTTTAGGTTCCTTTGCATTATCAAAATGCTTCTCAGATAACTGGAGAGAAAAGGCAAACATAATTAATGTATATCTGAGGAAAAAAATAAAAGAAAAAAGGTCTAAATTCCAGACTTAACAGCTCTTACATTAAAATATTTTAAAATGAATAACTGTGATAGCTAAAGTAGAAAAAAAATCTACCTTTTATGAAATCAGTCTTCCAATATGAATGTGATTCTAAATAGCTTTTATGCCTGCCTGATGCCTGAGCTAAGCAAAATTGCAGAGGGAAGTCTGAAAACCTAAAAAAACCATTTTGACAAGCTCTGTAGCTCAATATTAATTTTTTGCTTCTTATGTGTTAATGCTTTTAATGCAAACAAAAAGATGACCTTTTATATTAAGTGCAGAAAAGATTGTTTTCCCTATTTCATATCGAACAGATGTATATACACAGATTCTAGTGACCAGAAAAGGGAAGAACCACAGAAATTTAGAAAAGAAAGTAAAGCTTTTGGCCCTCAGCTTGAAACAATTAAACTGTGTTATGGGGAGACTAGTGTGCAGTGTTTGGGGATTGTAAGCAATAAAAACCGACCTTTACTATTGTGTTACAGTATGACAGCTGATTGATAGGGTTGTGTTCCCCATGACTGAAGAAGGCAGATCAGTCCTGCTGCGGTTTGCTTAGAGTTTCTTCTGTTTACAGAGTCTCTTGCATCCTGTTATAAAATATTATGACCCTTTACCCCACCTTTATGGTGTGGTTTTCTTTTTTCATTCCAAGAAAGCCAAAAGAAATGAAATGTTTCTTTACAACCTACTGTTCAGCTAGAAAGTAAGGGTCTTCTGCTGTCTAACCTTCATTGCTAGAGACACTCAATTATATGAAAGTAAATGAGTAAAATGTTAACTCTGATTCTACACAGTTAACTAAACATTTCTTTCACGTTGTTTAAAATTGAGTTTACTAATTCTCACTTCTTATGTCTTTAGCTCTGTTTTATGACTTTTACTGTTGCTCAGATACAGATTTCTTTCAAAGACAATCCTGGTCTCCTTTTAAAGTCAAAATGCAGATTTTAGTTTATTGTTTGAAACTCTAGTAAAAGCTTTTCTTTTCAATATATTTGTCTTATGACCTCAAAAAAAATTTGAATTCTCATTTTTAGTAACTTGAATATTTTAGTTTTTAATTCGTCTATGGTAAGAAAATAGAAATTGAGACCATTATATGTTAAAAAGAAGAAAGTGTTGGCAGGAAAGAAGGAAAATGACCACATTTTTAGGTAATGTTTTTGTTTTCAATTCCAGAAGCATATAATAAAAGGCAAATTTTATAACAAATTTTATATACCTCAACATACAATTTATTTTATTCACAGTGTTTGAAATAAAAAGCTATTTTCTCTTCCCTCTTTTATTCTCTAGCTTTTGTCTCCCTCAGTCTTCTAACACTATTTCATCCCTGGTAGAAGTGGAGCTTTCTTTTCTAAGGCTCCTTATAAACAATTTTTTTTTTCTTTTGGACTGACTCATTTCTGCACCTTTTGGTTTTATTTTTTTTCCATCTGTGTTTGTACTTACTTTTTAAATAAAAATGTAAATTCCAATTATAAGCATTTAAATTTGTAAATGGACAGATTTAATAATTTTATGATTTGCATGAGTTTATATCAAAATTTACCATATTTAAAAATATGTTAGCTATTCTGGATACATAATTTAAAGAGAGTTGACAGTAATGTAATATTACAGATTAAAGCTAAATATGTTCATATTTTTTCTTTATTTTAACTTCTATTTGGTTGCCCAATGATTCCCTAGGAGAAAAGAAGTTGAATATTGCTGTTGGAGAGGTAAATCTTAAGATAGAAACTTGGTACCTTGTTTTTAGAAAGAAGAGCTTGATTTTTCTTTTTTTTTTGCTGAAGAATTAAAGAGCATTGAATCTGCATTTAACATGCAGCAGATTATAAACAAATTATCCTTTTGTTTATAATGTAGTATATAGGAAAACTATGGAATATTAATAGTTACTTGAGTAAACCCATTGCCTTCAGGTGAGACTTCATGCAGAAGAGAGCTGTTTCTTTTCTTTCTCCAAACCTTCTCAGAGACATGATTTATGGACTTTCTTTTTCAAAGCATTTCAGGCAGGAGGTTACTTCCAAGGATTAATTTACATTTTCTGTGAAGTATATAAAACAAAGATTATTATTCTCATTTTATCGGTGGGAAACTGAAACTCAGAAAAATTAAATGAATTTGCCTAGGATTTTTCATAGCTAATAAGTAACTATAATTCAAGTCTCTCGATCTGTTTTTCAGTGTTTTTAGTTTGTCTTAGTTTAATGTGCTTAGTGCACTCTTGTGCACTAAGTTTGTTAGTGTTTTCTAATTTCAATTATAAGGCAAGGCTGTGTGAATTTGTTTTCATATTTACTTAGAAATTTTGCCATTTAATTGGAATTCTTTGCACCCAGTGATTGTCTTTACATCATGTTGCTGACAGTCTAGATGGAGAATGAAATTAGTTTACTTGCTCTGTGTAAACACAGTTTTGAGCCTTATAATTTCACAACTATTGTTTGTTAACATATTAGTAAGAAAATCAGATTCATGGGCTAAGCAATTAACCTTATTGAGTGACATGAACAATTCTAATAAAACTTCTAATAAAGCTTATATATGTAATGTTTAGCTTACTTTAGTGCTGAATTATGTGATCATGTATTTTTATAACATTTGCTAATAGGTATATGTTTTGTAGTGTTGATTCTAAGACATCTCTATTAAGAGACAAAAATGTAATAAATTGATTCCTCGAGTACAATTTTTATTTGGAATAGTAGTAGTAAAGCTCTATATTTTTGATTCCTAACCTGCTAATGCGGTTTTTATTTTATAATACCTTACTTTTCCTAACCATTGCCTAATTTTTGCTTTTATAGCCAGATGCTAAATGTTCTTTCATAAACTTTATAGTCTGACAGCTTTCTAAATGAAAGGGAATCATTTTTGTAATCTAGAAATGTGATTTCACTGAAAGCAAACTATTTTTAGTATATGTTTGAATTGTATAACATTCAAGCAGAATTTTTGGTATAAATCTAATTATTCCAGTCATGTGCATGCCTTTGAACTGACTTTGTCCTTGTTTACAGAGAAGCACAAGCAGCCACTTCCAAGAATGGAGGTAGTAACTAGAAATATTAAACTTGTGTATTTAAAGACCTTTCAACTTTAAAAGTTTACCGCAGTTATGAATCCATTTTATACTGAATATTAACAGGCTGTTTTGAATGCAATCACTAGGCATTGTCTTTTGTTAGTGTAACTAACAGTGGCTAATGTTAAAATTGTTATATTGCAAATTTGCCAGGGAATAAGGGTTTGAGAGTTGCCTTTTTTCAAAGTAATCCAGGAGTATTGCCAAGGTCTAATTTTAATTGCATTTTCTCTAGTAGTATTTGGGTTTTTTATTGTTGTGTTATGCTTCTAGTCTTACCCAGCTTTTACTCAGAATGACTAGAGACTATCAATTATACTGCCTTGATAATGAGAATATTTGGTAAGAAAAAGGCTTGAAAGTTATCCTTTTCCGTCAATTTTATTGCAGTCATTTTATTGGTGGTCATTTCAGAAGATTGATTTTCAACATCAGGCTAAGTTCTATGAACTTGAAATTATATTGTTGTGCTTTTCAACGTCATCCTAGAGTGCGTGAACATATTTATGGGGAATATATCTATTTAGATATTTGTGATTCCTTAAATTATTTGTAATAAATGTTTTTCTTAGATTTAGAGATAAACAGTGAAAAGCTGCCCACAAACTGTTAAAGATTGTACCCTCTTGTAGGTGGCCCCAGAAGAATTTAAAACCAGCATTGGCCGTGTGAATGCATGTTTGAAAAAGGCTCTCCCGGTCAATGTGAAATGGCTGCTGTGTGGTTGTCTCTGCTGCTGTTGCACACTGGGTTGCAGCCTATGGCCTGTTATTTGTCTCAACAAAAGAGTGAGTAACTGTTTTATTGTATAATAATAATAATAACTAACATTTATGGAAAACTTACTATGTGCTATGAACTCTTTTCAAGTACTTTACACAATTTAGTTAATTCTTGTAACAATGCTATCTTTATTTTAGAGATAAGGAAACTTGGGGACAGGTACATTGTTATTTGTCCAACTTTTGTCAACACTTTACCATTTAATATGGGTTCCCATCATTTCACATAAAAGCAGTATAAGTTAAATATTAAGTAATTATAAATGTAAGTGGGCTACTTATTCTTTTTAAAATACCTGATGCTGTGCCTTAAGGTATTTCCAAGTTATAGGTATAAAGGAGAGCTTCTGATCTGAAGAAAGGCAAAAGTGAGAGTAACCTACAAAGTTTGCAGGGCAAATCCTTAGTTTTAAACATGTTACAATAACATGCTAGCATAGCATTACTACTTATGTCATGGATTTAAGAGTACTGTCTTAATCTTGTCTTTTTTAAAATTTCACATTAGTTTTTGTAAATTTTTTCCTCTGGTGGGAAGATGCCTTTAAAATATTTTAATTGAAGCCAATGAGGAAAATTAATTCATTTTACCTAAAGTGTTTTTCCTAGTACTGTATGAATGATTTCATTTAAACTTTTAAATAATAAGTAGCCAATGAAATCAGATTCAAAATTATAGTGCCTTGTGGAAGAATAATTAGTGGTGCAGTTATTTTATTAAAGCCAAAAATATTCCCAAGAAGTACTCATTATTTTTTTATCTCTATTCTTTTCCTGCCTGGTTTAATGTTTACTTCAAAAAGACAAATAATGAAATATTGCCAACTCTATGACTCTTTGAATGGAAAAGTTAAGCATTTTAGTCTGTTGGTAATCACAAGTAGGTCAGAGCTTCACTTTAAATATTGCTTAGTCTATTGTTTGTCAGAGCAGGTACAGTATTCTCAAATGGTTTTCTATAAATAAAAAAAAAGCTGACAGCATAAATTCCTTTTCTTAATTGTCATATCTTACTTTTAAAAGTCACAATCAATAACTCCTACCCATCCCTATTATTTTAAAAGCCTCAGTATGAAATAATCATGTTTGAATTTCCCATCATGTAAATACAGCTAATCTCAGTTACTTAAGAACAGATTTTTTTGTTTGTTTGTTTCTGTATTATCCAGGACTATCCCTTTTTCTGATGACCTGTTTACACTTTGTCTATTTGTTAATACCTTCACCAGAAGGCCTGAAATAAGGAGAAACATTTTTTTTTCAGTCATTTGATTTTACTATCAATACTTTGAATAGAATATTCAATGGAAACTAAGATAATACTGATGCTGTGATCTCTCCTATCCTCCATTACTTTGGATAATTAAAAGCTCATAGTGAAGTTGAGGCATCAGTATATTCTGGTTCGCAAATCTGTCAATTTAAAAAATTTATTTAATATAGATTTGCAAATTGTCATCCATGAGCCAAATCCAGCCCACTCTGTTTTTAAACATTTTAATCAGTTTGCCAACATTTAAACATTGTAATATTTAAAATAAAATTCATGATATCCAGCCTCTTGTAAAATCTAAAGATCTGGCAATACCGGGCCCACATGGCTATATGTCAGCAGTTGGCTCTGAGTAGTGGCTGCTTCCTTTAAGTAGAACATACATTCTCTGGTTCATCTTAGAAACCACCCATAGTTTACATTATCTGCCTTGCTCTGTAAGCATTATAGTTCACGGCCTCTGATTTTGTATGTGCCATGTTGTCAACACTATACTAGACAGCAAAACATTAAGAACATGCTGGTAACCTTGTGCAAGTCACTGTTCTTTCTGTAGCCTCAAGTTTTCTCACCTATAAAATCAGGACACTACTAGTTACTTTTAACATGGTTTTATGATGAAATTTAAAGCAACTCAAAGATTTTTGTCTACATGAAGAAATATAAAATATAATTAAGAATTTTTATACATTCACTACTGATTTTCTAATATGTAAAATAAGTTGAATAGACTATAATAGTTTAATTGGAAGTATGATTCACATTCATATAGTTCAAATCCCTTATTTTACAGGTGTGGACATAAATCCAGAGGGTGAAGTGACTTTCTCAGAATCACATGGCAAATAGCACAGCCACAAAAATAATCCTTGCTTTATTTTGTTTTTGTTTTTGTCTTTAATACTGCATCCTCTTGACTACATCATGTTTCTTACATCAAATTGACTAGTCCTGAGACCAGAAATGTTTGCGTAAGTTGTATAATAAACAGCCCACTGAATTTTAATTCTTTAGCAGTGGATAGAAAACTTTTTCTTAAAGAACCAAATAGTAAATATTTTAGCCTTTGTGAGCCAGAGGTCTCTGTTGCAACCGCTCAACTGTGGCATTGTCACATGTAAACAGCCATAAGCATATGTAAATGAGTGAGCATTACTGTGTTCTCATAAAACTTTATTTACAAAAACAGGCAGCAAGCCAGATCTGGCCTATGGGCTGTTGTTTGACACCTTGCTCTAGCCATCTCTAATTGGGTATCTAGCTTTATGGAAGTCATATCTCTGTTTGCTCACAAAATAAAATGGAAATAATAATGAAGATGCTATATTAGCCAATTATTGAAAATATTTCCAGCAAAAGAATTTTTATGTAGATAGTCTGCCTTATAATTTTTTGGCAGTATAATTCATGAGAATTTTCTCTAGCAAATTAGGTGATAAAGAAATATAGGTCAGAGTGCCTTGAGTTCCCCCTAATCTCTCTTGACTCTGGTGCGATTTCGCAGCTACATGATACATTAAGTGAGGCTTTTCATTTACTTGTTCTTCTATCTACCACTGAACCAACTGTGATATCATAGTCAATTTCAGCCCCAGTCATGCTATGACTCAAAATTTGAAATTACTTTTATCCTTTCCTTTTTTGCTTTGATACTCATTAAATTGAGAGAGATGGTCAGAGGAAAGGACTACTTTCTGACTCATGACATAAATATGATGTTTTAGGAGATAGAGGTTATAATTCACTGTCCTGTTTGATTCTGTGTTTTTGTAGCTAATTATAAAAAGAAGGAAAAGCATATGATAGAAACAAATGCCCCATCCATACATTATGCCATTTGGAAAAGAAAATCAGTCTTTGCAATGAGAGACAAATAGTTCTGCCAAGAATTAAGCAAATTACGTGTAATCTATGTATAATTTAGGCCTTTCATAAAATACGTTTTGTGCTCTTGGGCAAAGACAACATGCATAAAGTGAGTGCATAGAGTATTATAACTTGGTCATAGACTGCCTTTTCCTTACTGTCTTTGAACCTTTTAATTTATGTGTCAACCTTGAGTCATTTGAGCCATATATAAGAAAATGATGTTTATGGCATGTTAATACTAAAAGCTGATAAGTTTGCTTCCTTTTTTGTTAGCTTTACTGGCTAATTGTATTGAATGTAGGATTGTATCTGCTCTGCAGAAGTACAGTGATTGGTATTAAGCTAACTTTGATACTTTTCTGGTCAGCTTGAGAGTCAGCCATCTGGTTTAAAAAATAATTTATTGGGAAATAATTTACAGAACATAAAGTTAACTCATATTAAGAGAACAATTCATTGAATATTATTGTACTTACAGAGTTGTGTAACTATCACCATAATCTAATTTTAGAACATTTCCATCATCCTAAGAGTAAACCTTGTGATCACTTTTTGTCACTCCCAATTTCCCTCCAATCCTCCCAGCCCTATACAACCACTGATCTACTTTCTCTCTTATGTTTGCATTTTTGAACATTTTATATGATATGTACTCTTTCATGGCTTTTAAAACTGAACATAATGTTTTTTGTGGAAAAATACACGACATAAAATTTGCATTTTTAACCACTTTAAAGTGGATAAAATTCAGTCGCATTAACTACATTGACAGTGTTATGCAACCATCCACTATCTAGTTTCAGAAATCTTTTATCACCTGCAAGGAAAATCTCATATCCATTAAGCAGTCATTTCTCATTTTCCTTCCCCTCAGGAAGTTAAAAAGTGTTTCCCTCTTTTCTGTATTTTACAAAAGTTTAAGAAGGATTGGTATTCTTCTTTTAAACATTTGGGAGAATTTCCTTTCTTTTGGGCATAACAGTGACACTATCTGATCTTGAGTTTTTTTTCTTGGTAGGTTTTTGATTACACATTCAATATTTACTTGTTATAGGTCTATTCAGATTTTCTATTTCTACTTGAGTCAATTCTAGGAGTTTGTTCATTTCGTCTAGGTTGTAGGCCTACAATTATTTTTAGTATTCACTTCTAATTTTTTTCTAAATTACTGTAAGAGTGATATGTAATGTCCCTATTTTCATTTCTGATTCTAGTCATCTCAGTCTTCTTTTTTTTCTTAATCCTTGTAGCTGAAAGTTTGTCAAATTTCTTTTCAAAGAAAAAACTTTTGGTCTTGTTCATTTTTTCTGTTGTTCTATTCTGTATTTCATTTCTCTCCACTCTATTTTTTCCTTTTTTCTGCTATGTTTGGGTTTAGTTTGCTCTTTTTAGTTCCATAAGGTCTAAATTTAGGTTATTGATTTGAGATCATTCTTCTTTCTTAATGTAGGCATTTACCGCCCTCAGTTTTCTTTGAAACATTGCTTACTCACATTCTGAGATACTGGGAGTTGTGATTTCATTGTATGAATTTTGAGGGAATATAATTCAGCCCATAACACATAAGGAAGGACTTCCACTATTTTGCTATTTGTTTTCCATGTCGTATGTTTTTTGTTCCTCAATTCCTTCATTACTTATTTATTTTATGTTTAATTGAGTTTTTTACTGTACTGTATACCTTATTTCCTTTTCTGTATCTTTTTAAGTTATTTTCTTAGTTGTTACAATTAACATCTTAAACTTATAACACACTAGTTTGAATTAATATCACCTTAGCTTTAATAGTATGTAAATTCTACTGCTATGTATATCTATACCTCCCCTTTTATGTTGTTGTTATCACAAATTATATGTTATATATTGTGTGTCCATTAACAGATTTATGATTATCATTTTGTCTTTTAATCATACGGGAAAAAGAGTTCCAACCCAAAAATACAATATTGGCTTTTAAATATATTTGTGCAGTTACCTTTACCAGTGTTCTTTATCACATGCCTCAAGTTATTGTCTAGTGTCCTTTCATTTCAGCCTAAGGATCTCTTTTTAGAATTTATTGAAAAGCTGTCCTAATAGTGATGAACTCCCTCAGCCCTTGGTTGTCTGGGAATTTCTTCATTTCTTTTTTTGAAGGATAATTTTGCTCAGTATAGAATTTTTGGTTGACAGTTTGCTTGTTTGTTTTGTAATTTCTGCACTTTAAATACTATATGCCATCCCACTGCCTCTGACCTTCATGGTTTCTGATGTGAAATTAACTGTTAATCTTATGGAGAGTCTCTTGTACTTAACAAGTCACTTCTTTCTTACTGCTTTCAAGATTTCCCTCTTTGTTTTTTACTTTCAACAGTTTAATTATACTTTATCTTGGTATGGTTCACTTTGAGTTTATCCTACTTGGAATTTATTTGGCTTCTTGGAATGTTTTTTTTCTGTGTGCAGTTTCAAATTAATATCTGGTGTCACTTGATGCCAGCCTGAAGAACTTCTTTTAGTGTTTCACATAAGCTGGGTCTGCAGGCCACAGATACTCTCAGTTTTTATTTAGGAATGTCTTTATTTTGTCTTCACTTTTTAATATGCAATTTTTAATTAATAGATTTTTAAAAACAATTTTAGGTTTACAGAAAAAAAAATGAGCAAAAAGCACAGATTCCATAAACCCCCTCATCCAATACCAATTTCCCCTACTATTGAGATCTTACATTAGTGTGGTACAGTTGTTACAATTGATGAGCCAATATTGATATATTATAATTAACTAAAGTCCATGGTTTACATTAGGCTTCACTCTTTGTGTTCTACATCCTATGGATTTTGGCAAGTGTATAATGATATGTAGCCATCATCATAGTATCGTACAGAATAGCAGTTTCACTGCCCTAAAACTCCATTATGCTACACCTATTTCATCCCACCCGCATATCCTGAGCAATCACCTAACTTTTTATTGTCTCCATAGGTTTGCCTTTTCCAGAATGTCATATAAGTTGAAATTATATAGAATATATTCATATTGGCTTCTTTCACTTACCAATATGCATTTAAGGTTCCTCCATGTCTTTTCCTGGCTTGATAGCTCATTTCTTTTTATCACTGAATAATATTCCAGTTTTGAGATTTGCCAGTTTATCTGTTCACCTATTAAAGGGTTTCTTGGTTACTTCCAAGGTTTCACAATCATAAATAAGACTGTTATAAACATTCAAGTACAGGTTTTTGAGTGGACAGTTTTGAACTCATTTGATGATTGCTGGATCATGTGGTAAGAGTATGTTTAGTTTTGTAAGAAACTGCCAAACTGTCTTGCAAAGTCGCTGTGCCATTTTGTATTCCCACCAGCAATGAATAAGACTTCCTGTTGTTCTACATCTTCATCAACGTTTGGTGTTGTCAGTATTGTGGATTTTGGCCATTCTAAAACGTAGGTAGTGATATCTCACTATTGTTTTAATTTCTAATTCTGCATAGTCATACGATATTGAGCAGCTTTTTACAAGCTTATTTTCCTTCTATGTATCTTCTTTGAAGAGGTTTCTGATCAGGCCTATGACCCCCCTTTTTTTAATGACATGGGTACAGGATGGTTCCTGAAGGAAAAGAGGGCTTAGTGGCCTCCAAATTCCCTCACTCACCAATTTCTGGAGGAGACTCTAGTGGGGTGAGGACTGAGGAGCCTATGCACACTTTTTCATTGGGTTGTTTATGTTATTATTGTTGAGTTGTTAAAGAGTTATTTGTATACTTTGGATACCAGTTTTCTACAAAGTATGTGTTTTGCAAATATTTTCTCTCAGCCTGTGGTTTGTCTTTTTACTCTCTTAATAGTATATTTTGTAGAGTGGAACATTTTAATTTTAATGAATTTCACCTTATTAATGTTTTCTTTTATGCATCTTGCTTTCTGGTGTTGTATGTAAGAATTCATTGCCAAACCCAAGGTCACCTAGATTTTGTTTTATGTTATATTCTAGGAATTTTAAGAGTTTGGCATTTGTGAAAGGTGTAAGGTATGTGAATACATTCAGTTTTCCTTGCATGTTGATGTCCATTTGTACCAGCACCATCTGTTGAAAAGACAACAATTTCCTTGAATTGCCTTTTTGTCAGAGGTCTATTTCTGCCTTGTCTATTCTGTTCCATTGAATAACTAATCAGTTCTTTCACCAATTCCACACTATCTTGATTACTGTAGCTTTATAGTAAGTCATGAGGTCAAGTAGTATCAGTCCTCTTTGTTCTCCTTAAATACTGTGTTGACTATTATGGATCTTTTACTTTTCCATATAAACTTTAGAATCATTTTTTCAATAATCACAAAACATTGTGATTTTGCATTCTGAAACTTTACTGAAGTTTTTTTTTTAATCAGTTCAAGGAGCCTTTTGGCAGAGTCTTTTGGGTTTTTCTAGGTATAAAATAATACCAACAGCAAAAAGAGGTAGTTTCACTTTTTTACCTATTTATGTGCCTTTTATTTTTTTGTCTTGACTGATTGCTCTGTCTAGGACTTCCAGTACTGTGTTGAATAGGAGTGGTGGGAGTGAGTATCCTTTTCTTGTTCCAGTTCTCAAAAAGGCTGGGGAAATGGTTCCAGCTTTTGCCTGTTCTATATGATGTTAGCTATGGGTTTGCCATAGATGGCTCTTAACTATTTTGAGATATATTTCTTTGATGGCTAGTTTGTTAAGGGTTTTTATGAAGTGAAATTGGGTTTTATCAAAGGCTTTTTCTGTGTCTGTTGACATGATTATATGGTCTTTGTTTTTTGTCCTGTTTATGTGGTGAATCACATTTATTGATTCGCATATGTTGAACCAACCTTGTATCCTAGGATTAAAGCCTACTTGATTGTGGAGAATTAATTTTTTGATGTGCTGCTGGATTCAGATTGCTAGTATTTGTTGGGGATTTTTGTGTCTATGTTCATCAGGGATATTGGCCTGAAGTTTTTTTTTCATTGTGTCGTTGCCATATTTTGGTATCAGGATGATGCTGGCTTCATAGGATGAATTAAGGAGGAGTCTCTCCTCCTCTATTTTTTGGAATAATTTTAGTATGATTGGTATTAGCTCTTCTTCGTACTTCTGGTCGAATTCAGCTGTGAATCCATCTGGTTTAGGGTTTTTCTTCATTGGTAGGTTTTTAATTGCTGTTTCAATTTTGGAACGTGTTATTGTTCTGTTCAGGGTTTCCATTTTTTTTTCCTGATTCAATCTTGAGAGCCTGTGTGTTTGCAGAAATTTATTCATTTCCTGTAGATTTTCTAATTAGTATGCATAGAGGTGTTCATAATAATGTCTGAGGATCTTTTATATTCCTGTGAGATTGGTTGTAATGTCTCCTTTGTCATTTCTCATTGTGCTTATTTGGATCATCTCTCAATTTTCTTTGTTAATTTAGCTATCAATCTACAGATCTTGTTTATCCCTTCAAAAAACCAACTTTTGGTTTCATTGACCCTTTGTATGGATTTTGGGGTCTCAGTTCCTTTCAGTGCTCCTCTGATTTTTGTTTTCTTCTGCTAGCTTTGTTAGTTTGTTTTTGTTTTTCTAGTTCCTCTAGGTGCAATGTTAGATTGATAATTTGAGATCCTTCTAAGTTTTGACTGTAGGCATTTGGCACTGTAAACTTTCCTCTTCATGCTGCTTTTGCTGCATCCTAGAGATTTTGTGTTTTGTGGATGATTGTCTTGTATAGTATCATGGAGAGGTTCTCTGAATTTCTTGAATTTGCATGTCGACCTCTACCAAGATTAGGGAAATGTTCATGGACTGTATCCTCAAATATGTTTTCCATGTTGCTTACTCTGTCTCCTTCTGTCTCAGGAGTCCTAATGTGTCATAGGTTTGGTCTATCTACATAATTCCCTATTTCTCAGAGACTTTGTTCCTTTTTTATAATTCTGTTTTCTTTATTTTTGCCTGACTGGCTTGATTGAAAAGGCCAGTCTTCAATCTCTGAAACTCTTTCTTGAGTTTGATCTAATCTTTTTAATGCTTCTAATTTTATGTTGAAATTCCTGTAGTGAATTTTTCAATTCCAGAAGTTCAGTTTGGTGCTTTTTTAATATGGTCATTTCATCTTTCAATTTTTGGATCATTTTACTGGCTTCCTTGGATTGGACTTCAACTTTCTCTTGAATCTCTTTGAATTTCTTTGCCATCCGATTCTGAATTCTATGTCATTTCAGACATTTCAAACTGTTTAGGATCCATTTCTGGGGACATAGTGCAATCATTGTTAGATAAGTAAACACACTGACTTTTTGAATTGCTGGAGTTATTGCATTGATTTTTTTTTCTGCTCTGGGGGTTCTTGTGTTTCTCATTTTGAAATTGCTATTATTTGGATGGGACTTTTTTATTTTATAGGGGTTTTTTTTCCCTCTTGAAGGTTTGACTGGTGAATGTTGTGTACAGGTGCTTTCCTTTGTTTTGTTTTGTTTTGTTTTGTTTTGTTTTGTTTTGTTTTGTTGAGGCAGAGTCTCGCTCAGTCACCCACGCTGGAATACAAAGGCATGATCTCAGCTCACTGCAATGTCTGCCTCCTGGGTTCAAGCAATTCTTCTGCCTCAGCCTCTCCAGTAGCTGGGATTACAGGCACCTGCTATCATGCCCGGCTAATTTTTGTATTTGTGTAGAGATGGGGTTTCACGATGTTGCCCAGGCTGGTCTTGAACTCCTCACCTCAGGTGATCCGCCTGCTTTCTTTTTGAGTGCTTTCAGAGGGTCATGGTTCTGTATGGGTTCCTTAGTTTTCTGCATTGGATTTCATAGGCATTGCATGCTGAAGAAATTTATTTTTGTTTGCTGCTATAATTCAGGTTGCAATCCAGTAGATAGAGTTTAAATGTAAGGGCCAGCAGATAGGATTTTACTCAGTAGTGTGCCTCTTTTGTATTTCAATGCATATGCATTTCAAGTACACGACTTGGAGCCCTCAGTTACATTTATACTGTTGTGGAACCATTACCAATACCTATTTCCAATTTTTTTTCATTACCCCAAATAGGAACTCTATAGCCATTAAGTAATAACTTCTCAATTCTTCCTTTCTTCATACTCTGCTAACTTCTAATCTACTTTCTGTCTCTACAAATTTGCCTGTTCTAGATACCTCATGTAAGTGAAATAATGCCATATTTTTTCTTTTAGATTCAGCTTATTTCACATACCATAAAGTCTTCGCTGTTAATCCATATCATATTTCAGAATTTCATTACCTTTTATGGCTTAATAGCATTCTATTTTGTGTAAATATCATAGTTTTGTCTATCCACTTATTTATTGATGGACACTTGAGTTGTTTCCACCTTTTGGCTATTGGGAATAATGCTGTAGTAAACATTACTATACAAGTGCCTGTTTGAGTCTTTGATTTCAATTCTTTTGGGTATATATCTAGGAGTACAATTGCTGGTCATATGGCAATTGTTTAGCTTTTTGAGGAACCACCAAAATCTTCCCTTTTTTTATTATATTTAAGTTCTGGGATACATGTGCAGAACATATAGGTGTGTTACATAGCTATACACGTGCCATGGTGGTTTGCTGCACCTATCAACCCATCATCTACATTAGGTATTTGTCCTAATGCTATCCTTCCCCTTTACCCCCACCCTCCGACAGGCCCCGGTGTGTGCTGTACCCCTCCCTGTGCCCATATGTTCTCATTGTTCAACTCCCACTTATAAGTGAGAACATGCAGTGTTTGGTTTTCTGTTCCTGTGTTAGTTTGCTGAGAAAGATGGCTTCCAGCTTCACCCATGTCTCTGCAAAGGACATGAACTCATTCTTTTTTTATGGCTGCATAGTATTCCATGGTGTATATGTACCACATTTTCTTTATCCAGTCTAATATTGATGGACATTTGGGTTGGTTTTAAGTCTTTGCTATAGTGACTAGTGCTGCAATAAACATACGTGTGCATGTGTCTTTGTGGTAGAATGATTTATAATTCTTTTGGTATATACCCAGTAATGTCATTTCTGGGTCAAATGGTATTTCTAGTTCTAGATCCTTGAGGAATCGCCACATTGTCTTCCACAATGGTTGAACTAATTTACACTCCCAACATCTGTGTAAAAGTGTTCCTATTTCTGGACATCCTCTCCAGCATCTTTTGTTTCCTGACTTTTTAATGATCACCATTCTAACTGGAGTGACATGGTATCTCATTGTGGTTTTGATTTGCATTTCTCTAATGAACAGTAATTACGAGCTTTTTTTCATATGTTTCTTGGCTTCAAGAATGTCTTCTTTTGAGAAATGTCTGTTCATATTCTTTGCCCACTTTTTGATGGGGTTGCTTTTTTCTTGCAAATTTGTTTAAGTTCCTTGTAGATTCCGGATATTAGCTCTTTGTCCGATTGATACATTGCAAAAATTTTCTCCCATTCTGTAGGTTCCCTGTTCACTCTGATGATAGTTAAACTTCTAAAGCTGATAAGCAACTTCAGCAAAGTCTCAGGATACAAAATCAATGTGCAAAAATCACAAGCATTCCTATACACCAATAATAGACAAACAGAGAGCCAAATCATGAGTGAACTCCCATTCACAATTGCTACACAGGGAATAAAATACCTAGGAATACAACTTACAAGGGATCTGAAGGACCTCTTTAGTGAGAGCTACAAACCACTCCTCAAGGAAATGGGAGAGGACATAAACAAATGGAAAAACATTCCATGATCATAGATAAGAAGAATCAATATTGTGAAAATAGCCATACTGCCCAAAGTAATTTATAGATTCAATGATATCCCCATCAAGCTATGATTGACTTTCTTCACAGAATTAGAAAAAACTACTTTAAATTTCATATAGAACTCAAAAAGAGCCCATGTAGCCAAGACAATACTAAGGAAAAAGAACAAAGCTGGAGGCATCACACTATCTGACTTCAAACTATACCACAAGGCTTCAGTAACCAAAGCAGTTTGGTACTGGTACCAAAACAGATATATAGGCCAATGGAACAGAACAGAGGCCTCAGAAATAACACCACACACCTACAATCACCTGATCTTTGACAAACTTGCCAAAAACAAGCAATAGGGAAAGGATACCCTATTTAATAAATGGTGTTGAGAAAACTGGCTAGCCATATGCAGAAAACTGAAACTGGACCCCTTCCTTACACCTTATACAAAAATTAACTACAGATGTATTAAAAGATTTAAATGTAAGATCCAAAACCATAAAACCCTAGAAGAAAACCTAGGCAATACCATTCAGGACATAGGCATGGACAAAGACTTCATGACCAAAATACCAAAAGCAATTGCAACAAAAGCCAAAATTGAAAAATGGGATGTAACTAAACTAAAGAGCTTCTGTACACCACAATCTTTTCCATGGGAGCTATATCATTTTACATTCCTACCAGCAATGCAGAAGAGTTCAGATTTATGGAGATCCTCATCAATGTGTGTTATTTTCCATTTCATTTATAACAGCCACCCTAGTGAGCATAAAATGGTGTCTCATTGTGATTTCGACATACATTTCCCTCATGATTAGTGATATTTAGTGTCTTTTCATTTGCTTGTTGAACATTTGTATGTCTTTTTTGAAGAGATGTCTGTTTACATCCTTTGTCCATTTTCTCTCTAGGTTGTTTATTTGTTCTTTAGTTGTGGGTGTTTTTATATAATCTTGTTAATCTCTTATCAAATATATAATTTACAAATAATTTCTACCGTTCTGTGGTTTGTCTTTTCACTGTCTTAATAGTGCCATGTGATGCACAAAATTGTTGATTTTTATGAAGTCCCATTAAACTAGTTTTCTTTTCTTGCCTGGGCTTAGGCATTATATCTTAAAAAAATATATTTTTATATATATAACATAATTATATATATACATATATACACACATATATATATACACACACACACACACATATATATATATATACGCACTATAAGTTTTGGGATACATGTGCAGAACGTGCAGGTTTGTTACCTAGGTATACACATGCCATGGTGGATTGGTGCACCCAGCGACCTGTCATCTACATTAGGTATTTCTCCTAATGCTATCCCTCCCCTAGCCCCCCACCTCCTGACAGACCCTGGTGTGTGATGTTCCCCTCCCTGTGTCCATGTGTTCTCATTGTTCAACTCCCATTTATGAGTGAGAACATGCAGTGTTTGGTTTTCTATTCCTGTGTTAGTTTGCTGAGAATGATGGTTTCCAGCTTGATCCATGTCCCTGCAAAGAACATGAACTCATTCTTTTTTATGGCTGCATAGTATTCCATGGTGTACATGTGCCACATTTTCTTTATCCAGAGTATCATTCATGTGCATTTGGGTTGGTTCCAAGTCTTTGCTATTGTGAATAGTGCTGCAGAAAACATTCATATGCATGTGTCTTTATAGGAGAATGATTTGCAAACCATTGGGTATATGCCCAGTAATGGGATCGCTGGGTCAAATGGTATTTCTGGTTCTAGATCCTTGGGCAATTGCCACACTGTCTTCCACAATGGTTTAACTAATTTACACTCTCCATCCTCTCCAGCATCTGTTGTTTCCTGACTTTTTAATGATCACCATTCTAACTGGCATGAGATGGTATCTCATTTTGGTTTTGGTTTGCATTTCTCTTTTTTTTTTTATTATTATACTTTAAGTTTTAGGGTACATGTGCACATTGTGCAGGTTAGTTACATATGTATACATGTGCCATGCTGGTGCGCTGCACCCACTAACTCGTCATCTAGCATTAGGTATATCTCCCAGTGCTATCCCTCCCCCCTCCCCCCACCCCACCACAGTCCCCAGAGTGTGATATTCCCCTTCCTGTGTCCATGTAATCTCATTGTTCAGTTCCCACCTATGAGTGAGAATATGTGGTGTTTGGCTTTTTGTTCTTGCGATAGTTTACTGAGAATGATGCTTTCCAATTTCATCCATGTCCCTACAAAGGACATGAACTCATCATTTTTTATGGCTGCATAGTATTCCACGGTGTATATGTGCCACATTTTCTTAATCCAGTCTATCATTGTTGGGCATTTGGGTTGGTCCCAAGTATTTGCTATTGTGAATAATGCCGCAATAAACATACATGTGCATGTGTCTTTATAGCAACATGATTTAGAGTTCTTTGGGTATATACCCAGTAATGGGATGGCTGGGTCAAATGGTATTTCTAGTTCTAGATCCCTGAGGAATCGCCACACTGACTTCCACAATGGTTGAACTAGTTTACAGTCCCACCAACAGTGTAAAAGTGTTCCTATTTCTCCACATCCTCTCCAGCACCTGTTGTTTCCTGACTTTTTAATGATTGCCATTCTAACTTGTGTGAGATGGTATCTCATTGTGGTTTTGATTTGCATTTCTCTGATGGCCAGTGATGATGAGCATTTTTTCATGTGTTTTTTGGCTGCATAAATGTCTTCTTTTGAGAAGTGTCTGTTCATGTCCTTCGCCCACCTTTTGATGGCGTTGTTTGTTTTTTTCTTGTAAATCTGTTTGAGTTCATTGTAGATTCTGGATATTAGCCCTTTGTCAGATGAGTAGGTTGCAAAAATTTTCTCCCATTTTGTAGGTTACCTGTTCACTCTGATGGTAGTTTCTTTTGCTGTGCAGAAGCTCTTTAGTTTAATTAGATCCCATTTGTCAATTTTGTCTTTTGTTGCCATTGCTTTTGGTGTTTTAGACATGAAGTCCTTGCCCATGCCAATGTCCTGAATGGTAATGCCTAGGTTTTCTTCTAGGGTTTTTATGGTTTTAGGTCTAACGTTTAAGTCTTTAATCCATCTTGAATTGATTTTTGTATAAGGTGTAAGGAAGGGATCCAGTTTCAGCTTTCTACATCTGGCTAGCCAGTTTTCCCAGCACCATTTATTAAATAGGAAATCCTTTCCCCATTGCTTGTTTTTCTCAGGTTTGTCAAAGATCAGATAGTTGTAGATATGCGGCGTTATTTCTGAGGGCTCTGTTCTGTTCCATTGATCTATATCTCTGTTTTGGTACCAGTACCATGCTGTTTTGGTTACTGTAGCCTTATAGTATAGTTAGAAGTCAGGTAGTGTGATGCCTCCAGCTTTGTTCTTTTGGCTTAGGAGTGACTTGGCAATGTGGGCTCTTTTTTGGTTCCATATGAACTTTAAAGTAGTTTTTTCCAATTCTGTGAAGAAAGTCATTGGTAGCTTGATGGGGATGGCATTGAATCTGTAAATTACCTTGGGCAGTATGGCCATTTTCACGATATTGATTCTTCCTACCCATGAGCATGGAATGTTCTTCCATTTGTTTTTATCCTCTTTTATTTCGTTGAGCAGTGGTTTGTAGTTCTCCTTGAAGAGGTCCTTCACATCCCTTGTAAGTTGGATTCCTAGGTGTTTTATTCTCTTTGAAGCAATTGTGAATGGGAGTTCACTCATGATTTGGCTCTCTGTTTGTCTGTTTTTGGTGTATAAGAATGCTTGTGATTTTTGTACATTGATTTTGTATCCTGAGACTTTGCTGAAGTTGCTTATCAGCTTAAGGAGATTTTGGGCTGAGACAATGGGGTTTTCTAGATATACAATCATGTCATCTGCAAACAGGGACAATTTGACTTCCTCTTTTCCTAATTGAATACCCTTTATTTCCTTCTCCTGCCTGATTGCCCTGGCCAGAACTTCCAACACTATGTTGAATAGGAGTGGTGAGAGAGGGCATCCCTGTCTTGTGCCAGTTTTCAAAGGGAATGCTTCCAGTTTTTGCCCATTCAGTATGATATTGGCTGTGGGTTTGTCATAGATAGCTCTTATTACTTTGAAATATGTCCCATCAATACCTAATTTATTGAGAGTTTTTAGCATGAAGGGTTGTTGAATTTTGTCAAAGGTTTTTTCTGCATCTATTGAGATAATCATGTGGTTTTTGTATTTGGCTCTGTTTATATGCTGGATTACATTTATTGATTTGCGTATATTGAACCAGCCTTGCATCCCAGGGATGAAGCCCACTTGATCATGGTCGATAAGCTTTTTGATGTGCTGCTGGATTCGTTTTGCCAGTATTTTATTGAGGATTTTTGCATCAATGTTCATCAAGGATATTGGTCTAAAAGTGTGCTGTATTCAGGAAACCCATCTCACGTGCAGAGACACACATAGGCTCAAAATAAAGGGATGGAGGAAGATCTACCAAGCAAATGGAAAACAAAAAAAAAGGCAGGGGTTGCAATCCTAGTCTCTGATAAAACAGACTTTAAACCAACAAAGATCAAAAGAGACAAAGAAGGCCATTACATAATGGGAAAGGGATCAATTCAACAACAAGAGCTAACTATCCTAAATATATATGCACCCAGTACAGGAGCACCCAGATTCATAAAGCAAGTCCTGAGTGACCTACAAAGAGACTTAGACTCCCACACATTAATAATGGGAGACTTTAACACCCCACTGTCAACATTAGACAGATCAACGAAACAGAAAGTCAACAAGGATACCCAGGAATTGAACTCAGCTCTGCACCAAGCAGACCTAATAGACATCTACAGAACTCTCCACCCCAAATCAACAGAATATACATTTTTTTCAGCACCACACCACACCTATTCCAAAATTGACCACATACTTGGAAGTAAAGCTCTCCTCAGCAAATGTAAAAGGACAGAGATTATAACAAACTATCTCTCAGACCACAGTGCAATCAAACTAGAACTCAGGATTAAGAATCTCACTCAAAACCGCTCAACTACATGGAAACTGAACAACCTGCTCCCGAATGACTACTGGGTACATAACGAAATGAAGGCAGAAATAAAGATGTTCTTTGAAACCAACGAGAACAAAGACACAACATACCAGAATGTCTGGGACGCATTCAAAGCAGTGTGTGGAGGGAAATTTATAGCACTAAATGCCCACAAGAGAAAGCAGGAAAGATCCAAAATTGACACCCTAACATCACAATTAAAAGAACTAGAAAAGCAAGAGCAAACACATTCAAAAGCTAGCAGAAGGCAAGAAATAACTAAAATCAGAGCAGAACTGAAGGAAATAGAGACACAAAAAACCCTTCAAAAAATTAATGAATCCAGGAGCTGGTTTTTTTGAAAGGATCAACAAAATTGATAGACTGCTAGCCAGACTAATAAAAAAGAAAAGAGAGAAGAGGAAAATAGACACATTAAAAAATGATAAAAGGGATATCACCACTGATCCCACAGAAATACAAACTACCATCAGAGAATACTATAAACACCTCTATGCAAATAAACTAGAAAATCTCGAAGAAATGGATAAATTCCTGGACACATACACCCCCTGCCCCCAAGACTAAACCAGGAAGAAGTCAAATTCCTGAATAGACCAGTAACAGGTTCAGAAATTCAGGCAATAATTAACAGCTTACCAACTGAAAAAAGCCCAGGGCCAGATGGATTCACAGCTGAATTCTACCAGAGGTACAAACAGGAGCTGGTACCATTCCTTCTGAAACTATTCCAATCAATAGAAAAAGAGGGAATCCTCCCTAACTCATTTTATGAGGCCAGCATCATTCTGATACCAAAGCTGGTTTCTGTTTCTCTAATGACCAGTGATGATGAGCTTTTTTTCATGTTTGTTGGCTGCATAAATGTCTTCTTTTGAAAAGTGTCAGTTCATATCCTTCACCCACTTTTTGAGGGGCTTGTTTTTTTTCTTGTAAATTTGTTTAAGTTTCTTGTAGATTCTGGAGATTAGCCCTTTTTCAGATGGATAGATTGCAAACATTTTCTCCCAATCTGTAGGTTGCCTGTTCACTCTGATGATAGTTTCTTTTGCTGTGCAGAAGCTCTTTAGTTTAATTAGATCTCATTTGTCTATTTTGGCTTTTGTTGCCATTGGTTTTGGTGTTTCAGTCATGAAGTCTTTGCCCATGCCTATCTCCTGAATGGTATCACCTAGGTTTTCTTCTAGGGTTTTTATGGTTTTAGGTCTTCCGTTTAAGTCTTTAATCCATCTTGAGTTAGTTTTGTACAAGGTGTAAGGAAGGGGTTCAGTTTCAGTTTTCTGCTTATGGCTAGCCAGTTTTCCCAACACCATTTATTAAATAGGGAATCCTTTCCCCATTGCTTGTTTCTGGCAGGTTTGTCAAAGATCAGGTGGTTGTAGATGTGTGGTGTTTATTTATAAGGCTTCTGTTCTGTTCCATTGATCTATATATCTGTTTTGGTATTAGTACAATGCTGTTTTGGTTACTATAGCCTTGTAGTATAATTCGAAGTCAGATAGCGTGATGCCTCCAGCTTTGTTTTTGCTTAGGATTGTCTTGGGTATATGGGCTGTTTTTTGATTTGATATGAAATTTAAAGTAGTTTTTTCTACTTCTGTGAAGAATGTTAATGGTAGCTTGATAGGGATATCATTGAATCTATAAATTACTTCGGGCAGTATGGCCATTTTCACGATATTGATTCTTCCTATTTATGAGCATGGAATGTTTTTCCATTTGTTTTTGTCCTCTCTTGAGCAGTGGTTTGTAGTTCTTCTTGAAGAGATCCTTCACTTCCCTTGTAAGTTGTATTCCTAGGCATTTTTTCTATTTGTAGCAATTGTGAATGGGAGTTCACTCATTATTTGGCTGTTTGTCTATTATTGGTATATAGGAATGCTTGTGATTTTTGCACATTGATTTCGTATCCTGAGACCTTGCTGAAGTTGCTAATCAGCTTAAGGAGATTTTGGGCTGAGACGCTGGGGTTTTTTAAATATACAATCGTGTCGTCTGCAAGCAGAGACTATTTGACTTCCTCTCTTCCTGTTTGAATACCCTTTATTTTCTTCTCTTGCCTGATTGCCCTGGCCAGAATTTCCAATACTATGTTGAATAGGAGTGGTGAGAGAGGGCATCCTTGTCTTGTGCCGGTTTTCAAAGGGAATGCTTCCAGTTTTTGCCCATTCAGTATGATATCTGCTGTGGGTTTGTCATAAATAGCTCTTATTATTTTGAGATATGTTCCATTAATACCTTGTTTATGGAGAGTTTTTAGCATGAAGGGTTGTTGAATTTTATCAAAGGCCTTTTCTGCATCTATTGAGATAATCTTGTGGGTTTGGTCAATGATTCTGTTTATGTGATGGATTACATTTATTGATTTGTGTATGTTGAACTAGCTTTGCATCTCAGGGATGAAACTGACTTGATGGTGGTGGATAAGCTTTTTGATTTGCTGCTGGATTCGGTTTGCCAGTATTTTATTGAGGATTTTCGCATCAATGTTCATCAGGTATATTGGCCTGAAATTTTCTTTTTTTGTTGTTGTTTCTCTGCCAGGTTTTGGTAACAGGATGATGCTGGCCTCATAAAATGAGTTAGGGAGGAGTCCTTCTTTTTCTGTTGTTTGGAATAATTTCAGAAGGAATGGTACCAGCTCCTGTTTGTACCTCTGGTAGAATTCAGCTGTGAATCCATCTGGCCCTGGGCTTTTTTCAGTTGGTAAGCTGTTAATTATTGCCTGAATTTCTGAACCTGTTACTGGTCTATTCAGGAATTTGACTTCTTCCTGGTTTAGTCTTGGGGGCAGGGGGTGTATGTGTCCAGGAATTTATCCATTTCTTCGAGATTTTCTAGTTTATTTGCATAGAGGTGTTTATAGTATTCTCTGATGGTAGTTTGTATTTCTGTGGGATCAGTGGTGATATCCCTTTTATCATTTTTTAATGTGTCTATTTTCCTCTTCTCTCTTTTCTTTTTTATTAGTCTGGCTAGCGGTCTATTTTGTTAATCTTTTCAAAAAACCAGTTCCTGGATTCATTGATTTTTTTGAAGGGTTTTTCGTGTCTCTATCTCCCAGTTCTGCTCTGATCTTAATTATTTCTTGCCTTCTGCTAGCTTTTGAATTTGTTTGCTCTTGTTTCTGTAGTTCTTTTAATTGTGATTTTAGGGTATGAATTTTAGATTTTTCCTGCTTTCTCTTGTGGGCATTTAGTGCTCTAAATTTTCCTCTAAACACTGCTTTAGTTGTGTCCCAGAGATTCTGGTATGTTGTGTCTTTGTTGTCATTGGTTTCAAAGAACTTATGTATTTCTGCTTTAATTTAGTTATTTACCTAGTAGTCATTCGGGAGCTGGTTGTTCAGTTTCCATGTAGTTGTGCTGTTTTGAGTGAGTTTGTTAATCCTAAGTTCTAATTTGATTGTACTGTGGTCTGAAAGATGGTTTGTTTTGATTTCTGTTCTTTTGCAGAGGAATGTTTTACTTCCAATTATGTGGTCAATTTTAGAATAATTGTGATGTGGTGCTGAGAAAAATATATATTCTGTTGACTTGGGGTGGAGAGTTGTGTAGATGTCTATTAGTTCTGCTTGATCTAGAGCTGAGTTCAAGTCTTGAATATCGTTCTTAATTTTCTGTCTCGTTGATTTGTCTAATATTGACAGTGGGGTGTTAAAGTCTCCCACTATTATCGTGTAGGAGTCTGAGTCTCTTTATAGGTCTCTGAGAACTTGCTTTATTAATCTGGGTGCTCCTGTATTGGGTGCATATATATTTAGGATGGTTAGCTCTTGTCGTTGCATTGAACCCTTTACCATTTGTAATGCCCTTCTTTGTCTTTTTTGATCTTTGTCAGTTTAAAGTCTGTTCTATCAGAGAATAGGATTGCAACTCCTGCTTTTTTTGGCCTTCTATTTGCTTGGTAAATATTTCTGCATCCCTTTATTTTGAGACTATGTGTGTACTTGAGATGGGTCTTCTGAATACAGCACATGGATGGGTCCTTACTCTTTATCTAATTTGCCAGTCTGTGTCTTTTAATTGAGCCATTTAGCCCATTTACATTTAAGGTTAATATTGTTATATGTGAATTTGCTTCTGTCATTATCATGCTAGCTGGTTATTTTCCCTGTTAGTTGATGCAGTTTCTTCATAGTGTCGATGGTCTTTAAAATTTGATATGTTTTTGCAGTAGCTGTTACTGATTTTTCGTTTCCATGTTTAGTGCTTCCTTCAGGAGCTCTTGTAAGGCAGGCCTGGTGATGACAGAATCTCTCGGCATTTACTTGTCTGTAGAGGATTTTATTTCTCCTTCACTTATGATGCTTAGTTTGGCTGGACATGAAATTCTGGGTTGAAAATTCCTTTCTTTAAGAATGTTGAATATTGGCCCCCACTCTCTTCTGGCTTGTAGGGTTTCTGCAGAGAGATCTACTATTAGTCTGATGGGCTTCCCTTTGTGGGTAACCCGACTTTTCTCTCTGGCTGCCCTTAACATTTTTTTCTTCAATTCAGCTTTGGTGAATCTGATGATTATGTGTCTTGGAGTTGCTCTTCTCGAGGTGTATCTTTGTGGTGTTCTCTGTATTTCCTGAATTTGAATGTTGTCTTGTCTTGCTAGGTTGGGTAAGTTCTCCTGGCTTATATCCTGAAGGGTGTTTTTTTAACTTGATTCCATTTTCCCCATCACCAATCAAATGTAGGTTTGCTCTTTTTACATAGTCCCATGTTTCTTGGAGGCTTTGTTTGTTCCTTTTCATTCTTTTTTCTCTAATCTTGTCTTCATGCTTTATTTCATTGAGTTGATCTTCAATCTCTGATATCCTTTCTTCCGCTTGATTGATTCAGCTATTGATACTTGTGTATGCTTCACGAAGTTCTCGTGGTGTGTTTTTCAACTCCATCAGCCCATTCATCTTCTTCTCTAAACTGGTTATTCTAGATAGCAATTCCTCTAATTTTTTTTCAAGGCTCTTAGCTTCATTGATTGGGTTAGAATATGCTCCTTTAGCTCAGCGGAGTTTGTTGTTACCCACCTTCTGAAGCCTAGTTCTGTCACTTCGCCAAACTTCTTCTCCGTCCAGTTTTGCTCCCTTGCTAGTGAGGAGTTGTGATCTTTTGGGGGAGAAGAGACATTCTGGTTTTGGGAATTTTCAGCCTTTTTGCACTTGTTTTTTCTCATCTTCATGGATTTGTCTACCTTTGGTCTTTGATGTTGGTGACCTTTGGAACAGGTTTTTGTGTACGTCCTTTTTGTTGATGTTGATGCTATTCCTTTCTGTTTGTTAGTTTTCCTTCTAAAAGGGCCCTCTGCTGCAGGACTGCTGAAGTTTGCTGAAGGTTCACTTCAGACCCTGTTTGCTTTGGTATCACCAGCGGAGGCTGCAGAATAGCAAAGATTGCTGCCTGCTCCTTCCTCTGTAAGCTTCGTCTCAGAGGGGCACCTGCCAGATGCCAGCTGGAGCTCCCCTCTATGAGGTATCTCTTGACTACTCCTGGGAGTTGTCTTTCAGTCAGGAGGCACGGTTGTCAGGGATCCACTTGAGGAGGCAGTCTTTCCCTTAGCAGAGCTTGAGCACTATGCTGGGAGATCCATTGCTCTTTTCAGAGCCAGCAGGCAGGAACGTTTAAGTCTGCTGAAGCTGCGCCCACAGCCGCCCGTTCCCCCAGGTGCTCTGTTCCAGGGAGATATGAGTTTTATCTATAAGTCTTTGACTGGAGCTGCTGCCTTTCTTTCAGAGATGGCCTGCCCAGAGAGGACGAATCTAGAGAGGTAATTTGGCTACAGCGGCTTTGCCAAGCTGTGGTGGGCTTTGCCGAGTTCAAATTTCCTGGCAGGTTTGTTTACGCTGTGAGGGTAAAACTGTCTACTCAAGCCTCAGTAATGGTGGATGCCCCTTCCCCCACCAAGCTCAGACATCCCAGGTTGACTTCAGACTGCTGTGCTGGCATTGAGAATTTCAAGCCAGTGGATCTTAGCTTCCTGGGCTCCTTGGGGGTGGGATCCACTGAGCTAGACCACTTGGCTCCCTGGCTTCAGCCCCCTTTCCAGGGGAGTGAACATTTCTATCTCGCTGACATTCCAGGAGCCACTGGGGTATGAAAAAAAAACACTTCTGCAACTAGCTCAATGTCTGTCCAAATGGCCACCTAGTTTTTGGCTTGAAACCCAGGGCCATGGTGGTGTCGGCACCCAAGGGAATCTTCTTGTCTGTGGGTTGTGAAGTCTGTGGGAAAAGTGTAGTAACTGGGCCGGAATGCATTGTTCCTCACTCACGGCACAGTCCCTCATGGCTTTCCTTGGCTCGGGGAGGGAGTTCCCTGACCCCTTGTGCTTCCCAGGTGAGGCGACACCCCACCCTGCTTCTGCTCGCCCTCTGTGGGCTGCACCCACTGTCTAACCAGTCCAGTGAGATGAGCCGGGTACTTTAGTTGGAAGTGCAGAGATCACCTGCCTCCTGCACTGATCTCGCTGGGAGCTGCAGACCAGAGCTGTTTCTATTCAGCCATCTTGCCAGCTACTCCTTAAGACATCATATCTTAGAAATCATAGCAAAATCCAGTGTCATGACGATTTCTTCTTGTTTTCTTCTGAGTGTTTTATAGTTGTAGCTCTTACATTTAGTGCTTTGATACACTTGAGTTAATTTTTATCTATGTGAGGTCAGCATCCTACTTCACTCTTTTGCATGGGGATATCCAGGTTTCCCTGTAGCATTTGTTGAGAAGACATACTTTCTCCTTCAAATGTTTGATACTCTTGTTGAATATAGTTGACCACGTATTTGAGACTTTACTTCTAGGCTCGGTGTTCTATTTCATTTGTTTATATGTCTGTCTTTATGCCAGTACCACACTTTTTTGATCACTTGAGCTTTGTAGTAAATTATTAAATCAGAAGATGTGAGTCTTCCAACATTTTTTTTCTCATTTTTAAGATTGCTTGGCTAATAGGGGTATCTTGAGTTTTCCTGTGAATTTTAGGATTTTTTTTATTTCTATGAAAAAGTCATTGAGATTCTGATAGGGATTACATTCAATCGGTACATTTTTCGGGGGTAGTATTGTCATCTTAACAATATGAAGTCTTCCAATCCATAAGAGCAGACTGTCTTAAATAAGTCTCCTGAAATTTCTTTTGGCAGTATTTTGTGGTTTTCTATGTATCAGTGTTTTGCCTCCTTGGTTAGATTTAATCCTAAGTATTTTATTCATTTTGATGCTATTGTAAATTGAATTTTTTTTCATTTTCATCAGCGTGTTTATTATTGCACAGAAACAAACTGATTTTTGTGTATTCAGTTTGTATCCTGTGACATTGCTCATTTTTGTGAGATTTAATATATTTTTGTGGATTCTTTAGGGATTTCTACCTATAAGTTTATGTCATCTGTGAACAGAGATATTTTTACTTTTTCCTTTAAAATTTAGGTGCGTTTTTGGCAGGACGCAGTGGGTCATGCCTGTAATCCCAGCACTTTGGGAGGCAGAGGTGGGTGGATCACCTGAGTTCAGGAGTTCAAGACCAGCCTGGCCAACTTATAGTGAAACCCCATCTCTACTATAAAATACAAAAATTAGCTGGGTGTGGTGGCACACTCCTGTATTCCCAGCTACTTGGGAAGCTGAGGCAGGAGAATCACTTGAACCCAAGAGGTGGAGGTTGCAGTCAGCCGAGATTGCACCACTCTACTCCAGCCTGGGTGACAGAGTGAGACACCATCTCTAAAAAAAAAAAAAAAAGTTTAGATGCTTTTTATTAATTTTTTCTTGCCTAATTGTCCTGGTGAGAATTTCCAGTGCTAAATTGAATAGAAGCGGTGAAAGTGTGCATTGTTACCATGTTCCCCTCTGAAACAAAAACCTTTTAGTCTTTTACTATTTATTATGATATTAGATTAGCTGTGTATTTTTCATGTATGGCCTTTATCATGTTGAGTAAGTTTCTTTCCATTCCTAATTTGTTTGGTGTCTTTTGTTTTGTTTTGTTTTAGACCATTTCTTGCTCTCTTGCCTATACTAGAGTGCAGTGGTGCAATCATAGCTCACTTCAGCCTCACACTCCTGGGCTCAAGCAGTCCTCCCACCTCAGCCTCCCGAGTAGCGGCATCTACAGTGACACACCATCACACCTGGCTAATGTTTTCTTTTAAAATACTTATAGAGATGGGGTCTCTCTGTGTTGTCCAGGTTGGCCTTGAACTCTTGGCCTCAGGCCATCCTCCTACCTCAGCCTTGTTTTCTCTAATTGATACTTAGTATTTCTACATATTTATGGAGTACATATAATATTTTGTAACATACATAGACTGTGGAATGAGTCAAGGTATTTGGGGTGTCCATCACCTTGAATATTTATTATTTCTATGTGTTGGACATTTCAAGTTCTCTCTTCTAGCTATTTTGAAGTATATAATACATTGTAATTAACTATAGTCACCTTAGTTGTAACAAACATTCAAACTTATTCCTTTTAACTACATGTCTCGCTGGCATTCCAGGTGCCACTGGGTATGAAAACATTCATACCCAGTGCTATCAAACATTCAAACTTACTCCTTTTAACTGCATGTTTATACCTATTAAACAACATCTCTTTATTTTCCCCCAATCACACACCCTTCCAAGCCTCTGGAAGTATCATTCTACTCTCTACCTCTATGAAATCAATGTTTTTAGCTCCCACATGAGTGAGAACCTGCACTGTTTGTTATTCCATGCCTAGCTTATTTAATGTAACAAAATGGCCTCCATTTCCATCCACGTTGCTGCAAATGCATTTCATTTTTTAATAGCAGTTTTTGTTTGCTTGGAGTATCTTTATCCATGGGAAAAGCAGAGTACTCGGCATGGGTAGCACAGTCCCTCACTGCTTCCCTTGGCTGGGAGAGGGAGGTTCCCCGGCTCCATGCATTTTCCGGGTGAAGTGATGCCCCACCGTGCTTCTGCTCGCTCTCCGTGGGTTGCACCCACTGACTAACCATTCCTAACAAGATGAACTGGGTACCTCAGTTGGAAATGCAGAAATCACTTGCCTTCTGTGTTGGTCTCGGTGGGAGCTACAGACTGCAGCTGTTCCCGTTTGGCCATCTTGGCCCCTTCCCAATTTGTTTTTATGTTGTGTCCTTGTCTGGTTTTGATATCAGTGTAATGCTGGCCTATTAGAATGAGTTAGGAAGAATTCCCTTCTCTTCAATTTTTTGAATAGTTTGTGATGAATTGGTGTTAGTTTTTATTTGATAGTTTGGTAGAATTCACCTGTGAAGCAATCCATTCCTGGAGTTTTCTTTGTTGGGACACTTTTTTAAATTACTGCTTCAATCTCATTATTTGATATTGGTCTGTTCAGGTTTTCTGTTTCTTGTTGATTTGATGCTGGTAGGTTATAGTGTCCTGGAATATCCATTTGCTCTAGGTTTTCTAGTTTTTTAGTGTTTGGTTGTTCATAATAGTGTCGGATGATTTGTATTTCTTTGTTATCAATTGTAATGTCTCTGCTTTCATTTCTGATTTTGTTTTTTTTTTCTCTTTTTTTCTTGGTTAGTCTAACTAGCAGTTTATTGATTTTGTTTCTCTTTTTAGAAAACCAGCTTTTTTTATTATTATTATACTTTAAGTTTTAGGGTACATGTGCACAACGTGCCGGTTAGTTACATATGTACACATGTGCCATGTTGGTGTGCTGCACCCATTAACTCGTCATTTAACATTAGGTATATCTCCTAATGCTATCCCTCCCCTCTCCCACACCCCACAACAGGCTCCAGTGTGTGATGTTCCCCTTCCTATGTCCATGTGTTCTCATTGTTCAGTTCCCACCCATGAGTGAGAACATGCGGTGTTTGGTTTTTTGTCCTTGTGATAGTTTGCTGAGAATGATGGTTTCCAGCTTCATCCATGTCCCTACAAAGGACATGAACTCATCATTTTTTATGGCTGCATAGTATTCCATAGTGTATATGTGCCACATGTTCTTAATCTGGTCTATCGTTGTTGGACATTTGGGTTGGTTCCAAGTCTTTGCTATTGTGAATAGTGCCGCAATAAACATACGTGTGCATGTGTCTTTATAGCAGCATGTTATATAATCCTTTAGGTATATACCCAATAATGGGATGGCTGGGTCAAATGGTATTTCTAGTTCTAGATCCCTGAGGAATCGCCACACTGACTTCCACAATGGTTGAACTAGTTTACAGTCCCACCAACAATGTAAAAGTGTTCCTATTTCTCCACATCCTCTCCAGCACCTGTTGTTTCCTGACTTTTTAATGATTGCCATTCTAACTTGTGTGAGATGGTATCTCATTGTGGTTTTGATTTGCATTTCTCTGATGGCCAGTGATGATGAGCATTTTTTCATGTGTTTTTTGGCTGCATAAATGTCTTCTTTTGAGAAGTGTCTGTTCATGTCCTTTGCCCACTTTTTGATGAGGTTGTTTGTTTTTTTCTTGTAAATTTGTTTGAGTTCATTGTAGATTCTGGATATTAGCCCTTTGTCAGATGAGTAGATTGCAAAAATTTTCTCCCATTCTGTAGGTTGCCTGTTCACTCTGATGGTAGTTTCTTTTGCTGTGCAGAAGCTCTTTAGTTTAATTAGATCCCATTTGTCAATTTTGTCTTTTGTTGCCATTGCTTTTGGTGTTTTAGACATGAAGTCCTTGCCCATGCCTATGTCCTGAATGGTATTGCCTAAGTTTTCTTCTAGGGTTTTTATGGTTTTAGGTCTAACATTTAAGTCTTTAATCCATCTTGAATTAATTTTTGTATAAGTTGTATGGAAGGGATCCAGTTTCAGCTTTCTACATATGGCTAGCCAGTAGAAAACCAGCTTTTTGTTTAATAGATCTCTTGTATTGTTGAATCGCTGTTACATTTAGTTCTGCTCTGATCTTCATTTTTTTTCATCTATTAATTTTGTGTTTGGTTTATTTTCTGTTTTCTAGTTCCTTGAGATGCAGTGTTAGGTTGTTATTTTGTGAGCTTTCTATTTTTTGTTGTTGTTGTAGGCATTTAATGCTATCAACTTTCATTTAGTGTTGCTTTTGTTGTATCCCATAGGTTTTGGTATGTTGTGTTTCAGTTTTCATTTGTTTCAAGCAATGTTTTTATTTCATCCCTAATTTCTTGTTAACCCCATGGTCATTCAGGAACATGTGGTTTAATTTCCATGTATTTGCAGAGTTTCCTACATTCCTCTTGTTATTGATATCTAGTTTTGTTCCATCGTGACCTGAAAAGATCAGTGATAGAATTTTGAGTTTTTAAAATTTGTTGATACTTGTTTTATGTGCCAACATATGGTTTATCCTAGAGAATGTTCCATGTGCTGATTAGAAGAACGTGGATTCTGTAGCTGTTGAATGAAATTTTCCATAAATGTTTTTTAGATCCATTTGGTCTAATATGTAGTTTAAGTATTATGTTTCTTTGTTACTTTTCTGTGTGGATAGATGATCTATCTAATGCTGAGAGTGAGGTGCTGAGGTCCCCAACTGTTATTGTATTGGAGTTTATTTCTTCCTTTATAACTAGTAATACTTGTTTTATGTATCTGGGTGCTCAAGCTTGTTAGGTGCATATATGTTTAGAATTTTTATATCCTTAGGCTAAACTGATCACTTTATCATTACATAGTGAACTTTCTGTCTCATTTTACTGTTTTTTCTTAAAGTTTGTTTTATCTGATGTATGTATGTATGTATAGTTTTTGTTTGCATGGAGTATCTTTATCCATACCTATTCTTTCAGTCCACATATGTCTTTACAGGTAAGATGAGTTTCTTTAGTCAGCATATAGTTGGTTCTATAATTTGATTTCTTTGTTTCCTCCAAATCTCATGTTGAAATTTGATCCCCATTGTTAAAGATGGGGCCTAATGGGAGTTGTTTGGGTTATGGGGAGGGATCCCCCCTGAATGGCTTGGTGACATCTTCATGGTAATGAGTGAGTTCTCATTCTGTTGGTTTTGCTGGTTATTGAAAAGATCCTGGTACCTCCCTTTCCACTCTTTCTTGCTTCCTCTCTTATCATATGATTTGTGCACATGCTGGCTTATCTTCCCCTTCCACCACAAGTGGAAGCAACCAGAAGCCCTCACCAAGAGCAGATACTACAGCCAGCATTTTTGTAGAGCCTGCAGAACTTTGAGCCAAATAAACCTATTTTCTTTATAAATTACCTGGTTTCCAGTATTTTTTATAGCAACACAAATTGACTGGGACAGTTGATTCATAATTTTTTATTCATTCAGCCAGTCTGTTTCTTTTAAATGGAAAGTTTTATTTGTTCTGTGTTACTATTGGTAGATGAGAGCTTATTCCCCTCATTTTATCATTGGATTTCTGGTTGTTTTATATACCTTCCCTCCCTCTCTCCCTCCCTCCCTTCCTTGCTCCCTTCCTTCCTTCCTTCCCTCCTTCCTTCTTTCCTTCCTTTTTTATCCATCCATCCATCTGTTGTGCTTTGCTGGTTTTCTATATTGTTAATATTTGAGTCTTTTCTTTCTTATTTGTATTTGCTTTACTGGTAGATGTTATACTTTCATGTGTTTTCATGAGGGCAGGTAGTGTGCTTTTGCTTCCAGGTGTAGGACTCCCTTAAGCAGTTTTTGTTGGATGGGTCTAGTAGTGATGAATTACCTCAGCTTTTGCTTATCTGGAAAAGACTTTTATTTCTTCTTCATGTTTGAAGGATGACTTTTCTGGGTATAGTATCCTTGGCTGGCATTATTTTTTTTTATTTCAGCAGTTTGAATATATCATTCCATTCTCTTCTGGCCTGTAAGGTTTCTGCTGAGAAATCTAGTTAGTCTGTAAGTTTCCTTTATAAGTGACAAGACACTTTTCTCTTGCTGTTTCTAGAATTCTCTCTTTGTCTTTGACTTCTGACAGTTTGGCTATAATGTGTTTTGGAGGGGACTTCTTTGAATGGTATCTATTTGGAGATCTCTGATCTTCCTGTATCAGGATGTCTAAATCTCTTGCTAGGAAACTTAGGATGTTTTCAGCTATTAATTAAGTAGGTTTCCTATCCCTTTCATTTTCTCTTCACCTTCTTAGACACCAAAAATTCAAACATTTAGTAACCTTATGCTGTCCCATGTCATGTGGGCTTTGTTCATTTTTTTCTTACTCTTTTTTTCTTATTTTTGTCTGACTAGGTTATTTCAAAAGACCTGTCTTTATGTTCTGAAATTATTTCTTCTGCTTGAACTTTTCTGTTAAAGATTTTGACTACATTTTCTATTTTATGTAATAAATTCTTTATTTCTAGAACTTCTGTTTAAATCTTTTTTATGGTATCTATCTCTTCAATAAATTTCTTATTCGGATACCCAATTGTTTTTCTGATTCTTTGTATTGTTTTACTCTACTCTGTGTATGTCACTGCGCTTTTTTTTATATCACTGTTTTAAATTCTTTTTCCAAGTTTTTATAAATTTCTTTCTGATTGGAGCCTGTTCCTGGAGAATTATTGTGTTCTTTGGAGATGTCAAACTTCCTTGCTTTTTGATGTTTTTTTGTGTGTGTCCTTATGTTGGTATGTATGCATCTGATATAACAGTTGCTTCTTCCAAATTTTCAAATTTGCTTTTTAGGGGAGGACTTTTTTAAGAAAATGTTTTTATGGTGTTGGTTGGGTAGAGCACTTTGGCTTTAATTCTTGATGTATAGTCTAGTCTTCATGGTATTTTCAGTTGTAAAAGCATCAGTGGTGTCTTTGATTCCTTTGGTGGCTTAGGGTGTGGTTGTTAGTGGAGCTTGTGGTGAAGTTTTGCTGGGGATGACAACACTATGTAAGCCTTTTTTTGCCCCAGTGGTGACAGCAGCGGGTCCCCAGACAGCATATGCTGGCACAAGTGTTAGCAGGTCCAGTCAAACCAATTCTTGGTCTCCAGTCAGGGTGCTTCAGTGCTGGTAGTTACAGTGGTGGGCCGGTTGGGTGGACAGGATCTTGGGGGGTAGTGGACGTGGCAAAGACAATGGCAGTAGGAGTGGCAGGACAACCCTCTGGCTCCTAAAATGTCCACACTGGTGTTGGCAGTGCCTGCACTGGGCTGAGCAGACAAGTCCCCAGGCCTTCAAATGGTGCTTGTGATTGGATGTCAGCTGTGGTACTAGTGGTTGAGTAGGCCTGACCATAGCCTCCTAGGAGGAGTTCTCAGGTGTCAATGATGGTATTGTGGGGTTGGCGGTCTCTAGGCTGCTGGAAAATGTGCTTGGGCACTTGGGGGGTGGGGTTGGTGGAGCTGGTCCAGATGGATGTGTCCTCAGGCCCTCTGGTAGTGTGTGCAAGTGCTTGGTTTGGTACACAGCGGCAGGGTCATCTCCAGGCTCCTGGTGGAATGTTTGGCTGGGGGCAACAGTGATTGTACCACAGCCTTGTTCCTGGGTCAGGTGGGGTTGCTTTTAGTGTCAGTGGCTATATGCAGGTGGCTAGGGGGCATGTGTTTTGCTTGTGCTTTGGCCCTGGTGGTGGCAGCTCACAGTAGAGGCAGCTACGTGGTGGGTTTGCTGCTGAGGGCAGTGGGGTTGTTACCAATGATTCAGGGGTCAGCCCTGGTTGGGACAGACAGTCACAGAGGTATTGCAGGTAGGGAAGATCAATGGAGCTCTAGGAATTTGGAGATTCCAGGGTTATTGGCCCCCCTCCCCCCAGGCAGGAGGCAGTATAGTAGGGGCTGGGCTCTCAGTGTGCACCTTACTGTAGCTGCTTAGGACTTGTGGGGGCATGGGACCCAATGTGACTACCCTCTATGGAGCAGTGCCTTCACATGATCTCCAGGCAGGCCTTTGTTAGCCTTAGGACCCATAAGCATCTAGGGGCTCTCCTGTGGCTGGAATTGCAGTAGTCTGCAGTGGGAATGTACAACACTGGAGGTATCTTAATTACCCTGTGGCTTTGCATGGTACAGCCTCCCTCCCAGTTGCTTTCACAGGCTGGCGTTGAATGTCTGCAGCTTTTTCAGGTGTATGGTGAGAGCTGTCGGTGGATCTACCACTCAGGTGTCTGGAGGACAATGGCCCTCTTCTCACAGCTCCACTAGGCAGTGCCCCAGTGAGGGGCTTCAACCCCACATTTTCCTTACATTGCCCTAGCAGATGTTCTCTATGAGAGCCCCACCCCTGCAGCAAACTTCTGCCTGAACATCCAGGCATTTCCATACATCCTCTGAAACCTAGGTGGAGGTTCCCAAACCTCAGTTCTTGACTCTTGTGCACGCACAGGATCAACACCACATGGAAGCTGCCAAGGCTTGGGGCTTGCTTCCTCTGAAACCATGGCCCAAGCTGTACCTTGGCCCATTTTAGCCATGGCTAGAGTGGCTAGGATGGAGAGCACCAAGTCCCTAGGCTGCACACAGCAGGGGTCCCCTAGGCCTGGCCCACAAAACCATTTTTTCTTTCTATGCCTCTGGGCCTGTGATGGTAGGGGCTTCCACAAAGGTCTCTGACATGCCCTGGAGACATTTTCCTCATTGTCTTGGCAATTCACATTTGGCTCCTTTTTACTTATGCAAATTTCTGCAGCCAGTTTGAATTTCTTCTGAGAAAATGTGTTTTACTTTTCTATCACATCATCAGGCTGCAAATTTTCTGAACTTTTATGCTGTTTCCCTTTTAAAAGTAAATAATTTTAATAGCACCCAAGTCACCTCTTGAATGCTTTGCTGCTTAGAAATTTTTTTTCTGCCTGATACCCTAAATCATCTCCCTCAAGTTGAAAGTTTCACAAATCTCTAGGATAGGGGCAAAATGCCGCCAGTCTCTTTGCTAAAACATAGCAAGAGTCACCTTTACTCCAGTTCCCAACAAGTTCCTCATCTTCATTTGAGACCACCTCAGCCTGGATTTCATTGTCCATATTATTATTAGCATTTTGGTCAAAGCCATTCAACAAGTTACAAAGTTCCAAACTTTCCCACATTTTTCTGTCTTCTTCTGAGCCTTCCAAACTGTTCCAGCCTCTGCCTGTTACCCAGTTCCAAAGTCATTCTACATTTTCAGGTATCTTTACAGCAGGACCCCACTCTACCAGTACCAATTTACTGTATTAGTCTGTTCCCATGTTGCGAATAAAGACATACCTGAGACTGGATAATGTATAAGGAAAAAGAGGTTTAATGGACTCACAGTTCTACATGGCTAGGAAGGCCTCACAATCATGGCAGAAGGCAAAAGGCACTTACATGGTGGTGGCAAGAGAGAATGAGAACCAAGCAAAATGGATTTCCCCTTATAAAACCATCAGTTCTCATGAGACTTATTCACTACCATGAGAACAGTATGGGGGAAACTGCCCCCATGATTCAATTATCTCTCACCACATACCTCCCACAACACATGGGAATTAGGGGATCTACAATTCAAAATGAGATTTGGGTGGGGACACAGCCAAACCATATCAGAGTGTTAAAGAAATTTGTTGTGTCATACTACCAGAATTGTTTTTCTGGTTCTTTCTCATTTGGGTAGACTATGTCAGAGGGAAGATCTGCGTCTTAAGGGCTGCTGTTCAGATTCTTTTGTCCCATGGGGTGCTTCATTGCTGTGGTATTCTCCCCCTTTTCCTAGGTATGTGGCTTCCTTAGAGCTGAACTGCAGTGATTATTTCTTTTTTGGATTTAGCCACCCAGCGGAGCTACCAGGCTCCTGGCTGGTACTGGGAGGTGTCTGCACATAGTTCTGTGACGTGAACTGTCTTCAGGTCTCTCCGCCATGGATAGCCATACCTACTATGATGGAGGTGGCAGTGGAGTGAAATGGACTCTGCAAGGGTCCTTAGTTGTAGTTTTATTGCACTAGTTTTGTGCTGTTTGGCTTGCCAGGAGGTGGCACTTTCAATAGAGCATCAGCTGTAGTAGTATAGGGATGATCAGGCAATGCACAGGGTCCTAGAACTCCCAAGATAATATGTCCTTTGTCTTTTGCTACCAGAGTGGGTAGAGAAAGACTATCACATGAGGGTACGGTTGAGTGTGTCTGAGCTCAGACTCTCCTTGGGTGGGGTCTGCTGTGGCTGCCGTAGGGGCTGGGGGTGTGGTTCTCAGGCCAGTGGAGTTATGTTCCCAGGGGATTATGGTTGCCTCTGCTGTGTCATGCAGGTTGTCAGGGAACTGGGGGAAAGAGAGCCATTACAGGCTTCATCCAGCTCCCATGCAGCCCAAAAGGCTGGTCTCACTTCCACCATGCCCCACCCCCAACAGCACCAAGTTGGTTTTCAGGCAGCAGGTAAGCAGGGCTGATAACCTGCCCCAGGCTACCAGCCTCCTGGCTGCGAAAGCAAGCAGGGCTTTCAGGTTTTATTCCTCCCCGCCTGCTGTGGCTTCTGTGCTATATCTGCACTCTGGATTCACCTCCTCCCCTGATTTCTGTCCAAGAAAATTCACACTAGGTCGATTTTCTTTTTTACAAAGTTCAGCTAGAAGTTTTCTTCTTCCTCTGGTCTTTTCCCAGTTCCTCTGGCAGCCCTCCTTAAGGACCTCTGCAAGACAAAGTCAGAAATGGCTTCTTTGGGGGCCAAGAGAGCCCACAGGGCACTTCCTGCTGCTTCTTCTACCCCTGCATTTTGCTCGGCTCTCTAAAACCGTCTCAGTTCCAGGTAGGGTCAAATCTTTCTCCCATGATCTGGACCTTAGGTTCCCCAGTGAGGGTGTGTGTTCAGGGGTAAGATGATCCACCTTTCACACTTTTACACTTTGGGGACGCACAGGTTTTGGGCTGTCTCCCGGGGTATGCAGGAGCAATCTACTTCCTTCAAAGGGTCTATGGATTCTCTTAGCTTTCTTTGTATATTCATGCAGTAGTCCTTGGAGCAAGAGTTCACAATGTGAATCTCTACACACTGCTCTGTCCTTCTGAGTGGGAGCCGCAATTTAGTCCTGCCTCCTATCTGCCGTTTTTCTTTCCTCTCCCCAGCCACTCTATTTCTTTTCACTGGAGAGTTTAATCCACTTATATTCAGTGTTATTGATCAGTAATGATTTACTCCTTTCATTTTCTTGTTTACTGGTGTTTTATTGTCTTCTCTTCCCTCCTTCTTTCCTTCCTGTCTTCCTTTTGGTGAAAGTGATTTTCCCTACTGCTGTTCTTTAATGTCTAGCTTCTTTTTGTTATATGTTGTATGTTTAATTTTTGATTTGAGGTTACCATAAGGCTTGCAAATAACATAATATATTATTTTAAACTGATGACAAGTTAACAATTATATAAAAACAAGCAAGCAAAGAGAAAACTAATAAAAACTCTACATTTTAACTTTATCCTTCCCACTTTTTTTCTTTAAAATTATTATACTTAAGTTCTGGGATATATGTGCAGATCGTGCAGGTTTGTTACATAGGTATACATGTGCCATGGTGGTTTGCTACACCCATCGACCTGTAATCTACATTAGATATTTCTCCTAATGCTATCCCTCCCCTTTTCCCCCACCCCCCAAAAGGCCCTGGTGTGTGATGTTCCCCTCCCTGTGTCCATGTGTTCTCATTGTTCAGGTCCCACTAATGAGTGAGAACATGCGGTGTTTGGCTTTCTGTTCCTGTGTTAGTTTGCTGAGAATGATGGTTTCCAGTTTCATCCATGTCCCTACAAAGGATGAGCTCATCCGTTTTTATGGCTGCATAGTATTCCATGGTGTGTATGTGTCACATTTTCCTTATCCAGTCTATCACTGATGGGCATTTGGGTGGGTTCCAAGTCTTTGCTATTGTGAACAGTGCTGCAATAAACATACACGTGCATGTGTCTTTAGAGTAGAATGATTTATAATTCTTTGGGTGTATACCCAGTAATGGGATTGCTGGGTCAAATGGTTTTTCTGGCTCTAGATGCTTGAGGAATCACCACACTGTCTTCCACAATGGTTGAACTAATTTACACTCCCACCAACAGTGTAAAAGCGTTCCTATTTCTCCACATCCTCTTCAGCATCTGTTGTTTCCTGACTTTTTAATGATCACCATTCTAACTAGCATGAGATGGTATCTCATTGTGGTTTTGACTTGCATTTCTCTAATGACCAGTGATGATGAGCTTTTTTACATGTTTTTTGGCTGCATGAATGCCTTCTTTTAAGAAGTGTCTATTCATATCCTTTGCCCACTTTTTGGTGGGGTTGTTTTTATCTTGTAAATTTGTTTAAGTTCCTTGTAGATGCTGGATATTAGCTCTTTCTCAGATGGATAGATGCTAAATTTTTCTCCCATTCTGTAAGTTGCCTGTTCACTCTGATGATAGTTTCTTTTGCTGTGCAGAAGTTCTTTAGTTTAATTATACCCCATTTGTCAATTTTGGCTTTTGTTGAAATTGGTTTTGGTGTTTTAGTCATGAAGTCTTTGCCCATGCCTATGTCCTGAATGGTATTGCCTAGGTTTTCTTCTAGAGTTTTTATGGTTTTGGGTTTTACTTTTAAGCCTTTAATCCATCTTGAGTTAATTTTTGCATAAGGTGTATGTAAGGGGTCCAGTTTCAGTTTTCTGCATATGACTAGCAAGTTTTCACAACACCATTTATTAAATAGGGAATCCTTTCCCCATTGCTTATTTTTTCAGGTTTGTCAAAGATCAGATGGTTGTAGATGTGTGGCATTATTTCTGAGGCCTCTGTTCTGTTCCATTGGACTATATATCTGTTTTTGTACCAGTACCATGCTGTTTTGGTTACTGTAGCCTTGCAGTATAGTTTGAAGTCAGGTAGAGTGATGCCTCCAGCTTTGTTCTTTTTGCTTAGGATTGTCTTGGCTATACAGGCTCTTTTTTGGTTCCATATGAAATTTAAAGTAGTTTTCTCTGATTTTATGAGGAAAGTCAATGGTAGATTGATAGGGATATCATTCAATCTGTGAATTACTTTGGGCAGTATAGCCATTTTCACAATATTGATTCTTCCTATCCATGAGCAGGGAATGTTTTTCCATTTTTTGGTGTCCTCTCTTTTCCTTGAGCAGTGCTTTATAGTTCTCCTTGAAGAGGTCCTTCACATCCTTTGTAAGTTGTATTTGTAGGTATTTTATTTTCTTTGTAGCATTTGTGAATGGGAGTTCGCTCATGATTTGGCTCTCTGTTTGTCTATTATTGGTTTATAGGAATGCTTGTGATTTTTGCACATTGATTTGTATGCTGAGACTTTCCTGAAGTTGCTTATCAGCTGAAGGAGATTTGGGGCTGAGACAATGGGGTTTCTAAATATACAATCATGTCATCTGCAAACAGAGGCAATTTGACTTCCTCTCTTCCTATTTGAATACCCTTTATTTCTTTGTCTTGCCTGATTGCCCTGGCCAGAACTTCAAATATTATGGTGAATAGGAGTTGTGAGAGAGGGCATCCTTGTCTTGTGCTGGTTTTCAAAGGGAATGCTTCCAGCTTTTGCCCATTCAGTATGATATTGACTGTGGGTTTGTTATGAATAGCTCTTGTTATTTTGAGATACATTCCATAAATATCTAGTTTATTGAGAGTTTTTAGCATGAAGGGCTGTTGAATTTTGTCAAAGGCTTTTTCTGCATCTATTGAAATAATCATGTAGTTTTTGTCATTGGTTCTGTTGATGTGATGGATTACATTTTTTGATTTGCATATGCTGAACCAGCCTTGCACCCCAGGGATGAAACAGACTTGATCATGGTGGATAAGCTTTTTGATTTGCTGCTGGATTTGGTTTGCCAGTATTTTATTGAGGATTTTCACATTGATGTTCATCAGGGATATTGGCCTGAAATTTTCTTTTTTTGTTGTATCTCTGCCAGGTTTTGGTATCAGGATGATGCTGGCCTTATAGAATGAGTTAGGGAGGAGTCCCTCTTTTTCTATTGTTTGGAATAGTTTCAGAAGGCATGGTACCAGCTCCTGTTTGTACCTCTTGTAGAATTCGGCTGTGAATCTGTCTGGCCCTGGGCTTTTTTGTTTGTAGGCTATTAATTACTGCCTCAATTTCAGAACCTGTTATTGGTCTATTCAGGGATTCGACTCCTTCCTGGTTTAGACTTGGGAGGGTTTATGTGTTGAGGAGTTTATCCATTTCTTTGATATTTTCTAGTTTATTTGCGTGGAGGTGTTTATACTATTCTGTGATGGTAGTTTGTGTTTCTGTAGGATCAGTGGTGATATCCACTTTATTTTTTATTGTGTGTATTTTATTTTTCACTCTTCTTTATTGTTCTGGCTAGCAGTCTAACTATTTTGTTAATCTTTTGAAAAAAACAGCTCCTGGATTCATTGACTTTTTGAAGGGTTTTTTGTGTTTCTGTCTCCTCCAGTTCTTCTCTGTTCTTAGTTATTTCTTGTCTTCTGCCAACTTTTTAATTTGTTTGCTGTTGCTTTTCTAGTCATTTTGATTATGATGTTAGACTGTCAATTTTACATCTTTCCCGCTTTCTTCTGTGGGCATTTAGTGCTATAAATTTCCCTCCAAACACTGCTTTAGCTGTGTCCCAGAGATTCTGGTATGTTGTGTCTTTGTTGTCATTGGTTTCAAAGAACTTACTTATTTCTACATTAATTTCGTTATTTACCCAGTAGTCATTCAGGAGCAGGTTGTTCAGTTTCCAAGTAGTTACGTGGTTTTGAGTGAGTTTCTTCATCCTGAGTTTTAATTTGATTGCACTGTGGTCTGAGAGACTGTTATGATTTCTGTTCTTTTGCATTTGCTGAGTAGTGTTTTACTTCCAATTATGTGGTCAATTTTAGCATAAGTGTGATGTGGTGCTGAGAAGAACGTATATTCTCTTGATTTGGGGTGGAGAGTTCTTTAAATGTCTATTAGTTCTGCTTGGTCTAGAGCTGTGTTCAAGTTCTGAATATCCTTGTTAATTTTCTGTCTCATTGATCTGTCTAATATTGACAGTGGGGTGTTAAAGTCTCCCATTATTATTGTGTGGGAGTCTAAGTCTCTTTCTAGGTCTCTAAGAACCTGCTTTATGAATCTCGTTGCTCCTGTATTGGGTGCATATATATTTAGGATAGTTAGCTCTTCTTGTTGCATTGATCCCTTTACCTATTGTAATGCCCTTCTTTGTCTTTTTTGATCTTTGTTGGTTTAAAGTCTGTTTTATCAGGGACTAGGATTTCAATACCTGTTTTTTTTTTCTTTGCATTTGCTTGGTAAACATTCCTCCATCCTTTATTTTTAGCCTACACACGTAGAATTTTTTACAAGGTTGATTTTTCACAAATCTTCCACAACTTGCTTAAGCCTTCAGCTTTATCCTATCTAACTTAAAACAATGTTTTAACCCTCTAAACTTAGCAAAAAAAATTTACATTTCTTTAACTTCTTATGATATTTTACCAAAAATACATTTCACTTTTCTTACACACCTTTTATAAAACTGTTTTTATTTCCCAAAGATTACCTAAGTCACATGAACTAAAAGGCATTACACTTTACTTTTTTGACAAAATATTTGATTTAACCTTTTATTATTGTAAACCAATTAAAGCTCTTTCATATATAAACATCACACACAACACGTATAAATACACAGATAAAAGAAGATCCAGTAGTTGTAAGGGTTTTCATTTGCCAGTTTTAAAGTTTCTCTTTAAAGTATGCAGTTACTAGGGCCTAATAAGCAGGCACAGCTGGAAGGCAAAAGAAATCCCCCAAAATTAAGGATCTCATTTTTATACTAGATACTGGATCTTAAAAAATAGGGAATCAGCCCATTCCCCATGGGAGTCTTATCTCTCAGGTGGGGGTGGGGAAATTTCCATAACTTCTAGGTGGTCAAGAGCATGCTTCTCTAATCCAAACATGCAAAGAGCCATGTATTTTTTCATAACTGCCATTAGCTGTTTTCAAAAGTACATTTTCTACCTAGTTACTACACACCAAGTTTCTCTCATAATGTGATACCCCCAAAAGTCAAAACCATCAGATAACATAATGCAAAACAGAACAGAGGCTTAGATTTTGAGAGGGATCTATCTGATTTTAATTAAGCTGACTTTTAACCATAGTGCTCTTTAAAGAAAAATTTTTTTAATCTCTTATTACCTGACATTAGCCAGGCCAATGGCCAATATTTCTGGCTTTTGAACTTTCTCCCAGGTGAAACTAATAAGCCTTAGCTACTAAGCTACAGCACTGGACAGTTCTATTGCTCTTCCCAGAAGGATCCTAGAGCAGTCAGTTTTGAGCTTGCATAGGCTTTTAACTGCTCAATATAATTTTTAGGGCTAACTATGACATGAGCCCTCAAATTTCTGTTTCCTGGATAGCAGAGACCAAGAGAGTACCACCACATGGTTACAAGGTCAAGCTCCAAAGGATATGAAACAAGATGAGAAGGAAACTTCATCCAGTTTTTTTGTTGTTTCAGAGACCTGCAGCAGTTTGTAACTGAGATCCTAAGCCCATGTTCTATCCTAAGGTATTCCTCTTTATGACAGAATGATACAGAAAGACACACAAAGCACACCAGATTTGCTACAGCTGAAGACTAGCCTCACAAATTGTTTTTCCTATTAATCAAAACTTTACAGAGGAGATAAACAGTGATTTTTACCATTCATTCAACCAGTTTGCATAAAGAAAGAGGACAGAAGTCTGATCAGTAAGAAATCCTTACCCTTTTGCTAACATGTCAGGTTTCTGGGTTCTCTTTCCCTGAGCAGCCCTAGTAACCTTGCTTGCTACATCAAAGCCCTTGGGGCCAAGCCACAACACAAAAGAATTTTTTTTTTTCTGTTTCATGGAACCGCAGGCAAAAGCCTCTCAATTTTGCAAGTGGCCACCCAACTGGTTGCATGGGGGACCTGAATTAATATTTTCCATTCAGCCAGAGAAAAATACATATGACAAACCATACAAATATTGAGCTGGCAAAGCTCAAACTTGTCCCCTGATGGGCTCTGTCACCTTTAATCCATTCAAAGTGGATTAAAATAGTTTCAACATGTGGTTCTCTGGGCAAGATGGTCACCCCAAGTAACAGAAAAAATAATAAAGGGAAAGAAGAGAGAGAGAGAAAAGCATTACTTGCTGCAAGGTGGGGAAGGCGAAGAGCTCAGGGAGGCTAGAGAAAGACCCACCCATTGCAGTGACATTTAATCAAAAGTTCAGGCAGCTGTTTGTTGGTCACAAAGGATCTTCTCCAGCATTCCCATTAGCTCTCAAGTTTTCCCCTTTAGGGAAAAAAAAGCTCCCCTTATCCCATGATCCTGTACCTGCCTAATCCTGTCACAGCCATCAGCAGAGTGCAAGGCAGATTAATCCAAAGAGAGTAACAGTTAACATCCCATAGTGTCAAATCAATTTTTTAGCCGACAGGGACTTTATTGAGAGGATCCTCTAACCCCCTAAATCTTAGGAAGGTCTGTAACCTTCCTAAGTTGGGCCTCAAACCCAAGTTTGGTCAAGTGTCATTGCCTTTTAAGAGGGGCCTTTAACCCTGTCTATCTCTAGAGAAAGTGCTTTAACCCTCTCTGTTTCTAGGAGAGGCTCTAACTCCCCTAAATTGGGCCTCTAACTCAATCCCATCCTTTACTGGATACCCCACCACTTACCCAAAGTCAGTCAATTGTTGCTGCAGTCTATTTCCTTTGGGTCGGGGGTCTCCTCAGTATCATCCCTTCATGGTTCGCCAGGAAGATGTTACTAGAAAGGGGTCCGGATCCAGACCCCAAGAGAGGGTTCTTGGAGCTTGCACAAGAAAGATTTTGAGGTGAATCCATAAAGTGAAAGCAAGTTTATTAAGAAAGTAAAGAAATAAAAGAATGGCTACTCCATAGCGGAACAGCCAGAGCTCCATTGTATGTTGTTTCCTCTGTCTTGCTGCATTTAAAGGATTCTTTCTGTATTGTTTACCTTTGGGAGTATGATTATTAAATGTCTTGAGGTAGTCTTCATTAGGATAAATCTGCTTGGTGTTCTATAACTTTCTTGTACTTGGATATTGGTATCTTTCTCCAAGTTTGGGGACTTTTCTGTTATTATCACTTTGAATAAACTTACTACTTCTGTCTCTATCTCCTTTTTAAGGCCAATAACTCTTAGATTTGCCTTTTTGATACTATTTTCTAGATCCTGTTGGCATGCTTTACGGTTTTTTATTTATTTTCATTTTTCTCCTCTGACTGCATTTTCTCATAGCCTTTCTTCAAAAAGCTAGTTCTTGCTTCTGCTTGATTAATTCTGCTGTTAAAAGACTCATGTATTCTTCAGTATGCCAATTGCTTTTTTCTGCTCCAGAATTTCTTCTAGATTTTTAATAATTATTTCAATCTCTTTGTTAAATTTATCCGATAGAATTCTGAATTCTTTCTCTTTGTTATCTTGAATTTCTTTGAGTTTCCTCAACACAGCTATTTTTAAATGTCTGTTTGAAGGATCACATTTCTCTGTTTCTCCAGGTTTGGTTCCTAGTGCCTTATTTCATTCATTTGATGAGGTCATGTTTTCCTGGATGCTGTTGATGCTAGTAGATATTCTTTGGTGTCTGTGCATTGAAGAGTTGGGTATTTATTGCAGTCTTAATTGTCTGGGATTATTTGTAGACATCCTTCTTGAGAAGGTTTTGGAGATATTTTAAAGGGCTTGGGTGTTGTGATCTAAACTGTGTCTGCATATGGGGCATCCTGAGCCTACTAACCCTGTGGTTTTTGCAGACTCGTAGAGATACCACCTTTTTGGTCTTGGGCAAGATCTGGAAGAATTATCTGTATTTCCAGGCAGAGACTCTTCTTCTTTCTTTAAGTTCTCCCAAAAAAAAAAAAAAAAAAAAAGAGTCTTTCTCTCTCTGTTCTGAGCCATCTAAAGCTGAGAGTGGAGTGACATAAGCACCCCTGTGGCCACCATCACTATGACTGTGCTTCGTCAGACCTGAAGCCATCACAGCACTGGGCATAGCCCAAGGCCTTCTGTAACCACTCGCTGACTACTACCTATGTTCACTCAAGGCCCTGGAGCTCTACAATCAGGTGGCAAATCCAGCCAGGCCTATGTCCTTCCCTTCAGGATGGCAAGATCACCCAGGCCTTGGATGGGTCCAGAGGTGCTGTCCTAGAGTCAGGGACTAGAGTCAAAAACCTTAGAAGCCTACCTGGTGTTCTATGGTATTGTGGCTAAGTTGGCACTGAAACCATAAGACGCAGTCCTTCCCACTCTTCTTCCCTTTCCAAAGGCAGAGGAGCTTGACCCCATAGCCACTGCCACCTCATGCCACGAAGAATTCTACCGGAGCACCAGCCAATGTTTCCTTCAGCCCCAAGGGCTCTTAAGTCAGCTTGTGGTGAAAGCTGCCCAGCCTTCAAATCACCCTTCAGGGCAGTGTGCTCTCCTCTGGCCCATGGTAGGTTGAGAAATGCTGTCCAAGAGTCAAGTCTTGAAATCAGAGACCCCAAGAGCCAGCTTGGTGCTCTGCCCTTCCCTGGTCGTGGTGGTATCTAAGAAAGTCTTCTTTACTTTGCCCTCTGCTTTTCTTAGTCAGGAGTTTTGCCCCACAGCCACTGCTGGTAATGTGCTGAGTCTCACCTGAAGCCAGCAAGTCTCAGAGGCTCACCCAAGGCCCTCGATGTTGTACCTGGGTATTGCTGCTGGTTATTTCGAGTTCAAGAGCTCTTCAGTCAGCAGGTGATAAATGTTGCCAGGACTTGGTCCTTTCCTTCAAGGCAGTGGGTTCCCTTCTGGCCCAGGGTGTGTCTAGAAATGTCTAGGAGCTAGGTCCTGGAACGGGAGCCTCACAACTGTCTGGTGGCCTGTTCTGCTGTGGCTAAGATAGTATCCAAGATGGAAGACAAAGTTCTCCCCACTCTTTCCTTTGCTCTCAAGTTGAAGGAGGGGGTCTCTTTTGAAGCCAAGAGCTGTGCAGCCTGAGTTTAGGGAAGTCATGATACCAGCACTCCCTTGACCGCTCCAGCTGGCGTCTCAGCATGTTGTGTGACTCACAGTCCACTGTTTCTGGGACTATTTCAGCACTAGGACTCACCTAAAAGTTTCAGTCCTTATGGGGTAGACCACCTTTCAAGTTTACCTGGAGACAGAGGGCTGTAGCCCTTTGTGGCAAGGTTTGTAGAAACTCAAGTTCCGAATACTGGAATCTGCGATTCCCCTCTGGCTAGGGCTGGTTTGAATGCTCCCTCCGTGAGTGGGTGGGCATCAGCTGAGTTTGGTCCAGTTTTTCTATCTGCTCTAGCAGGACAGCACTGTGTTCAGTGCCTCACACTTGCTGTGTTCTTTCTTCCCTAGCAGGCAGAGATGCTCTCTGCACCACACCACTGTTGTCAGGGTTGGGGGAGGGGTGGCTTCTGTGATTCTGGAGTGTTTTTTGTATCTCTTCAGTGCCTCTTTCAGTGATATGAAGTTAAAACCAGGTACTATGAGTGCTCACCTAATTTTGGGTTCTTATGAAAGTGTTATTTCTTTATAGATAGTTGTTAACTATCTATCCTTGTGGGGGTGAGGACGATTGGTGGAGCCTTCTATTGTGCCATTTTTCTCCCAATATTTTTTTAATTTTTGAGGAAACTCCATACTCTTCTACCTATTGACTCTACTAGCTTATATTACCACCAGTAGAGTTCAAGATTCTCTTTACTATATTTCCTTGCCCACACTTGTTATCTTTTTTTAAATAATAGGCATCCTAATAGGTTTTAGGTAATACATCATTGTGGTGTTGATTTGCATTCTCTGGTGATCAGTGATGTTGAGCACGTTTTCATATACCTGTTGGCCATTTATATGTCTTTTTTCTTTTGCTCATTTTTTAATCAGGATTTTTTTTTCTATTCAGTTATTTTTCTTTCATGATGTTCTTATATATTTTGGATGTTAACCTCATATCAGATATATTGTTGGCATTTATGTTCTCACATTCCATAGATTGCCTTTTTATTTTGTTGATTGTCTCCTTGGCTGTGCAGAGGCTTTTTAGTTTGATGTTGTCTGTCTTATTGTTGCTTTTGTTGCCTGTGTTTTTTAAAATCACAACTCAAAAATCATTGTCAATAGCAATGTTAGTGGGCTTATTCCCTAAGTTTTCTTTTAGGAGTTTTACATTTTTAAGTCATGTTTAAATGTTTAATTTATTTTTAGTTAATTTTTGTATGGTATAAGACAAGTGTACAGTTTCATTCCTTTGCAAATGGATATACAGTTCCCCAACACCATGTATTGAAAAGATTATCCTTTTTCCAATGTGTATGCTTGTTTTCCTTTTCAAAAATTAGTTGACCATATATGCATGAGTTTATTTCTGGGCTCTGTTGGTGTATTTGTCTACTTTTATGTCAGTATCATACTGTTTTGATTACTATAGCTTGAAAGTATAGTTTGAAATCAGGAAGATTAGGGACTCCAGCTTTGTTCTTTATTCTCAAGATTCTTTTGGCTATCCAAGATCTTCTGTGGTTCCATGTAAATTTTAGGATTGTTTTTTTCTATTTCTGTGGGAAGAAAATGCCATTGGAATTTTCATAGGATTGCATTGAATCTGTAGATTGCTTTGGGTAGTATGGACATTTTAGCCATATAAATTCTTCCAGTCCATGAATGAGATATCTTTTTGTGTATTTGTGTCTTCTTCAATTTCTTTCATTAGTGTTTTATACTTCACTATACAAATATTTCATCTCCTTAGTCAGCTATTGTAAACTGAATTGTTTTCTTAATTCCTCTTTTGGATAGTTTATACTGTATAAAAACACAACTGTTTTTGTATGTTGTTTTTGTATTCAAACCTTTACTGAATTCATTTTACAGTGCTAACAATTTTTTGGTGGGGTCTTTATAGGATTTTCTATATATAGAATTATGTCATTAGCAAACAAAATTTTACTTCTTTTAGATTTTGTTGCCTTTTAATTTTAATTAACTTATTTATTTACTTATTGCCTAATTGCACTGGCTATGACTTCCAGTAGTAAGTTGAACAAAAGTGTCAAGAGTAGGCATCCTTGTCTTATTCCTCAGGATTTCATCATTGCATATGATGTTACCTGTGTGCTTGTCATATATGGCCTTTATTATATTGAGTATATTTTTATTTACCTATATGTTGAGAATTTTTATTATGAAATGATGTTGAATTTTGTTAATGTTCTTTCTGTACATATTAATATGATCATGATTTTTATCCTTCATTCTTTTAGTATTGTTTACTGCATTTATTGATTTGAGTATGTTGACCCATCCTTGCATTCCAGAGAAAAATCTTACATGATTGTGGTGTATGATCCTTTCAATGTGCTGTTGAATTTGGTTTGCTGATATTGTGTTCAAGATTTTTGCATCTATTTGCTTCAGGGATATTGGCCTATAATTTTAATTTCCTCTTGTGTCCTTGCCTAGCTTTGGTATCAGGGTAATGCTGGCCTTGTAGAATATATTTGGAATTGTTTCCTCCTATTCAGTTTTTTGGAACAGTTTGAGAAGGATTGGCATTAATTAGTTTTTCAGTGCTTGGTAGAATTTACCCATGAAGCCATCTGATCCTGTGCTTTTCTTTGTTGGAAGATATTTGAGTACTGATTTTATCTCCTTGCTCTTTTTTGTTTTGTTCATATTTTCTGTTTCTTCACGGTTAGTCTTGGTGTTTCTTGGTATATTATATTTCTCTAGGAATTTAGCCATTTATTCTAGGCTATCCAGTTTGTTGACTTATAATTGTTCATAATAGTGTCTTCTGACCTATTGTATTTCTCTGTTATCAGTTGTAATGGCTCTTCTTTCATTTATGATTTTATTTATTTGAGTGTTCTCCTTTTTTCTTGGTTAAGCTAGCAAAAGGTTTGTCAATTTTCTTTATCTTTTCAAAAAGACTCATAGTTTTTTGGATCTTTTAAATTGTTTTTCTAGATTCTATTTTATTTATTTCTGTTCCTATCTTTATTATTTCCTTCATTCTGCTAACTTTGGGCTTGCTTTATTCTATTCTTGCTATTTACTTGAGGTGTAAAATTAGGTTGTTTAGGCTGGGCGTAGTGGCTCACACCTGTAATCTCAACACTTTGGGAGGCTTAGGCGGGCAGATCACCTGAGGTTGGGTGTTCGAGACCAGCCTGGCCAACCTGTTTAAACCCCATCTCTACTAAAAATACAAAAAAAAAAATTAGCTGGGTGTGGTGGCACATGCCTGTAATTCCAGCTACTCAGGAGGCTGAGGCAGGAGAATCACTTGAATCCAGGAAGCAGAGGTTACAGTGAGCTGAGATTGCAGACTGCACTCCAGCCTGAGCAACAGAGACTCCATCTCAAAAAAAAAAAAAGTTATTTGATATCTTTTTTAATGTAAGCATTTATCACTATAAACTTTCCTCTTAGAACTGCTTTTGTTGCATCTCATAAGTTGTGATATGTTTTGTTTCCATTTTTGTTCATCTCAGAATTGTTTTCAAACTTTCCTTTTGATTTTTTTGACCCATTGGTTGTGCAGAAGTATCTTGCCTAATTTCCACATATTTGTGAGTTTTCCAATTTTTATCCTGTTATTTCTAGTTCTGTACAATTGTATTAGGAAAATATACTTGATATGATTTTAATCTTGTGAAATTTGTTAAGACTCATTTTCTGGCCTAATGTATGCTCTGTTCTGGAGAATGCTCTATATGCAATTGAGAAGATTGTGTATTCTGCTGTTGTTGGATGGAATTTTCTGCGAATGTCTGTTAGGTCTATTTGTTTTACATTCTTATTCAAGTCCACTCTTTCCATACTGATTTTCTGTCTGTATGATTTATCCATTGTTGCAAGTGGTTTATAAATGTATATTTATGTGCTCTGAACTTGGGAGCATATGCATTTATAGTATCTTCTTGATATATATTCTCTTGATAAATTGACCACTTTATTATATAGTGTCCATTGTTTCTTGTGACAGATTGTGACTGAAAATATTTTTTCCAGTATAATTACCCCTGCTAATTTTTGTCCACTATTTGCATGGACTGTCTTTTTCCATTCTTCACTTTCAGCCTAGTGTGTGTCTCGTGAGCAGCATATAATAGGGTGTTGTTTGTTAATGCATTCAGCAACTCTATTTTTCTATTGGAGAGTTTAATTTGTTGACATTTAAATTAATTATTGGTAGGTAAGGACTTGTTATTGCTATTTTTTAAAACATTTCCTGACTGGTTCGTAGTTTCTTCCTCTTTTGCTGTCCTCCTTTTCATTTGTTGATTTTTTTTCCATAGTAGTATGCTTTTATTTTTTTTCTCTCATCTTTTGTGTGTCTACTATAGGTTTTATTCTTTGGAAGTTACCATGAGGTTATTTTTTCCTTTTTATGTTATGTATCCATTGACAAATTAATGTAGCTATAGTTGTAATACTTTGTCTTTTAACTTTTGTCATAGAGATGTGATTTTAACCACCATTACAGTATTGTTATTCTTTTTTTTTTTTTTTTTTTTTTTGAGTCGGAGTTTCGCTCTGTCACCCAGGCTGGAGTGCAGTGGCACAATCTCAGCTGACTGCAAGCTCCACCTCCCAGGTTCATGCCATTCTCCTGCCTCAGCCTCCCAAGTAGCTGGGACTACAGGCGCCCACCACCACGCCCAGCTAATTTTTTGTATTTTTAGTTGAGATGGGGTTTCACCGTGTTAGCCAGGATGGTCTCAATCTCCTGACCCGTGATCCGCCAGCCTCAGCCTCCCAAAGTGCTGGGATTACAGGCATGAGCCACCGCGCCTGGCCGGTATTGTTATTTTTAACTTGACTCTGCTTACCTTTACTGTGAGTTTTATACTTTTATATGTTTTTATGTTGCTAATAAGCATTCTTTTATTTCAACTTGAAAAACCTCGTTTAGCATTTCTTACAAGGCAGATTTACTGGTGATGAACTTACATCCCTCCCCCCACTGCCCCCCCACATTTGTGTAGAAATCTCTTTATCTCCTTCATTTCTAAAGGACAGCTTTACTAGGTACAGTATTATTGATTGGCAGTTTTTTTTTCCTTCAGCAGTTTGAATATATGATCTCACTCTCTTATGGCTTATAAGGTTTCTGCTGAGAAATCTGCTGATTTTCTTATTGGGGCAATGGTGAATAGTTCCCTTAGATGTGATGAGTTGTTTTCACTTTCAAAATCGTCTGTTTTTGACTTTTGACAATTTCATTAAAACATGTCTCAGTGAAGACCTCTTGGCTCTCAACCTATTTGGAGTTCTTTAAGCTTCATGCATCTGGATGTCCATTTCCTTTTCCAGATTTGGGAAGTTTTCCATCATTATTTATTTAAATAAGCTTTCTGTTCTTTCTCTTTTTCTGCTCCTTCATTGACTCCCAGAATGTTTATATTGGTTCACTTGCTTTTGTCCAATAAGTCTCGTTGGCTTTCTTTACTCATTCTCATTTTTTTTTCTTTTTCTCCCTATAACTGGATAATTTCAAATGATCTGTCTTTGAGGATGCTGATATTGTACTCAGCTTGATCAAGTCAGACATTGGTGGTCTTTATTGAATTTTTCTTTTCAGTCATTGTGATTTTCAGCTCCAGGATTTCTGGGTTTTTTTAATAGATTTTTTACTGCTTTTTTGAAGTTTTCATTTTGTTCATGTATTGTTTTTCTGATATTGTGTAATTTTCTGTGTTCTGTTCTTAATGAGTTTCCTTAAGATGATTATTTTGAATTTTTGTCAAGCTCTTTGTGGATTCTCTATTTATTCAGGGTCTTCACTGGAACTTTATTTTATTATTTTTGTGGTATCATATTTCCTTGATTCTTTATTTTCCTTTTAGCCACACATTGCCATCTTCACAGTTGAAGGAACACTCACCTTCTCCAGTCTTTACTCTTTGGCTTCAGGAGAGATAGACCTTTACCAATGAGCCTAGGTAGAGATTCCAAAGGTCTCTCAGAACTTTTCTGTGAATGTGCCCACCTGCTTCACTTGTTCTGTCCTAGGGGACAAGTGTTAGGATTGTGTGCCTTTACTCTATCCTGTCAAGCCAGGTATGGTGATAAGCCTCCTGTTTCTTTTCCCTATGGCACTGCCCAAGCATGAACAAGGTTGCATGCCTTTTCTCAGACCAAAAGAGTCAAGCCAGCTATTAAGATATGTACCTGCTATTGAGATTCGAGTACTGTCTGTGGGAGGTCAGGCAGGCTGTGCTCAGGGAAGTATGGGCACCATCCACAAGGTTGTAGGGGTTCATTAAGTGCTCACAGCTCATGTTGGCTAGTTGGGGTGTTCCTCAGGCAAGTCATTCTTCAGATTTCTTGGGTGGGCCTTGTGGTGGAGTCTTTAAGCAAGTTAACAGGATCTATAGCCACTGTTTTAAACTGCACACTGATTGTTGTGCTCTCCCTCCCCTTCTTTTTGCTTCTTGTTGTCCCCAGGCAATTTAACCATACAGATTCCCTCAGTATTCAAGGTGCAGAGAGATAGATATGGCCTCCTGGGCCATATCCTGCAAGTCTGAGGAAGCAAAATGTTAACTAACTTTTCTCCGTGGTAGAAATTGCAGGTTAAGGAGGGGGGCTTTTTTGGCATCAAGCTGTGCCATCTTGGTGGAGAGATGACATGGGTAAATTGAAACTGTAGTTTTTACCCTCTTTAATGCATCCACTTTCAGGATTTTTGCTGTATTACAGTGCTGAAACCTTAGTTAGACTCTGGCTCCCACAAAAGTATTCTCATCTATGGGTGGTTGCCAAAACTAGTGTATCTGTAGGGGAATGAAAGCTGGAACCTCTTGTTCTGCCATCTTGGTGGTGTTACTCTTTAATTTTTCAAATGTTTGTTTTGCATCAATGTAAATGATCATGTGGTTGTTTTCATTCATTCTGTTAATGTAGTATATCACACTGGCTTTCATATGATGAATCATTCTTGCATTGCAGGAATACATCATACTCGATCATGGTTTACAATCCTTTTATTATGCTACTGACTTTGATTTGCTTCTATTTTGTTGTGAATTTTTGCATCAGTATCAATAAGGGATGTAAGACTAGTTTTCTTTCTTTGTAGTGTGTTTGAATAGCTTTGTTAAATGGGTAATGTCCTCAGAGAATCAGTTAAGTGTTCTTTCAATTTTTGGAAGAGTTTGAGAAGGACTGGTGTTAATTCTTTAAATGTTAGGAATAATTTGCCAATGAAGTCATATTGTCTAGGTCTTTCATTTGGGGGAGGTTTTTTTTCTGATTAAATCATCTTACTACCTATTGTGTTCTATTTAGGTTTTCTGTTTATTCCTGATTCAGCCTTAGTAGTTTTTGTGTTTCTAAGAATTTAGCCATTTCATTTAGGCTAGCCAATTTGCATATAGTTATTTACCATATTCTCTTACAATTCATTTTTTATTTTTTTAAACCAGTAGTAAAGTCCCCACATTTATTTCTGATTTTATTGAGTCTTCTCTTTTTTCTTCATCAGTCTAGCTAAAGGTTTGTCAATTTTGTTTATCTTTTTCAATAACTAACTTTTGGGTTATCCTGGAGGATGTTTCTTGTACCGTTGAAAATAATGTGTATTCTGCTGTTGGATGGAGTGTTGTGTATATGTCTCTTAGGTCCTGTTGGCTCATGATGTTATTCAAGTACTCTCTTTTCTTTCTCTCTTGTTGTTAACATCATTATTGAAAGTGGTGTATGGAAGTCTGAAGCTATTATCGCTTCAATTTTGTCAGTATTTGCTTCATATGGTTAGATCTGTGATGTTTGGTATATATCTTTTTATACTTTTTATGTATTCTTAGCTGCTACATTGACCATTTTTTAATATGTTGTTCTTTGTCACTTGTAAGATTTTTACTTAAGGCCAATTTGGTCTGACATTAGTGTATTTATTTTTGCTCTCTTTTGGTTACTATTAGCATGTAATATTTTTTATCATTTTATTTTCCATTTATTTGTGTATTTAATCCAAAGTGAGTCTTTATAGATAGCATTTCTTTATGTGTTATATTTCTAAAAATGAGGTCTTACTGTGTTGTCCCAGCTGGAGTGAGGTGGCTATTCACAGGAATGATCACAGTGCAGTACAGCCTCAAACTCCTAGCCTCAAGCAATCTTCCTGCTTTAGACTCCTGAGAGGCTGGAACTACAGGTACCCACTGCTGCACCCAACTGAGAGCACTTTTTATCCACTCCCCCAATCTCTGAAATTTTGGTAGAGAGTTTAATCAATGTACATTTAAAAAAATATGGTAAGTAAAAACTTACTTTGCCATTTATTTCTTTTCTTCATGTCTTATAACTGTTTTGTCCCTTATTGCTTTCCCTTACTACCATTTTCTGTTTAGTTCTTTTTTTTTGTAATGACACATTTTTATTTTCTTCTAATTGTCTTTTGTGTTTATTTTATAGATATTATCTCTGTGGTTACCGTGGAGGTTACATAGGACATTAAAAATTTACAAGAATCCACTTTAAATTAATAACAACTGAACATAAATCAGATACAGAATCTCTATTTATATATATATCTGTTCCTCTGACACTTTGTTATTGATGTCACAAATTACATTGTATATACTGTATACCCACTAGTGTAGGCTCACAATTATTTTATGTGTTTATCATTTGTTTTATAGAAATAAAAAATGCAGTATATTACAATATAATAATAATGATGTCTTTTATATGTGTGCATGTGTTTACCTTTACCAGAGATGTTTATATTGACCTCTGGCATTGAGTTACTTTCTAGCATCGTTTAGCATTTTTTGTAGGGCAGATCTAATGGTAATGTACTTCCTTAGCTTTTGTTTATCTTAGAACGTCTTAATTTTTCCTTTATTTTTGAAGGAAAGTTTTGCTGCATATGGAATTCTATGTTAACAGGTGTTTTTATTGCAATACTTTAAGTATATCTTCACTGCCTTCTTGCCTCCAAAGTTTCTTCTGAGAAATCAGCAAAAATCTTGCTGAGGATCCCTTGTATATGACAAGTTACTTCTCTTGCTGATTTTAAGTTTTTTTTTTTTTTTGGTCTTTTTCTTTTGATAGTTGGAGTAGGTCTTGGTGTTGGTCTCTTTGGATTTATCACACTTGGACATCATTGAGCTTGGATTTGGAAATTCATTTCATTCATTAAATTTGGGAAGGTTTTAGCCATAATTTCTTCAAAGTTTCTGCTCCTATATCCCAAGTCTCTTCTTGGAAGCCCATAATACACATATTTGTCCATTTAATGGTGTCTCACAAGTCCCATAGTCCCTGCTCATTTTTCTTCATTTTCTTTCTTCTCTTCAGATTCAGTAACTTCATTGTCCTAACTTCTGCTTTGTTGATTCTTCTGCCTGCTCAACTCTGCTCTTCAACTCCCTCTATTGAATTTCTATTTCAGTTATTGTGTTTTTCAACTCCAGAATTTGGTGTGGTTTCTTTTTACATATTCTATCTCTTTTTTTAAATTTTAATTTTATCATTTTCTTAATTTTATTTTTGTATTTATGTTTTTCTTTAGTTCTTTAACAATATTTAAGAAAGCTCTTTTAAAGTCTTTGTCACATAAGTGCAATGTCTGAACTTTCTTGTGGATGTTTTCTGCCAGTTTATTTGTTCCTAGGAGTGGGCTATGCCTTCTTGTTTTCTTGTATGCCCTGTTATCTCGTTGTTGTTGAACACTGGGAATTTGAAAAAACCTCATCTGCCAATCTTTGCAGACTGGCTCTGTTCAGGAGCAGTTCTTAACAGATTACCAGAGCTTGATCTTAGCGTAGGAATGAGATGAAAAGCTAAGATCTTCTCAGGTATTTTCTGAGTATGCATCTTGCCTGGGCCTGTGTGTGGCTTTCTCAATTCCCCGTATACATGACTGTGTTTCATTGTCTTAATTTCACAACCAGTCTCATCTTTGGAACTTTAGCTGGTCTGTTTTTATGTATTGACTTGTAATCTCTTGCCCTAGCCTTCTACATGTCTGTTGCCTCTCTGCAGTGTTTATCAGGAGTGCCTTCTGCTTTCCCCACCTGAGATCCAAGGTAGGTAAAAAAGAGATCAGTCCTTCAGTTTGTCTTCAGACAGGTTAGAACATTGGAAATAACGTCTGCTCTTCTTTCTCTGTTTCAAGAGAGAGAATTGAGATCTGAGTTCCTACCTCATTCAGACCAAGAATTCTGCCATACATGGTGGGGTAAGGCAAGGAGAGAGCAAGGAAAAATGCCACAAAACCTTTCCCCCCATTTTGAAGATGTCTTTTCTTTAAAAAAAAAATATTTTAGGTTCAGGGTACATGTGCACGTTTGTCATATAGGTTAATGTGTTTCTGAGAGGTGTGTTGTATGGATCATTTTGTCACCCAGGTAATTAGCAGAGTACCTGATACATATTTTTTCTGATTCTCTCCCTCCTCCTACCCTCCTTCCTCAAGTAGGCCTCTGTGTCTGTTGTTTCCCTCTTTGTGTCCCTGTGTTCCTGTTGTTTAACTCCCACTTATAAGTGAGAACATACAGTATTGGGTTTTGTATTCCTGTGTTAGTTTGCTTAGGATAATGTCCTCCAGCTTCATCCATGTTGCTGCAAAGGACATGATCTTATTTTTTATGGCTGCATAGTATTCCATGGAGTATATGTACCACATTTTCTCTATCCAGTCTACTGTTGATGGGCATTTAGGTTGATTCCATGTCCTTGCTATTGTCAGCAGTACTGCAGTGAACATATGTGTGCATGTATCTTTATGGTAGAACAATTTATATTCCTTTGGGTATATACCCAGTCATGGGATTGCTGGGACAAACAATGATTGTGTTTTAAGCTCTTTGAGGAATCACCACACCATTTTCTACAGTGGTTTTCACATTTTCTACATTCCCACCAGCAGTTAAGTATCTCCTTTTCTATGCAACCTCAACAGCACCTCTCATTTTTTGACCTTTTAATAATAGCTATTCTGACTGACGTGAGATAGTATCTCACTGTGGTTTTGATTTTCATTTCTCTAATGATTAGTGATATTGATTTTTTATGTGTTGCTTGGCCACGTTTATGTCTTCTTTTGAAAAGTATCTATTCATGTCCTTTGCCCACTTTTTAATGGGTTGGTTTGTTTTTTCTTGGAAATTTAAGTTCTTTCTAGATTATGGATATTAAAACTTTGTTGAATGCATAGTTTGCAAATTAGTTTTCCCCATTTTGTACATTGTTTTCTCTGTTGATAGTTTCTTTGGCTATGCAGAAGCACTTTAGTTTAATTAGGTTCAATTTGTCCATTTTTGCTTTTGTTGCAGTTACTTTTGGCATCTTCATTATTAAATCTTTTCCAGTTCCTACGTCCAGAAGGGTATTTCCTAGATTATCTTCCAGTGTTTTAATAGTTTTGGGTTTTACATTTAAGTCTTTAATTCATTGAGTTAATTTTTTATATGATGTAGGAAAGTGGTCCAGTGTTTTGTAACTCTTGTTGTAGAGGTCTTTCACCTCCCTAATTAGCTGTTTGCCTAGTTATTTTATTCTTTTTATGGTAATTGTGAATTGAACTACATTTCTGATTTGGCTCTCAGCTTGAATGTTGTTAGCATATAGGAATGCTACTGATTTTTGTATGTTGATTTTGTATTGTGAAACTTTGCTGAAGTTGTTTATCAGCTCAAGGAGCTTTTAGGCAGAGAATATGGGGCTTTCTAGATGAAGAATCTTGTCATCTGCAAACTGATAGTTTGACTTCCTCACTTTTTATTTGGATGCTCTTTATTTCCTTTTCTTACCTGATTGTCCTTGCCAGGATTTCCAATACAATATTTAATAGGAGTGGTGAGAGAAGACATCCTTGTCTTGTGTCAGTTTTCCATGGGAATGCTTCCAGCTTTCATCCATTATTCGGTATGGTGTTGGCTGTGGGTTTGTTCTAGATGTGTCTTATTACTTTAAAGTATATTCCTTCAATGGCCTAGTTTATTGAGGGTTTTTAACATGACAGGATATTGATTTTGTGAAAGCGTTTTCTGCATCTATTGAGATAATCATGTGGTTTTTGTTTTTAGTTCTGTTTATGTGATGAATCACATTTATTTATTTTCATATATTGAACCAAGCTTGCATCCCAGGGATAAATCTTACTTGATCATGGCAGATTACCCTTTTGCTGTGCTGCTGGATTGAGTTTGCTAGTATTTTGTTGAGGATTTTTACATCTATGTTCATCAAGGATATTGGCCTGAAGTTTTCTTTTTGTGTGTGTCTCTGCCAACTGATTCAGTTTCAGAACTTGTTATTAGTTAGTTCAGGGATTCAGTTTCTTCCTTCTTCAGTCTGGGGAGGATGAGTGTGTGTAGGAATTTGTCCATTTCTTCTAAATTTTCTTGTTTGTGTGTATAGAGGTGTTTATAGTACTCTCTGATGGGATTCTTTTTGTATTTATGTGTCATTTCTAATATTCCCTTTGTTATTTCTAATTGTATTTATTTGGATCTCTTTTTTTCTTTATTAGTCTAACAAGCAGTCTACCTTACTAATTTTTTCAAAGAAGACACTCCTGGATTTGTTGATCTTTTGTATGGTTTTCTCTAGAATTTCCTTCAATTCAGCTCTGATTTTGGTTATTTCTTGTTTTCTGCTAGCTTTGTGGTTAGTTTGCTCTTGCTTCTCTAGGTCTTCTAGTTGTGGTTTAGGTTGTTAATTTGAGATGTTTCTAACTTTTTGATGTGGACATTTAGTGCTATAAATTTCCCTTTTAACACTGCCTTAGCCATGTCCCAGAGATTCTGGTACATTATTATCATGTTCTCATTAGTTTCAAAAAATTTCTTGATTTCTGCCTGAATTTTATTTTTCACCTAGAAGTCATTCAGGAACAGGTTGTTTAGTTTCCCTGTAACTGTATGGTTTTGAGTTATTTTCTCAGTATTTATTTCTGTTTTTATTGTGCTGTGGTCTGAGATTGTGGTTGGTATGATTTTTTTTTAATTTGCTGAGGATTGTTTTGTCTGATTGTGTGGTCAATTTTATAATATGTGCCATGTGTCAATGAGAAGAATGTATGTCGCATTGTTTTGGAGTGAAGAGTTCTGTAGATATTGATTAGGTCCATTTGGTAATGTTGAGTTTGGGACCTTTATATCTTTGTTAATTTTCTGCCTTGATCTAACTGAAACTTTGTATCCTTTGACCAATATCTCACCTTTCCTCTTCCCCAAACCCCTTTTACTGGTAACCACCGTTCCACTCTCTACTTTTATGAGATCAATTTTTTTAAATTTCATTATTATTATACTTTAAGTTTTAGGGTACATGTGCATAATGTGCAGGTTAGTTACCTACGTATACATGTGCCATGCTGGTGTGCTGCACCCATTAACTCGTCATTTAGCATTAGGTATATCTCCTAAAGCCATCCCTTCCCCCCTCCCCCCACACCACAACAGTCCCCAGAGTGTGATGTTCCCCTTCCTGTGTCCATGTGTTCTCATTGTTCAGTTCCCACCTGTGAGTGAGAATATGTGGTGTTTGGTTTTTTGTTCTTGCGATGGTTTACTGAGAATGATGATTTCCAATTTCATCCATGTCCCTACAAAGGACATGAACTCATCATTTTTTAGGGCTGCATAGTATTCCATGGTGTATATGTGCCACATTTTCTTAATCCAGTCTATCATTGTTGGACATTTGGGTTGATTCCAAGTCTTTGCTATTGTGAATAGTGCCACAATAAACATACGTGTGCATGTGTCTTTAGAGCAGCATGATTTATAGTCCTTTGGGTATATACCCAGTAAAGGGATGGCTGGGTCAAATGGTATTTCTAGTTCTAGATCCCTGAGGAATCGCCACACTGACTTCCACAAGGATCGAACTAGTTTACAATCCCACCAACAGTGTAAAAGTGTTCCTATTTTTCCACATCCTCTCCAGCACCTGTTGTTTCCTGACTTTTTAATGATTGCCATTCTAACTGGTATGAGATGGTATCTCATTGTGGTTTTGATTTGCATTTCTCTGATGGCCAGTGATGATGAGCATTTTTTCATGTGTTTTTTGGCTGCATAAATGTCTTCTTTTGAGAAGTGTCTGTTCATGTCCTTCGCCCACCTTTTGATGGCGTTGTTTGTTTTTTTCTTGTAAATTTGTTAGAGTTCATTGTAGATTCTGGATATCAGCCCTTTGTCAGATGAGTAGGTTGCGAAAATTTTCTCCCATTTTGTAGGTTGCCTGTTCACTCTGATGGTAGTTTCTTTTGCTGTGCAGAAGCTCTTTAGTTTAATTAGATCCCATTTGTCAATTTTGTCTTTTGTTGCCATTGCTTTTGGTGTTTTAGACATGAAGTCCTTGCCCATGCCTATGTCCTGAATGGTAATGCCTAGGTTTTCTTCTAGGGTTTTTATGGTTTTAGGTCTAACGTTTAAGTCTTTAATCCATCTTGAATTAATTTTTGTATAAAGGTGTAAGGAAGGCATCCAGTTTCAGCTTTCTACATATGGCTAGCCAGTTTTCCCAGCACCATTTATTAAATAGGGAATCCTTTCCCCATTGCTTGTTTTTCTCAGGTTTGTCAAAGATCAGACAGTTGTAGATATGCGGTGTTATTTCTGAGGGCTCTGTTCTGTTCCATTGATCTATATCTCTGTTTTGGTACCAGTACCATGCTGTTTTGGTTACTGTAGCCTTGTAGTATAGTTTGAAGTCAGGTAGCGTGATGCCTCCAGCTTTGTTCTTTTGGCTTAGGATTGACTTGGCGTTGCAGGCCGGTTGTTCCTTTCCATGTTTAGTGCTTCCTTCAGGAGCTCTTTTAGGGCAGGCCTGGTGGTGACAAAATCTCTCAGCATTTGCTTGTCTGTAAAGTATTTTATTTCTCCTTCACTTATGAAGCTTAGTTTGGCTGGATATGAAATTCTGTTTTGAAAATCCTTTTCTTTGAGAATGTTGAATATTGGCCCCCACTCTCTTCTGGCTTGTAGAGTTTCTGCCGAGAGATCTGCTGTTAGTCTGATGGGCTTCCCTTTGTGGGTAACCCGACCTTTCTCTCTGGCTGCCCTTAACATTTTTTCCTTCATTTCAACTTTGGTGAATCTGACAATTACGTGTCTTGGAGTTGCTCTTCTCGAGGAGTATCTTTGTGGTGTTCTCTGTATTTCCTGAATCTGAATGTTAGCCTGCCTTGCTAGATTGGGGAAGTTCTCCTGGATAATATCCTGCAGAGTGTTTTCCAACTTGGTTCCATTCTCCCCGTCACTTTCAGATACACCAATCAGACGTAGATTTGGTCTTTTCACATAGTCCCATATTTCTTGGAGGCTTTGTTCGTTTCTTTTTATTCTTTTATCTCTAAACTTCCCTTCTCGCTTCATTTCATTCATTTCGTCTTCCATCACTGATACCCTTTCTTCCAGTTGATCGCATCGGCTCCTGAGGCTTCTGCATTCTTCATGTAGTTGTCGAGCCTTGGCTTTCAGCTCCATCAACTCCTTTAAGGACTTCTCTGCATTGGTTATTCTTGGTATCCATTCATCTAATTTTTTTTCAAAGTTTTTAACTTCTTTGCCTTTGGTTTGAATTTCCTCCTATAGCTCAGAGTAGTTTGATCTTCTGAAGCCTTCTTCTCTCAACTCGTCAAAGTCATTCTCCGTCCATCTTTGTTCCGTTGCTGGTGAGGAGCTGCGTTCCTTTGGAGGAGGAGAGGCGCTCAGCTTTTTAGAGTTTCCAGTTTTTCTGCTCTGTTTTTTCCCCATCTTTGTGGTTTATCTACTTTTGGTCTTTGATGATGGTGACGTACAGATGGGTTTTTGGTGTGGATGTCCTTTCTGTTTGTTAGTTTTCCTTCTAACAGACAGGACTCTCAGCTGCAGGTCTGTTGGAGTTTGCTAGAGTTCCACTCCAGACCCTGTTTGCCTGGGTATCAGCAGCGGTGGCTGCAGAACAGCGGTGGCTGTAGAACAGCGGATATTGGTGATCTGCAAATGCTGCTGCCTGATCGTTCCTCTGGAAGTTTTGTCACAGAGGAGTACCCGGCCATGTGAGGTGTCAGTCTGCCCCTACTGGGGGGTGCCTCCAAGTTAGGCTGCTCGGGGGTCAGGGACCCACTTGAGGAGGCAGTCTGCCCGTTCTCAGATCTCCAGCTGCATGCTGGGAGAACCACTACTCTCTTCAAAGCTGTCAGACAGGGACATTTAAGTCTGCAGAGGTTACTGCTGTCTTTTTGTTTGTCTGTGCCCTGCCCCCAGAAGTGGAGCCTACAGAGGCAGGCAGGCCTCCTTGAGCTGTGGTGGGCTCCACCCAGTTCAAGCTTCCCGGCTGCTTTGTTTACCTAATCAAGCCTGGGCAATGGCAGGCGCCCCTCCCCCAGCCTCACTGCCGCCTTGCATTTTGATCTCAGACTGCTGGGCTAGCAATGAGCCAGACTCCATGGGCGTAGGACCCTCCAAGCCAGGTGCAGTATATAATCTCCAGGTGTGCTCTTTTTTAAGCCCATTTTGGAAAAGCGCAGTATTAGGGTGGGAGTGACCCAATTTTCCAGGTGCCGTCTGTCATCCAGGTTTGCTGTTTTTTTAAGCCCATTTTGGAAAAGCGCAGTATTAGGGTGGGAGTGACCCAATTTTCCAGGTGCCGTCTGTCATCCCTTTCTTTGACTAGGAACGGGTACTCCCTGACCCCTTGCACTTCCGGAGTGAGGCAGTGCCTCGCCCTGCTTCGACTCACACCCGGTGCGCTGCACCCACTGTCCTGCACCCACTGTCTGGCACTCCCTAGTGAGATGAACCTGGTACCTCAGATGGAAATGCAGAAATCACCCGTCTTCTGCGTCGCTCACGCTGGGAGCTGTAGACCAGAGCTGTTCCTATTCGGCCATCTTGGCTCCGGAAGCTGAGATCAATTTTTTTAGATTCCACATATAAGTGAGATCACACAGTATCTATCTGTGCCTGGCTTTTATCACTTAACATAATGTCTTTCAGGCTATCTATGTTGTCAAAAATGATAGAATTTTCTTTTCTTAATGCTGCATAGAATTCTATCATGTATATGTGCTACATTTTCTTTATTCATTAGTCCATTGATGGACACTTAGGTATCTCTCTATCTTGGCTATTGTGAATAATGCTGCAGTGAACATGGGAGTTCAGATACCCATTTGTCATACTTATTTCAATTTTTTTGGATGTATACCCAGAAGTGGGATTGCTGGATTATATGGGAATTCTATTTTTAGTTTTTTGAGGAACATCCATACTGTTTTCCATAACAGCTGTATTAATTTACATTTCTGTCAACAGTGTCAAAGAATTCCCTTTATTCTACATCCTCACCAACACTTGTTATCTTTTGTCTTTTTCATAGTAGCCATTCTAATAGGTGTGAGGTAATATCTCATTATGGTATTCATTTGAATTGCCCTGATGATTAGTGATGTTGAGCACCTTTTTATATACCTGTTGGCTACCTGTATGTCTTCTTTTGAGAAGTATCTATTCAGATCCTCCACCTATTTTTGGTAATTGGATTGTTTTACTACAGTTTGAGTTTCTTATGTTTTGGATATTAGCCTTGTCAGATGTATGGTTTGCAAATATTTTCTCCCAATCCATGCAATTGTCTCTTCACTCTGTTAATTATTTCCTTTGCAAAGCAAAGGAAATAGTTTCATGCAGTCCTGTTCATTTATTTCTGCTTTTGTTGCCTGCGCTTTTACCAAGAAATTACTACCCAGACCAGTGTCATGGAGTTTTTACCCTATGTTTTCTTCTAGTAGTTTTATATTTTCAGGTCTTGCATTTAAGTCTTCAATCAATTTTGAGCTGATTTTTATGTATGGTATGAGGTAAGGGTCCAATTTTATTCCTCTGCATGTGGATATTCAGTTGTTCCAATATCATTTATTAAAGAGACTGTCCTTTCTGTATTGTGTGTTCTTAGCAACTTTGTCAAACCAATTGACCATGGTTTGACCATGAGTAAACATAGGTTTATTTCTGGGCACTCTATCCTGTTCTATTGTCCAGTGTGTCTGTATTTATGCTGTTACCATGCAGTTTTGATTTTTATAGCTTTGTAATATATTTTGAAATCAGGTAGTGTGAGGTCTCCAGCTTTGTTCTTTTTTCTCAAGACTGTTTTGGCTATTTGCAATCTTTTGTGGTTCCAAGTGAATTTTAGGAAATGCTTTTTCTATTTTTGTGAAATATAAAATTGGAATTTTCATAGGAATTGCACAAACACAAAATATCCTTCCATTTGTGTGTTCTTCCATTTCTGTTATCATTGTTTTGCAGTTTTCAGGATACAGATCTTTCACATCCTAAGTGAACTTTAATCCTGAGTACAGTTTTGTGATGCTATTGTAAATGGAATTGCTTTCTTAATTTCTTTCTTAGTTTGTAGCATATAGAAACACAACTGAAACTTGTATGTTGATTTTGTATCTTGTAAATTTACTGAATTTGTTTATCAACTCCAACAGTTTTTTGGTGGAATCTGTCAGGTTTTCTATTTATAGGATAAGGTCATAAGCAAACAGAGACAATTTCACTTCTGTCTGACTTTGTTAGCTTTTATTTCTTTGTTGTAATTCCGTTTGTCTATTTTTACTTTCAAAGTTTTATCCATAAAATCTTTGACCCAGACCAATACCTTGAAGCATTTCTCCAACTTTTCCTATAGTAGTTTCATAGTTTCAGGTCTTACATTTAAGTCTAAAATACATTTCTATTTGATTTTTGTATATGGTGAGAGATAGGATTCTAGTTTCATTCTTCTGCATATGGATATCCAGTTTTCCCAGTACCATTTATTGAAGAGGATACACTTTACCCATGGTATGTCTTTGGTGCCTTCATTGAAAGTCAGTTGGCTGAATGGAGGTGGGGAGTGAGCGTGCTACCCAGCTAGGGAAACCATGCTTTTTCTACAGAACTGTGCAACCCACGTATTGGAAGATCCCACTTATAAATCCATGCCACCAGGGACTAGGGTTCTAACATCAGAGCCATGCAGATTCTCAACAGCATCTCAGCTAGAATCTGATTAAGTTTCTAGTTAGAACTTAACTAGAGTTCAGTTCTAGGGAGTTTCTAGAACTCCCCTGCTGAGTTCCTGGAGAGATGGGTGACCAGCACCACAGCTGCAGCTGCCTGTTAAGCTGATTGAGCTCCCTGGGGGGAGAGGCAACCGCCAGCACTGGGACTGACAGCTGCCTAACACACTAAGCTCCATGGGCAGGGGAAGGGTGGGAGCCATCTCTATAGCTTGAGGCCACAATTTTCCCCTGCTGGAGCCAGGGAGGCTGGATGACTTGGTCCCAAGGGATGTCCCCCACAACCTAACACACTGGCTATGTGGCAGACTGTGGCCAGAGCAACTCTTCAGGCTTGATGCTGACCCATCCCTCCTCACTGGGTGGGGCCTCCCTGCAGGAACTCCACCAACTTCATCCATGGGCTCAGGGACAGAACTCTGATCTCCCTGGGCCTGAGCCCCTAGGGGAAGGCATGGCCACAGTCTCTGTGGATCAGCAGACTTAGCCTTTCCTCCTGCTACTGCTGAGGAATCCAGGCAGCCTAGACCAGTGGGTTTCTGCCCAGTGAGGTACATCCCCTCCACCAAGGGACAGTCAAAGTGCATGATTAAATGGATTCTGTTCCCTGTGCCACCCAGCTGAGTGAGACCCTTCAACAGGAGTTGTCAGACACCCTATACAGGAGCAATTCTACTGACATCAGGTCAATGTCCCTTGAGATCAGAGATCCCAAAGGAAGAAATAAGCACCCAACTTTGCTGTTCTCCAGCCTCCAGGTGTGGAAGAGAACCAGATGAATAGGGCCTGAAGTGAACCCCCAGCAAACCACAGCAGCTGTAGAGAAGAGGGACCTGACCATTGAAAGAAAAACAAACAGAAAGCAACAACAACAGTATCAACCACAAAAAAAGTACCAACAAAAACCCCAAGGGACAGCAGCTCCAAAAATCAAAACTTAAACAAACTCATGAAGAAGAGAAAGAATCAACAACAACAACAACAACAAAACTGAAAACCCAAAATACCAGAGTGCCTCTTTTCCTCCAAATGATTGAACTCCTCTCTAGCAAGGACACAGAACTGGACAGAGAATGAGATGGACGAATTGACAGAAGTAGGCTTCAGAAGATGGGTAATAACAAACTTCTCTGAGTGAAAGAAGCATATTTTAACCCAATGCAAAGAAGCTAAGAAGGTAGATAAAGGGTTAGAGGAGATGCTAACTAGAATAACCATTTTAGAGAGGAATATAAATGACCTGATGGAGCTGAAACACACAGCACAAGAACTTGGTGAAGCATACACAAGTATCAACAGCTGAATTGACCAAGTGGAAGAAAGGATATCAGAATTTGAAGACCATCTTGCTGAAAAAGGGCATGCATACAAAATTAGAGAAAAAAGAATGAAAAGGAACGAACAAAGCCTCAGAGAAATATGGGACTATATAAAGACTGAATCTATGATTGACTGGAGTACCCGAAGGAGACGGGGAGAATGGAAACAAGCTGGAAAACACACCCCAGGAGAAATTCCCTAACCTAGTAAGAACAACATTCAAATTCAGGAAATACAGAGAACACTACTAAGATATTTCATGAGAAGATCAACCCGAAGACACATGATCATCAGACTCTCCAAGGTCAAAATGAAGGAAAAAGTGTTAAGGCAGCCAGAGAGAAAGGTCAGTTAACCTACAAAGGGAAGACCATCAGACTAACAGTGGATCTCTCAGCAGAAACCCTACAAGCCAGAAGAGAGTGGCGGCCAATATTCAACATTCTAAAAGAAAAGATTTGTCAACCCAGAATTTCATATCCAGACAAATTAAGCTTTTAACTGAAGGAGAAATAAAATCTTTTCCAGACAAGCAAATGCTAAGGGATTTTTTTCACCACTAGGCCTTCCTTGCAAGAGCTCCTGAAGGAAGCACTAAATATGGAAAGGAAAAACTGGAACTAGCCACTGCAAAAACACACCAAAATGTAAAGACCAATGACACCATGAAGAAACTGCATCAACTAGTGCGCAAAATAACCAGCTAGGATCATGATGACAGCATCAAATTCACATATAACAATATTAACCTTAAATGTAAATGAGCTAAATGCCCTAATTGAAAGACAGAGTGGCACATTGGATAAAGAGTCAAGACCCATCAGTGTGCTGTATTCAGGAGACCCATCTCATGTGCAAAGACACAGGCTCAAAATAAAGGAATGGAGGAATATTTACCAAGCAAATGGGAATCAAAAAAAGCAGAGGTTGCAATCCTAGTCTCTGATAAAACAAACTTCCCAACAAAGATCAAAACAGACAAAGAAGGACATTACATAATGCTAAAAGGATCAATGCAACAAGAAGAGCTAACTATCCTAAACATATATGCACCCAATAAAGGAACACCCAGATTCATAAAACAAGTTCTTAGAGACCTACAAAGAGACTTAGACTCCCACACAACAAAAATGGGAGACTTTAACACCCCACTATCAATATTAGACAGATCAACAAGACAGAAAATTAACAAGGATATTCAGGACTTGAACTCTGCTCTGGACCAAGCAGAACTAATAGACATCTAAAGAACTCTCCACCCCAAATCTGCAGAATATACATTCTTCTCAGTGCCACATGGCACTTATTCTAGAATTGACCACATAATTGGAAGTAAAACACTACTTAACAAATGCAAAGCAATGGAAATCATAACAGTCTCTCAGACCACAGTGCAATCTAATTAGAACTCAGGATTAAGAAACTCACTCAAAAACCACACAACTACATGGAAATTGAAAAACCTGTTCCTGAAAGATTCCTGGATAAATAGCAAAATTAAGGCAGGAATCAAGTTCTTTGAAACCAATGAGAACAATGAGACAACGTACCAGAATCTCTGGGACACAGCGAAGGCAGTGTTAAGAGGGAAATTTATAGCACTAAATGCTCACATCAGAAAACTGGAAAGCTTTGAAATCGACACCCTAACATCACAATTAAAAGAACTAGAGAAGCAAGAGCAAACAAATCCAAAAGCTATCAGAAGACAAGAAATAACTAAGATCAGAGCAGAACTGAAGGAGATAGAGACACAAAAAAACCCTCCAAAAATCAATGAATCTAGGAACTGGTTTTTGAAAAAATTAACAAAATAGACTGGTAGCTAGACTAATAAGGAAGAAAAGAGAGAAGAATCAGAAAGGCACAATGAAAAATGATAAAGGGGATATCACCACTGACCGCACAGAAATAGAAACTATCCTCAGAGAATACTATAAACACCTCTCCACAAATAAACTAGAAAATCTACAAGAAATTGATAAACTCCTCGACACATACACCCTCCCAAGACTAAACCAGGAAGAAGTCGAATTCTTGAATAGACCAATAACAAGTTCTGAAATTGAGGCAGTAATTAATAGCCTACCAACCAAAAAAAAAAAAAAAAAAGCCCAGAAGCAGACAGATTCACAGCCGAAATCTACCAGAAGTACAAAGAGGAGTTGGTACCATTTCTTCTGAAACTATTCCAAAAAATTGAAAAGGAGGAACTCCTCCCTAACTCATTTTATGAGGCCAGCATCATCATACCCAAACCTGGCAGAGACACAACAAAAAAAGGAAACTTCAGGCCGATATTCCTGATGAACATCAATGCAAAAATCCTCAATAAAATACCAGCAAACCAAATCCAGCAGCACATCAAAAAACTTATCCACCACGATCAAGGCAGCTTCATCCTTGGGATGCAAGGCTGGTTCAACATACACAAGTCAATAAACGTAATCCATCACATAAACAGAACCAAAGACAAAAACCACATGATTATCTCAATAGATGCAGAAAAGGCCTTTAATAAAATTTCACATTCCTTCATGTTAAAACTCTCAACAAACTAGATATTGATGGAAAATATCTCAATAATTTATAGATATAATGTTATTCCCATCAAACTAACATTCACATTCTTCACAGAATTAGACAAACCCACAGCCAATATCATATTGAATGGGCAAAAGCTGGAAACATTTCCTTTGAAAACCGGCACAAGACAAGGATGCCCTCTCTCACCACTTTTTTTTCAACATAGTATTAGAAGTTCTGGCCAGGGCAATCAGGCAAGAGAGAGAAATAAACGATATTCAAATAGGAAGAGAGGAAGTCAAACTGTCTCTGTTTGCAGATGACACGATTGTATATTTAGAGAACCCCATTGTCTCAGCCACAAAACTTCTTAAGCTGATAAGTAACTTCAGCAAAGTCTCAGGATACAAAATCAATGTGCAAAAATTACATGCATTCCTATACATCAACAATAGACAAGCAGAAAGCCAAATCATGAGTGAACTCCCAATCACACTTGCTACAAAGAGAATAAAATACCTAAGGATACAGCTAATAAGGGATGTGAAGGACCTTAAGGACCTCTTCAAGGAGAACTACAAACCACTGCTCAAGGAAATAAGAGAGGACACAAACAAATGGAAAAACATTCCATGCTCATGGATAGGAAGAATCAATATCATGAACATGGCCGTACTGCCCATAGTAATTTATAGATTTAATGCTCTTCCCATCAAACTACCATTGACATTCTTCACAGAATTAGAAAAAACTACTTTAAAGTTCGTATGGAACCAAAGAAGAGTGCATATAGCCAAGACAGTTCTAAGCAAAAAGAACAAAGCTGGAGGCATCACACTACCTGACTTTAAACTGTAATGCAAGGCTACAGTAACCAAAACAGCATGGTACTGGTACCAAGACAGACAGACCAATGGAACAGAACAGAGACCTTAGAAATAACACCACACATCTACAACCATCCATTCTTCGATGAACCTGACAAAAACAAGCAACAGGGAAAGGATTTTCTATTCAATAAATGGTGCCGGGAGAACTGGCTAGCCCATATGCAAAAAGCAGAAACTGTACCCCTTCCTTACACCTTATACAAAAATTAACTCAAGATGGAATAAAGACTCAAATGTAAATCCCAAAACCATAAAAGCCTTAGAAAAAAACCTAGGCAATAACATTCAGGACATAGGCATGGGCAAAGACTTCATGACATAAACACCAAAAGCAATTGCAACAAAAGCCAAAATTGACAAATGGGATCTAATGAAACTAAAGAGCTTCTTCACAGCAAAAGAAACTATCATCAGAGTGAACAGGCAACCTACAGAATGGGAGAAAATTTTTGCAGTCTACCCACCTGACCAAGGTCTAATACCCAGAATCTACTAGGAACTTAAATTTACAAGATAAAAACAATGTCATCCAAATGTGGGCAAAGTATATGAACAGACGCTATTCAAAAGAAGACATTTATGTGGCCAACAAACATATGGAAAAAAAGCTCAACATCACTGATCATTAGAGAAATGCAAATAAAAACCACAATAAGATATCATCTCATGCCAGTCAGAATGGCAATTATTAAAAAGTCAATAAACAACAGATGTTGGTGAGGCTGTGAAGAAATAGGAATGCTTTTACATTATTGGTGGAATGTAAACTAGTTCAACCATTGTGGAAGACAGTGTGGTGATTCCTCAAGGACCTAGAACCAGAAATACCATTTGACCCAGCAATTTCATTACTGGATATATACCTGAAGGAACAGAAATCATTCTATTATAAAGATACATGCACACATATGTTTATTGCAGTACTATTCACAATAGCAGTAACGTGGAACCAACCAAAATGCCCATCAATTTAAACTAGATAAAGAAAATGTGGTACATATACACCATGGAATACTATGCAGCCATAAAAAGAGATTATTTCCTTTGCAGGGACATGGATAAAGCTGGAAGCCTTCTTCCTCAGTAAACTAACACAGGAACAGAAAACCAAGCACCTCATGCTCTCACTCATAAGTGGGAGTTGAACAATAAGAACACATGGACACAGGGAGGGGAACAACACACTCTGGGGTCTGTTGGGGGGTGTGGGATGAGGGGAGGGAACCTAGAGGACGGGTCAATAGATGCCGCAAACCACCATGGTACACGTATACCTATGTAACAAACCTGCACGTTCAGCACATGTATCCTGGAACTTTAAGTAAAATAACAAGAAAATCAGTTGGCTGTAAAATATGTGGATTTACTTCAGGGTCTTCTGTTCTGTCCTGGTGTATGTGTCTGTTTTTTATGCCAGTTTCATGCTGCTTTGGTTACTGTAGCTTAGTAGTATATTTTGAAATTATTTTAGTGCCTACAGCTTTGTTCTTTTTGTGCAAGATTGCTTTGCTTATTCAGGGTGTTGTGTATTTCCATTCACATTTTATAATTATTTTCTCTTTCTATGAAGAATGTAATTTGTATTGTGATTGGGAATGCATTGAATTTGTATATTGCTTCGGGTAGTGTGGACATTTTAACAATGTTAATTCTTCTAACCTATTAGCATGGGCTGTCTTTCCGTGTTTTTGTGTGTGTGCCCTTTTTAATTTCTTTCATCAATGTTTTATGATTTTCATTACAGAAATCTTTTACCTCTTTGAGTAAATCTATTCCTAAAAAATTTTTTGTATCTATTGTAAATGGGATTTTTCGAAATTTCTTTTTCAGATTGTTTATTGTTGGCATATAGATATGCTACTGACATTCATGTGTTGATTTTGCATCCTGCAACTTTACTGAATTTGAAAGATTGGTGACATCTTTAGGCTTTCCTAATTATATATGATCATGTCATCTGCAAATAGGACAATTTTAGTTCTTTCTTCCTTTGTTGCTTTATATTTCTTCCTTTTGCCTTATTGCTGTGGCTAAAACTTCTAGTAAAATTTTGGTCAAAATAGTGAAAGTGGACATCCTGGTTTTGTTCCAGATCTTAAAGGAAACACTTTCAATTTTTCCCTATTTAGTATAATGTTAGCTGTGGTTTTATCATATATGGGCATTATTGTTTTTGAGATATATTTCTTCTGTACTCAGTTTGCTGAGAGTTTTTACTTTGAAGGTTGTTGAATTTTATCAAATGCTTTTTCTGCACTGATTAAAATGATTTATATTTTTACTCTTTTATTCTGTTGATATGGTTTATCACATTTACTGATTGTGTATGTTGCGCTATCCTTACATTCCTGGGATAAATCCCACTTGATCATGGTATTTATCTTTTTAATGTGTTACTAGATATTCATTTTGCTAGTATTTTGTTGAGGACTTTTGCATTTATGTTCATGACGTATATTAGCCTGTAGTTTTTCTCTTGTATTCTTCTCTGGCTTTGGTATCAGGTTAATGCGGGCCTTGTAGAATGAATTAGGAAGCATTTCTTTGTTTTCAGTTTTTTAGAGTAGTTTGAGAGGAATTGTTATTAGTTCTTCTTTAAAAGTTTGGCAGAATTCAGCCATAAAGCCATCCACTCCTGGGCATTTTGTTGTTTTGAGATGTTTTATTGGTGAATGAATCACATTTCACATTATTGGTCTGTTCAGATTTTAGTGTTCTTTCTGATTCCGTCTTGGTAAATTTGTCCAGGAATTTGTCCATTATTTTGGTTTTCCAGTTTGTTGGCATATAGTTCATAACAGTCTCTAGTGATTCTTTTTATTTCTGTAGTATCCCTTATAATGTCTCCTTTTTCAATTTGATTTTATTTATTTGGCTTTTTCTTTTATTTTAAGTTCAAAGGTACATGTGGCAAATATGCAGGTTTGTTACATAGGTAAATGTGTGCCATGATGGTTTGCCGTGCAGATCATCCCATCACCTAGGTATTAAGCCCACCATCCATTAGTTGTTCTTTCTGATACTCTTCATTCTCACCTCCCACCCTCTGACAAGCCCCAGTGTGTTGTTCCCCACTGTGTGTCTGTGTGTTCTCATCATTCAGCTCCAATTTATGAGTGAGAATGCGGGTATTTGGTTTTCTCTTCCTGCGTTATTTGCTGAGGATAATGGCCTCGAGCTCCATTCATGTCACTTCAAAGGATACAATCGCATTCCTTTTCATGGCTACATAATATTCCGTGGTGGTGGTGTGTGTGTGCGTGTGTGTGTGTGTATGTGTGTATGTATATATATACACACACACTATATACACTATATATACACACATACAAACACTATATACACACAATATTGTGGGTGTGTATATATATGTACATATATATACAATATTGTGTATATATAGTGTGTGTATATATATACATATATACACAATATTGTGTATATATATATACATATATACACAATATTGTGTATATATATATACATATATACACAATATTGTGTATATATATATACATATATATACAATATTGTGTATATATAGTGTGTGCATATATATACATATATATACAATATTGTGTATATATAGTGTGTGTATATATATATATAGTGTGTGTGTGTGTGTGTATATATATATATATATATATACACACACCACATTATCAAGTCTATCATTGATGGGCATTTCTGTTGATTCCATTGATTCTTTTGATTCTCTCTTTGCTGTTGTGAGTAGTGCTGCAATTAACATATGCATGCTTATCTTTATAATAGAATGATTTATATTCCTTTGGTATATTCCCAGCAATGGGATTGCTGGGTCAAATAGTATTTCTGCCTCTAGGTATTTGAGGAATTGCCACACTCTCTTCCATAATGGTTAAACTAATTTACACTCCCACCAATGGTGTAAAAGCATTCCTTTGCCTCCACAACCTCACTAGCATCTGTTGTTTTTTGACTTTTTAATAATAGGCATTCTAACTGATGTGAGATCGTATCTCATTGTATTTTGATTTGCATTACTCTAATGATCAGTGATATTGAGCATTTTTTATGTTTGTTAGGCATTTGTATGTCTTCCTTTGAGAGGTGTCTGTTTATGTCTTTTGCCCACTTTTTAATGGATTTTTCTCTTGTTAAGTTTGTTTAAGGTCCTTGTAGATGCTAGATATTAGACCTTTTCAGATGGATGGATTGCAAAAATTTTCTCCTATTCTGTAGATTTTTTGTTCACCCTGATAATAGTTTATTTTGCTGTGCAGAAGCTCTTTAGTTTAACTAGATCCCATTTGTCAATTTTTGCTTTTGTTGCAATTGCTTTTGGCATCTTCATCGTGAAATGTTTGTTCCTGTCTATTTCCTGAATGGTGTTGCCTAGATTTTCTTTTAGGGATTTTATAGTTTGGGGTTTTATATTTAAGTCTTTCATCAGTCTTGAGTTGATTTTTATATATGGTATAAGGAAGAGGTCTATTTTTCAGTTTTTTGCATATGGCTAGCCAGTTCTCCCAGCACCATTTCTTAAACATGGAATCCTTTCCCATTGCTTGTTTTTCTCAGGTTTGTCAAACATCAGTTGGTTGTAGGTGTGCAGTCTTAGTTCTGGGTTCTCTATTCTGTTCCAATGGTCTGTGTGTCTGTTCTTTTACCAGTACCATGCTGTTTTGATTACTGTAGCCTTGTAGTATAGTTCAGAGTCAGGTAGCGTGATGCCTTCAGCTTTATTGTTTTTTGCTTAGGATAGCCTTGGCCATTCAAGCTCTTTTTTTGTGTCATATGAATTTTAAAATAGTTTTTCTAAGTCTGTGAAGAATGTCAGTGGTAGTTTAATGGGAATAGCATTGCATTTATAAATTGCTTTGGGCAGTGTGGTTATTTTCACAATATTGATTCTTCCTATCCGTGAGCCTGGAATTTTTTCCACTTGTTTGTGTCATTTCTGATTTCTTTGAGCAGTGTTTTGTAGCTCTCCTTGAAGAGGTCCTTTACTTCCCTTGTAGGCTATATTCCTAGGTATTTTATATTCTTTTTTTAATTTTTTTTTTTTTTTTGAGACAGAGTCTTACTCCATCGCCCAGACTGGAGTGCAGTGGCACGATCTCGGCTCACTGCAAGCTCCACCTTCCGGGTTCACGCCATTCTCCCACCTCAGCCTCTGGAGCAGCTGGGACTACAGGTGCCCGCCACCATGCCCGGCTACTTTTTTTTATTTTTTAGTAGAGACAGGGTTTCACCATGTCAGCCAGGATGGTCTTGATCCCCGACCTCATGATCCACCCGCCTCAGCCTCCCAAAGTGCTGGGATTACAGGCGTGAGCCACTGCGCCCAGCCGTATTTTATACTCTTATTGTGGAAATTGTGAATGGGAGTTCATTCATGATTTGGCTCTTGGCTTGCCTGTTGTTGGTGTATAGGAATGCCAGTGATTTTTGCACATTGATTTTGTATCTTGTAACTTTCCTGAAGTTGCTTATCAACTTAAGCTTTTGGGCTGAGACATTGGGATGTTCTAGATATAGAATCAGGTCAACTGCAAATAAAGATAGTTTAACTTCCTCTCTTGATATTTGAATATGCTTTATTTCTTTTTCTTGCCTAATTGCCCTAGTCAGAACTTCCAATACTATGTTGAATAGGAATGGTGAGGGGGCATTCTTGTGTTTTCCCAATTTTCAAGGAGAATGCTTCCAGCTTTTGCTCATTCAGTATGATATTGGCTGTAGATTTTTCATTTATGGCTCTTATCATTTTGAGGTATATTCCTTCAATATCTAGGTTATTGAGAGCTTTTAACATGAAGGGATGTTGAATTTTATTGAAGGCCTTTTTTTGTCTATTGAGATAATTATGTAGTTTTTTTCTTTACTTCTGTTTATGTGATGAATCACATTTTTTGATTTGTATACGTTGAACCAACCTTGTATTCCAGGGAGAAAGACAACTTGATCATGGTGGATAAGCCTTTTAATGTGCTGCTGGATTTGGATTGCCAGTATTTTGTTGAGGATTTTTGCATTGATGTCGTCAAGGATATTGGCCTGAAGGTTTTTTTGTTGTTGTTGTGTATCTGCCATTTTGGGGGTATTAGGATGATGCTGGCTTCATCAAATAAATTAGGGAGGAGTCTCTCCTTTTCAATTTATTGGAATAGTTTTAGTAGGAATGGTACCAGCTCTTCTTTGTACCCCTGCTAGAATTCAGCTGTGAATCCTGGTCCTAGGTTTTTTTTTTTTTTTTTTTTTTTTTTTTTTTGGTTGGTAGGCTATTTATTACGGCCGCAACTTCAGAACTCATTATTGGTCTATTCAGGGATTCACTTTCTTCCTGGTTCAGTCCTAGGAGGTTGTATGTGCCCAGGAAAATATCCGTTTCTTCTTTATTTTCTAGTTTATGTGTATAGAGGTATTTATAGTATTCTCTGATGGTTTGTTGTATTTCTATGTGGTCAGTGGTGTTATTTTCCTTATCATTTCTGATTGTGTTTACTTGATAATCTTCTCTCTTTTTTTCTTTATTAGTCTAGGTAGAATTCTATTTTATTATTTAAAAAAAAATCCATCTCCTGGATTTGTTTTTTGAAGGTTTCTTTTTGTGTCTCTATCTCTTTCAGTTCCACTCTGATCTTGCATATTTCTTATCTGCTACTAAATTTGGCATGTTTGTTCTTGGTTCTCTAGTTCTTTTTGTTGTGATGTTAGGTTGCTAACTTGAGGTCTTTCTAGCATTTTGATGTGGGCATTTAGTGCTATAAATTTCCCTCTTAACACTGCTTTAGCTGCATCCCAGAGATTCTGGCACATTTTATCTTCGTTCTCATTTGTTTAAAGAACTTCTTGATTTCTTTCTGCCAAGTCTGACTGGCAGACCCTGGCCAAGCAATGGATGAAAAAATTTATGCAGACACAGGTTTTTTGCCTGGCCGTGTGGCTAGGGGACCAGGCCACCCACAGACACTGAGGAGGGTGCCATAAAGAGTCCCAGCAGCCATGGCCCTGACAAGCCAGTGCTGCGGGGATTTATTTAGCACAGGTTTAATGACAAAGGCTTTGAGTCAACGTACTTGTGGGTAATTAACATGGTCACCTCCCTGGAGAGAGCAGCACTGCACACAAATGATTAAAGGCCAGGTTCCAAGGCCTAAGTAAAGTAACTTATCTAGATCAATTCCTTTACACTTCCTTGTTATCTACCTCTTGCTCTCAGGCTCTGGATAAGAGAATTTGGCTGCCTTCAGTCAAATTATCTTTCAAAGCTTTTGCAAAACCTGGCCTTCCAAGAAGGTTTGTGTTTTTCCTATAATTTCTCCCACCACCCTGAATGATCTCCTACATCTTCCCCTTTTCTTTTTTTTTTTTTTTTTTTTTTTGCATCAGGAATTTTGTTGATTGAAGAGTACAGATGTGTGCAGCAATGTAACTATGAATCTTTTGTGTCCGACCTGGGACAGGGCACGTTCTAAGGTGGTAAGAGCAGAGGAGCCTTGCCAATCGCATGTCAAATTGACTGGCAGGAATGCCTTAGATTGTCTCCTTAATACCATGACACTTGCAATTTAAATTAGATATATTGTAATTAGTGATACAAGAGGCGAACCAAGCCTGTCCCTGCACTCAGGTCACAAACGTGGAGTTTTGGGATGTAATGGAAATATTGGTTCCCATAAGGAAAACATATGGTTGGGTAGTGCAAATCAGGCACTGATCAGTGTGATTATGAAAAAATGTCATAGTGTAATTGTGACTGGAATTATATGTCCCATGCCAGGTGTTAAGGGAGGTGCTAAGATGTCCCAGGCACCATAAAGTGTCTTGGGGTGGCATGGACTCTACTTGGGGTCTGGGATACCCCATTACCCTATCGGCCCAAATTATAGGGGAGCAGGACGTGGCTACGAAACTGTCATTGATGCCATGATAGACGCGGACATCAGTATGATCACCCTGAAATGGCTGTGGGAGCTCCAGTCTAAGATGTTATAATTGCCTAACTGGAGGCTACGGGCTTGTCCCCCAAGACAGACCTCCCAGCCAAAGTGGAATCCATTACTTTCTTGGCTTTGTTCTTTAGCACAGGGAGGAATGCTGGGGAAAGTAGCATTGGTGGCATTGCCCAGTTTGAGGCTACCTGCAACTAAGACTGTTAAGGCATTTCCTTTACCATGATGTAGCCATAATTGTGTTTGGGCAGGTACACAGTAAGGGTTAGAACTTTTATAATTTACACACAGTAGGAGGATAGTGGAGTGATATGTAGTGTTACCTGGCACCTTAGTCCAATGTGTGCCATTAATGAGGGACCCCACTGGGGGTAAATCTATTCCTCCTAGCCAAGCAGTTACATTATTAGAGGCTGGAAAGGGGGTGTCTGCCCAGGTGACAGGGCGGAAGAAAGGCGGATGCAAGGTATGAGCCCAATAGAGTGTAGCAGGTACAGGTTGCAGACAAAGCAAGAGCATAAAAAGGATTAATACCCTACGCGAGTTGCAGTGTACAACAGAGAGCATAGCAAGGAACAGATTATCTGGAGTGAATGGTGTCTTGTGTCCAGAGCAGAATTTGCTCAGCCTCCAGAGTTGTCTTCTTCAGCATCCCCCAGATAATGTCCAGGGCTTGTGTCGTCCAAGGGAGCTGCATCGTCTGGGTCTGCAGATCCTGCAGGGTCATTTTCTTCATTTCTGGTACCGGGTTGGGTCCTAGCCACGCCATGGTATGGTTTGATGCATCGTGCTGGAATCCAAAGAGGACCTGAGGGGGTATGAACACAAGCATATCCTCTTCCCCACATTAACAAATTATTTGGACCACACCATACATTACTGTTTATGTCTTTCCATAAAACGGTGGGCTTTATGTCTTGAGAGGTTTTAGCAAAGTGCTTTTCTACAGCTGATTGAAATTTATCATTTAAATTTAAGAAATCAAGGGTAAATAAGGCTTGTGCTAGTGGTGTTGCAGGGTCCTTACTCATAGTCCTCCTTTTTTGTTTTTTGAGCATATTTTTAAGGGTGGCGTGGGTACGTTCTACTATGGCCTGTCCTTGGGGGTTATACAGGATGCTTGTGGAATGTTGGATGTTCCATGTGTGACAAAATTGTTGAAATTGTGAGCTGGCATAAGCCATACCATTGTCAGTTTTAATTTTTGTGGGCCGCCCCATAAAGGCAAAAGTTAAAAGAAGATGTTTAATGACGTGTCAGGTGGACTCTCCAGGAAAGGCATGAGTGCTAATTAAGTGAGAATCATTATCAACAGATACATGAACATATCTTAGTTTTCAAATTCAGGGATGTGTGTAACATCTGTTTGCCATAACTAATTAGGTTCTAGTCCTCTAGGGTTAACACCTCTTGAAGGAGGGGACATGCCTGTGAGCTGGCAATCTGGGCATTGCAGGATAATTTATTTAGCTAGTCTCTGGGTAAGTTGAAATTGTTAAGTTTCTCCAATTTTGGTGGAAAAATTGATGCAATTGGGTGGCTTGATCAAACAATGATGTCATAACTTGTAAGTCTGCTTGATCATTGCCATTAGCCAATGGGCCAGGCAGTGAGCTGTGGGCTCAAATATGTGATATTTGGATGTGTACATTGATCTAGCAGTTGCTGAAGTCGAAGAAAAAGTGCACACAGGGTGGGCTCCAGAGTGGACTTCATGAGGGCTGTTTCAAGGTTCTGCAGTAAATAAACAGAATAAGCAGAGTCACTAACAATATTGATGGGCTGAGCAGAAAAAGTTTCCAGGGCTCCAACTTCAGCTCTGAGTGCTAGTAAATCCAGAATGAGTGAGGGAATTATGCGGTCTCCACCAAACAGCCACTTTTCCATGTTTACCAGAGTCATTCGTAAACAGTGTTAAAGCGTTAGGTATGGGGGAGTGAAATATTTTTGTAGGCAAAACCACAGAAGTATGCTAGATGATGAGTTAGTGGGTTCAGCGCACCAGCATGGCACATGTATACATATGTAACTAACCTGCACACTGTGCACATGTACCCTAAAACTTAAAGTATAATAATAAAAAAATAAATAAAAATAAATAAATAAATAAAAATAAATAATAAAAAAAAAGAAGTATGAGATAAGAACTGAAGTAGTTTATCAGCAGGAAGGGCATGCTCTATATGGCCTGGTAATCAGAAAGTGCTATTTGCAGGTCTGAAGATAATGGCAATACTGCTTCGAATTGCTTTTTACTTAAAGGAATTCTGATGACATCAGGGTCATAACCTAGCAACTGATTGCATTGTCTGCCACCTGAATGGATGACTTTACTAACTAGTTGGATATAGGGAGAGAGTGTTTTAGTCCCAGTAGTGAGCAAAAAAACCTGTTCTAGAAAGCTCAGCCCTGGGGGCATCTGTCCTGTTAACCCTATTGGGGAATGTTTAGTGGGAAAAACAAACAACTGAACTGAATATTGTGGATCTTATGCGATCTAGTTGCCTCTGAGAAATAGCTTGCTCTATTTCTTCTATTTCCCTTTTTGCTGCAGGAGTTAAATACCTTGGAGAGTCTAGGGCAGCATCACCCTTTAAGATAGAAAACAGATTTTGTAACTTATCAGTAGTTTTGCCCAAGATGAGGTGAAGTCAGTTAATATCGCCTAGTAATTTCTGATAATCATTTAAGATGTGCAAGTTGCTAGTATTTAATTTAACCCTTCTGAGGTCTTACTGACCAGGAAGTTAGTATGTACCTGAGATATTTCCAAGGAGAGAACATTTGTAGTTTTTCAGGTGCTATGATTAAACCTCTTAACTGTATTCTTTACAACAGGGGCGTATAAACTTAAAAATACTGGCTTATTGGGGCTGCTAGTAGAATATCATCCATAAAATGAATAATTGTGCAATTAGGAAATTATTTTCCATTGGGGATCAAAGCTTGATTTACATGATACTGACACGTGGTAGGACTGTTCAGCATTCCTTGAAGAAGCACTTTCCAGTGAAATTGGCGAGCTGGCCTTTCATTATTGATAGCTGGTATTGTAAACAGAAATTTTTCTCTGTCCTGTTCTGCAACGGGAATAGTATAAAAACAGTCTTTTAAGTCAATAACAACTAAGGCCAATCTTGAGGAATCACCATGGGGGAAGGGAGGCCCTGTTGAAGGGGTCCCATAGGTTGCAAATTAGCATTGATAGCCCATAGATCATGCAAAAGTCTCCATTTACCGGACTTTTGGGGAATGACGAAAATGGGCGAATTCCAAGGGCTTTTTGATTGTTCTATGTGGCCGGCTTTTAATTGCTCAACTAATTCATGGGCTCTTTGTAATTTTTCTCCCTTTAAAAGCCACTGTGCTACCCAAATTGGATCTTGAGAGAGCCATGTCAGGGGTAGGGGAAGGATAATAACAGTGCCCTTTATTAGAAAGGGGTCTGCAGAGTGACTCCCCCATTGGGCTAATAGGTCTCGTTCCCCAAAGATTAACAGGGATGAGCATGATTAGAGGTTGTATAAGTGCCTTTCTTCCCTCTGAATTGCAACATGTTAGGGGGCATGTGCTCTGCTTGGCTGTGTGTGCTTCCCTGACGCTGACAATTTTTTGTTTCTGAGTGACCCAAGGCCAAGTTTCTGTCCAGTTTTGATGACTAATTATCGAAATGTCCGCCCCTGTGTCCAATAAGCCAGAAAAATTTTTATTTCCAAGTTTTAAGGTAATCATGTGTCTCTGATCAGTGATTAATTGGTTCAGATATACTCCTGTGGCTCCCGTGCTTCCAAAACTTCCCTTTCCCCTTTCTTTTCCCTGGGCATTGGGGACCCAGTACAGTAAAGTATTAACTGAGCTATCTTTGATCCAGGGGAAAGGATATGCAGACCTTTACATTCCATCATAACTAGTATCTCACCTTGATAATCACTACCCCGGTAAGCACATTAATTCCTTTACTGGATAGACTTAATCGCCCTAGGACTAATCCCACTGTTCCTGGAGGCAGGGGCCCCAGATCCCAGTTGCAACCCTTTTAGGGTCTTCTCCTTCTTTTAGCCCTGATTCTTTGGGGCAGAGTAAGTCCAGTCCTGTGCTCCCAGTGGTGGCAGCTCTGAGAGAGAGGACTGTGGGCTTTTCATCTGACCGAGGAAAGCCACTGGCATTGCTCCAATTTAGAACAGGGCCTGGGACCAGTCCCTCATGAAGTTTCCCACCTGATTACTTATGGGGTTGCTGTTTTTATCAATTTGGACCTGCATTGATTTGCCCAATGTTTCCCTTTTTACATCGGGGCATATAGAAAGGGGTTGTTTTCCTGAGTTACCTTAGTCTCTACTATTGGGGGGCATTCCCACTTCATATGACCTGGCTCTCCACGTAGAAAACAATTTGGGTTCCTCTCACTTTTCACTTCAGGAGGCCTTAATGCCATAGCCAATATTTTGGCTTTGTGTGTTTTAGTCCCCACCAGTTGACATGCTCGTATAAGTTCCCCAACTGTGGCTGCCTTTCCTCTGATTGCCTGCCTTGCTTGCTGGCAGTTGATGTTAGCATTTTCATAAGCCAGTTGCAACAATAAGATACCAGTGGCCTGGGTGTGACTAATTTGTCTCTTAATTGCCTGGGTTAACCAATTGATAAATTCAACAAATGGCTCCTGAGGCCCTTGTCGAACATTTACAAAAGATCCCTGTTGAACTCCACTTTGGGGAATTCAGTCCCAAGCCCTGAGATCACACAAAGACACTTGTGTATAGACCTGGGGATCAAAATTTAGTTGTTGTTGTTCATCGAATGGGGACCCCCTCCCCTAGAGCATAGCAGTGGTTGTGTCTCGCCTGGCCACTTGATTCTGGTTGGCTTGTTGTTCGCACAACTCATCATATTCTGCCCTCCAGAGGAGGTATTGGCTGGGCTCCAAAGTTGTTTTAGTTAGCACTGACTAGTCCCATGGGGTCATACAGAAGTTGTCTGCCATGGCTTCAATTATTCCTTTCGTAAATGGGCTAGCAACTCCATTTGCTTTAATGCTTTTTATCTTTTTATAAACGTTAAAAGAAATGGGTTCATATACCTGATTGCCTTGTCAATTTTGCATTAACAGGCAGGCCAAGAGCTCCCCTTCTAATGCCACTTGCCTAAGACAGGGTCCCATAGCTGCAGTGTATCCCTTGTCTTTTTTCCAATTTATTGGAGGACGGGGCTCAGGCAAAACCTCCGTTTCCTCTTTGTTATTTTTGCCCAGAAACGGCAAGGCTGAGGGAGGTGGAGGTGGAAAGGTAGGTGATGGTTCCTCTTCCCTCCCCCTTTTAGGCTCTTCTGTGTATAGTGGGACCAAAGCAGCCCTTACTAAAGCCCATACTGTTAGAGATGTTACTGGGACCCATTGCCCTTGTACATGATGTTCTTGAAGATTTCTCTTCACTTGTTCCCAGAGCTCTACATCTACCATACCTTCTTCCAGGAATCATGGGTTATGGGAAACAAAAGTTTGCATTAGGTTCCTTAATTGAGCCTGCAAAACCGAGGCTCCACTAGCTTTAAGCAGCTGTTTCAATACTTTTATATACTGTTGCTGTTGAGCTGATAACTGTTGTCCCATGATGAAACCCTAGCCTGAACAACGTCCTCAAACTTGCAAACCCCAAGCAGGCACCAGTGACTTACTGACTGTGCAGTCTCTTCATCTTCGTTTTCAAGGGTTCCATTGCGACCCATTGCAGCTATTTCTCACACAGGGCACCAGCTGCCGGGTCTGACCAGCAGACCCTGGCAGAGTGACAGATGAAAAAATGTACGCAGACACAGGTTTTTTGCCTGGTCGCATGGCTAGGGGACTGGGGCACCCACAGACACCAAGGAGGGCATCATAAAGAGTCCCAACAGCCACGGCCCTGACAAGCCAGTGCTGCAGGGATTTATTTAGTACAGATTTAATGACAAAGGCTTTGAGTCAACACACTTGTGGGTAATTAACATGGTCGCCCCCTTGGAGAGAGCAGTCCTGCAAACAAATGATTAAAGGCCAGGTTCTGAGGCCTAAGTAAACTAACCTATCTAGATCAATTCCTTTACACTTCCTTGTTATATACTATTTGCTCTCAGGCTCTGGATAAGAGAATTTGGCTGCCTTCAACCAAATTATCTTTCGAAGCTTTTGCAAAACCTCCTGGCCTTCCAAGAAGGTTTGCATTTTTCCTATAATTTCTCCCACCACCATAACCAATCTCCTACATCTGCCTTAATTTCTTTATGTACCCAAGAGTCATTTAGGAGTACATTGTTCAGTTTCAATGCAGTTGTGTGATTGTATTGGGGAGTTTATTATGTATTAACTTACACAATCACAAGGTCCCACAATAGGCTGTCTGCAAGCTGAGGAGGAAGGAAAGACCGTCCAAGTCCCAAAACAGAAGAACTTGGAGTCCAATGTTCAAGGGTAGGAAGCATCCAGCATGGGAGAAAGATGTAGGCTGGGAGGCTAGGCCAGTCTCTCCTTTTCACATTTTTCTGCCTGCTTTATATTTATTGGCAGCTGATTAGATTGTGCCCACCAGATTAAGGGTGGATCTGCCTTCCCCAGCCCACTGACTCAAATGTTAACCTCTTTTGGCAACACCATCACAGTCACACCCAGGATCAATACTTTGTATCCTTCAGTCCAACGAAGTTGACACTCAGTAATAACCCTCACAGTGGTTTTGAGTGAATTTCTTAATCTTGTGTTCTAATTTGATTGTTCTGTGCTCTGAGAGACTATTATGATTTCTGTTCTTTGCATTTGCTGAGGAGTGTTTTACTTCCAATTATGTGATCAATTTTAGAGTAAATACCATGTGGCGATGAGAAAAATGTATATTCTGTTGTTTTGGGGGTGGAAAGTTCTTAGATATCTATCAGGTACACTTGATCCAGAGGTGAGTTTAAGTCCTGAATATCTGTTAATCTTCTATCTCAATGATCTGTCTAATAGTGCCAGTGGGGTGTTAAAGTCTTTCACTATTATTGTGTGGGAGTCTAAGCATTTTGAAAGTCTCTAAAAACTTGCTTTATGAATATGGGTGCTAGTGTATTGGTTGCATATATATTTAGGTAGTTAGCTCTTCTTGTTGAATTGAACCCTTTACCATTATGTAATGCCCTCCTTTGTCTTTTTTGATCTTTGTTGGTTTAAAATCTGTTTTTTCAGAAACTAGGATAGCAACCCCTGCTTTTTTCTGCTTTTCATTTGCTTGGTAAATTTTCTTCCATCCCTTTATTTTTAGCATATTTTTGTCTTTGCATGTAGGATGGGTCTTTTGAAGACACCATACCAATATGTCTTTGTTCTTTATCCAGCTTGTCATTCTGTGTCCTTTAATTGGGGCATTTAGCCATTTACATTTAAGGTTAGTGTTATTATGTATGGATTTGATTTTTTTCATCATGATGTTAGCTGATTATTTTGCAAACTTGTTTATGTGATTGCTTCATTGTGTCACTGGTCTATGTACTTAAGTATGTTTTTGTAGTGGCTGATGACAGTTTTTCCTTTCCATATTTAGTGCTTTCTTCAGGAGCTCTTGCAGGGGAAGTCTGGAGGTAACAAATTCCCTCAGCATCTGCTTGTCTGAAAAGGATTTTATTTCTCTTTTGCTTATGAAGCTTAGTTTGGCCGGACATGAATTTGGGGGTTGGAAATTCTTTTCTTTAAGAATGTTGAATATTGGCCCCTGATTTCTTCTGGCTTGTAAGGTTTTTCACTGAGAGGTCTGCTCTTAGTCTCATGGAAGACTGCTCTTAGTCTTCCCCTTGTATGTGACTTGGCCTTTCTCTCTGGCTACCCTTAACATTTTTTCTCTCATTTCAACCTTGGAGAATCTGATGATCATGCATTGGGGATGATCTCGTGGAGTGTCTTACTGGGTTTCTCTGCATTTCTTGAATTTGAATGTTAGCCTGTCTAGCTAGTTTGGGGAAGTGCTCTTGGATGATATCCTCAAGTATGTTTTCCAACTTGGTTCCATTCTCCCAGTTTCTTTCAGGTACCCCAATCAGTCATAGATTTGGTCGCTTTACATAATTCCATATTTCTCAGAGGTTTTGTTCATTCCTTTTCATTCTTTTATCTGTATTGTTGTCTGCCTGGCTTATTTCAGAAAGATAGTCTTCCAGCTGTGACATTCTTTCCTTTGTTTGGTCTACTTTGCCATTAATACTTGTGATTCTGTTGTGAAGTTCTTGTATATTTTTCAGGTCTAACATGTCAGTTATTTTCCTCTCTAAACTGGCTATTTTGGCTGTCAGCTCCTGTATTGTTTTATCATGATTCTTAGCTTCTTGGCATTGGGTTACAACATGCTCCTTTAGCTCAGCAAATTTCATTATTACCCACCTTCTGAAGCCTACTTCTGTCATTTCAGCTATGTCAGCCTCAGCCCAGTTCTGAGCCCTTGCTGGAGAAGTGTTGTGGTCATTTGGAGGAACAGGGGCACTCTGGATTTTTTAGTTTTTAGCATTTTTTTGTTCTTTCTCATCCTTGTGGGATTATCTACCTTTGATTTTTGAGGTTGCTGACATTTGGATGGGGTTTTTGTGTTTTTTTATTGTTGTTTTCTCTCTGTTTTTCTTCTGACAGTCTGGCCTCTGTTCCATAGGGCTGCTGCAGTTTGCTGGGGGTCCGCTCTAGACCCTAGTTGCCTCAGTTTTCTCATACCTGGAGGTATCACTAGTGAATACTGCAAAACAGAAAAGATGGCAGTCAGCCTATTCCTCTGGAAGCTCCATTCCAGGGCAGTACTGACCTTTTGCCAGCCTGAACATGTCTGTAGGAGGTGACTGGAGACCCGTTTGGTGGTCTCTCCCAGTCAGGAGGAACAAGATCAGGCACCAACTTAAGCATTCTGGCTGCATTTTGGCAGAGCAGCTGTGCTGTGTTGGTGATCCCTTCAGCCCCCGATCAGTTTGGGCTTTTCAAGGCCCACAGGCTAGACCAGCTGATAAGCCCAAACAGCCAAGTTGGCAGCCTGCCTCGCCCCTCAGGCATTCCATCCCAGGGAGAGGTGGGGAGGGGTGGCCAGAAGTTCCAGCTGGGAGGACGCACCTCAGGAGGAGGAGTGGATCAGGGTCCCACTTAAAGAAGCAGTCTGGTCATGCCTTAACAGAACAGCTGTGTCATAGTGGGGAATCACGTCTGCCCCTGTGTGCTTGGACTGTCCAAAGCTAGCAGGCTGGAACAGCTGAGTGACCAACCAACCCAAGTGGTGGCTTTCCTCTCTCCCAGGCACTCCATCCCAGGGAGAGATCAGAGCTCTGTCCCTAATAGGTTCCAGCAGGCATGGCTGAAAGGTCCTGCTGGGAGGTTCTGCCCAGTGAGGAGGAATGGATCAGTGCCCTGCTTAAAGAAGCAGTCTGGCTACAATCTGGCAAAGCCACTATGTTGCATTACTCAGGGGGACCCTTCCTCATCTGAATTGTTTGGACTCTCTAAGCCCACATGGTGGAACTGCTGAGCTGTCCAATCAACCCAGGTGGTGACCCTCCTCCTCCACCCCCTGCCCACCCCCCACCACACTATGTCTCAGGGAGAGATCAGAGCTCTATCCCTAATAGTTGCCTGCAGGCGTGGCTGGAGGATCCGCCTGGGAGGTCCTGCCCAGTGTGGAAGAATGGATTTGGTCCCACTTAAAGAAGCAGTCTGGTGACAATCTGGCCAAGCCACTGTGCTGCGTTGCTGGGGAGCCCCTTTCTCCTCCAGACCATTTGGACTCTACAAAGCCCACAGGCTAGAACAGCTGAGTCGACCAAATGGCAGAGATGGCACCTATCCCTCTCCCTGTTGCCTGAGGCTGACTAGGATTCCAAGCCAGTGGTTATTATCTTGTGAAGTGAGGTGGAAATGGGGCCTGCAGAACATGCTGCTCAGCTCCCTGGACTCTACCCCCTTCCTAGGCATATATGCAGACCTCCTGTCTTGCCTGAGTTGCAGACACATTCATTGGGGATCTCCGGGTCAGAGTATGCAAAGCTCTTGGGTCTTTGTGCATGCCAGAGCAGCCACTCTGCAAGACTCCATACAGCTCTGTGTCGGACCCAAGACTCTGGTGGCATGGGCTCACAAGGAGATCTCCTGACCTGTGGGTTGCAAAGAGCCGTGAGAGAAGCATGGTTTCCCAGGGTCACACAGTCACTCACTGTTTCCTTTGGCTGGGGGTGGGGTTTCTCTTGGCTCCATGTCACTCCCAGGTGGGCCATTGCCCCACCCTGCTTTTGTTCTCTGTGTGTCGAGTTATTTCTCTAATCAGTCCCAACGTGAGAACCTAGATATTTCGGTTGAAGGTGCTATATTCACTCACCCCTTTCATTCCTCTCCTTGAGAGTGGTGGACCACAGCTGCTTCTAATCGGCCATCTTGGCCCTCCCCTTTATTTGGCTTTTCTCTTTTTCTCTTAGTCTAGCTGATGGTTTGTCTACTTTATCTTTTTAAGAACCAACTTTTTCTTTCATTTATCTTTCATATTTTTTAGTCTCTATTTTTTTCTGCTTTGATCTATATTATTTTTTCTACTAAAATTAGTAGACTAATTTTAGGTTTGGTTGGTTCTTGCTTTTCTAGTTCCTTGAGGTGCATCATTATATTCTTTCTTCTATTCTTATATTTCTTTCTATCTCATATTCTTTCTTTCAAATCTACTGTTTTGATGTAGGCATTTATTGCTATAAACTTCTTAGTATTGCTTTTGCTGTATCTTACAGGTTTTGGTATGTTTTTCCTTTTTATTTGTTTTTGGAAACTTTATTTTCTCCTTAATTTCTTTATTGACCTAGTGGTCTTTCAGGAGCACATTATTTAATTTCCATGTATTGGTACAGTTTCCAAATTTCCTCCTGTTATTGATTTCTGGTTTTATTCTGTGGTGGTCTGAGAAGATACTTGATATGATTTTGATTTTCTTACATTTGAGACAGTTTTTTACTTAACATGTTTTTTGTCATGGAAAATGTTCCATGTGCTGATGAGAAGAATGTGTATCCTGCAATTGTTGGATGAAATGTTTTGTAAATGTCTATTAGGTCTATTTGGTCTATAGTGCAGTTTAAGTCTGATGTTTGTTTTTTAAGTGCAGTTTTATAGTGCAGTTTAAGTCTCATGATGTTTCTCTGTTCAGATGATCTGCCTAGTCTCTCCTGGCCTGCAAGGTTTCTGCTGAGAAATCTCCTGTTAGTTGATGTGAATTCCCTTATATGTGACTTGCTGCATTTCTCTTGCTGTTTTTAGAATTCTGATTCTGACTTTGACAGTTTGACTATGATGTGCCTTGAAGACGACCTTTTCAGTTGAATCTCTTTTGGAGTCTTTGAGCTTTCTGTATTTGGATGTCTATATCTCTCCCAAGACTTGGGAAGTTTTCAGTTATTATTTCATTGAATACGATTTTTATCCATCTCTTCTCTTCTAGAACTCCCACACGTCAAAAATTTGTTTGCTTGATGGTGTCACAAAGGCTTTCTTTATTCTTTTTCCTTTTATCTTGTTTTTCCTGCCTAGGTTATTTCAAAAGATTTGTCTTCAAGTTCAGAAATTGTATTTTGCTTATCTAGTCTATTGTTGAAGCTCTCTATTGTATCTTTAACGTCATTCATTGAATTCTTCAGTTCTAGAATTTCTGTTTTGTTCTTTTTAATGATATCTTTGTTGGATTTCTCATCTAGATTTTTAATTGCTTTCCTGAGTTTTAAATCTTGTTTGTTATCTTATATCTCAGTTTCCTTTTTCTATTAGTATTTATTTATTTTTATTTTTTTGTGCTTGTTCTTTTTTTTTTAATTTTATTATTATTGTACTTTAAGTTTTATGGTACATGTGCACAACATGCAGGTTTGTTACATATGTATACATGTGCCATGTTGGTGTGCTGCACCCATTAACTCATCATTTACCTTTAGGTATATCTCCTAATGCTATCCCTCCCCGCTCCCACACCCCACAACAGTCCCCGGTGTGTGATGTTCCCCTTCCTATGTCCATGTGTTCTCATTGTTCAGTTCCCACCTATGAGTGAGAACATGCGGTGTTTGGTTTTTTCTCCTTGCGATAGTTTGCTGAGAATGATGGTTTCTGGTTCATCCATGTCCCTACATAGGACATGAACTCATCATTTTTTATGGCTGCATAGTATTCCATGGTGTATATGTGCCACATTTTCTTAATCCAGTCTATTGTTGTTGGACATTTGGGTTGGTTCCAAGTCTTTGCTATTGTGAATAGTGCCACTATAAACATACGTGTGCATGTGTCTTTATAGCAGCATGATTTATAATCCTTTGGGTATATACCCAGTAATGGGAAGGCTGGGTCAAATGGTATTTCTAGTTCTAGATCCCTGAGGAATCGCCACACTGACTTCCACAATGGTTGAACTAGTTTACAGTCCCACCAACAGTGTAAAAGTGTTCCTATTTCTCCACATCCTCTCCAGCACCTGTTGTTTCCTGACTTTTTAATGATCACCATTCTAACTGGTGTGAGATAGCATCTCATTGTGGTTTTGATTTGCATTTCTCTGATGGCCAGTGATGATGAGCATTTTTTCAAGTGTTTTTTGGCTGCATAAATGTCTTCTTTTGAGAAGTGTCTGTTCATGTCCTTCGCCCACTTTTTGATGTGGTTTGTTTTTTCTTGTAAATTTGTTTGAGTTCAATGTAGATTCTGGATATTAGCCCTTTGTCAGATGAGTAGGTTGCAAAAATTTTCTCCCATTCTGTAGGTTGCCTGTTCACTCTGATTGTAGTTTCTTTTGCTGTGCAGAAGCTCTTTAGTTTAATTAGATCCCATTTGTCAATTTTGGCTTTTGTTGCCATTGCTTTTGGTGTTTTAGACATGAAGTCCTTGCCCATGCCTATGTCCTGAATGGTATTCCCTAGGTTTTCTTCTAGGGTTTCTATGGTTTTAGGTCTAACATGTAAGTCTTTAATCCATCTTGAATTAATTTTTGTATAAGGTGTAAGGAAGGCATCCAGTTTCAGCTTTCTACATATGGCTAGCCAGTTTTCCCAGCACCATTTATTAAATAGGAAATCCTTTCCCCATTGTTTGTTTTTCTCAGATAGTTGGAGATGTGCGGCATTATTTCTGAGGGCTCTGTTCTGTTCCATTGATCTATATCTGTTTTGTTACCAGTACCATGCTGTTTTGGTTACTGTAGCCTTGTAGTATAGTTTGAAGTCAGGTAGCATGATGCCTCCAGCTTTGTTCTTTTGGCTTAGGATTGACTTGGCGATGCGGGCTCTTTTTTGGTTCCATATGAACTTTAAAGTAGTTTTTTCCAATTCTGTGAAGAAAGTCCTTGGTAACTTGATGGGGATGGCATTGAATCTATAAATTACCTTGGGCAGTATGGCCATTTTCACGATACTGATTCTTCCTACCCATGAGCATGGAATGTTCTTCCATTTGTTTGTTTCCTCTTTTATTTCATTGAGCAGTGGTTTATAGGTCTCCTTGAAGAGGTCCTTCACTTCCCTTGTAAGTTGGATTCCTAGGTATTTTATTCTCTTTGAAGCAATTGTGAATGGGAGTTTACTCATGATTTGGCTCTCTGTTTGTCTATTATTGTTGTATAAGAATGCTTGTGATTTTTGTACATTGATTTTGTATCCTGAGATTTTGCTGAAGTTGCTTATCAGCTTGAGGAGATTTTGGGCTGAGACGATGTGGTTTTCTAGATATACAATCATGTCATCTGCAAACAGGGACAATTTGACTTCCTCTTTTCCTAATTGAATACCCTTTATTTCCTTCTCCTGACTAATTGCCCTGGCCAGAACTTCCAACACTATGTTGAATAGGAATAGTGAGAGAGGGCATCCCTGTCTTCTGCCCATTTTCAAAGGGAATGCTTCCAGTTTTTGCCCATTCAGTATGATTTTGGTTGTGGGTTTGTCATAGATAGCTCTTACTGTTTTGAGATATGTCCCATCAATACCTAATTTATTGAGAGTTTTTAGCATGAAGGGTTGTTGAATTTTGTCAAAGGCCTTTTCTGCATCTATTGCGATAATCATGTAGTTTTTGTCTTTTGTTCTGTTTATATGCTGGATTACATTTATTGATTTGCATATGTTGAACCAGCCTTGCATCCCAGGGAAGAAGCCGACTTGATCATGGTGGATAAGCTTTTTGATGTGCTGCTGGATTCGGTTTGCCAGTATTTTACTGAGGATTTTTGCATCGATGTTCTAAAATTCTCTTTTTTGGTTGTGTCTCTGCCAGGCTTTGGTATCAGGATGATGCTGGCCTCATAAAATGACTTAGGGCAGATTCCCTCTTTTTCTATTGATTGGAATAGTTTCAGAAGGAATGGTACCAGCTCCTCTTTCTACCTCTGGTAGAATTCAGCTGTGAATCCATCTGGTCCTGGACTTTTTTTGGTTGGTAAGCTATTGATTATTGCCTCAATGTCAGATCCTGTTATTTGTCTATTCAGAGATTCAACTTCTTCCTGGTTTAGTCTTGGGAGGGTGTATGTGTCCAGGAATTTATCCCTTTCTTCTAGATTTTCTAGTTTATTTGTGTAGAGCTGTTTATAGTATTCTCTGATGGTAGTTTGTGTTTCTGTGGGATCGGTGGTGATATCCCCTTTATCATTTTTTATTGCATCTGTTTGATTCTTCTCTCTTTTCTTTTTTATTAGTCTTTCTAGCGGTCTATCAATTTTG